>NC_000010.11:130039628-130351108 GCF_000001405.40 Homo sapiens
CTATCTGGGTATCCTGTGGCACAGCCAAGTGGACCCATAAAATTCACACTCATGCCCTGCAAGTCAGAAGATGCCCTGGGCCTGTTTCTCATTCATACGCTGCAGGTGGGGAGGCTGACCTCTGCCTCTAGGAAGGCTCCCGACGTCTCATGCGCTCTTCTCCTTGGGGCAATGGCCTTCCCCAAGGGTACTGTGGATGACTCTGAGGAAAGCACAGTGGGTGACTACCAATTTGCTGTCCCCAGAGAGCTACTGGGCATGAACCATTTAGGGACGTGGCAAATCACACAGCAATGTGCAGGGTTTGGGATAAGAAACTGGCCAGCCTGGGGAAGCTAATTCTGAAATCAGCAGTGGGAGGTCTGGAAGCTCCATTCTCTTGGTATCTTAGTGAGGATGCCCCAGGAGGGGACCTGTCCCCTGCCATTCTCCCTTTCCATGGGCTGAGTGCACTCATCAGCAGGGAACATGAGGAGCTGGGGTGGGAGTCATCTGAGCCTGGATGCCCCCTCCCTAAGGGAGTGCTGGGAATTTCAGCAGCCAGCATCAGTAGGCCTGGGATCCATGCCCCCAGCCCCCAGTCCCTGCTGGGCTGAAGGCACCCCAATCCCAGCTGGCCTGTTGCTGAGCAGTCCAGAAAGAGCACCGAGGACCATATCATGACATCTGCCTGTCCCCGTATATGGACAGAGCAGTCTGATCCCTAGCCTGCCGTGCAAGCGTGGTATGAGTTCTGGGTCTCTCCAAGGTGAAGATCACTCGAAGGCTTCTTTTGCAAAACGGCTTAGGAAGTGGATCATTTGGTTCATAAGACACTGAGTACTGAGTCACATTCTTCCTGCACATCAGAATAAGGCAGCAGCAAGTCTCCTGAGACTCTCCACCGCACCCTGCAGCCTCCAGACAGTGAAGCGCCTTATTCAAGAGAGTAGAATGGGACGGCGTGCTGGCTCACGCCTGGGGAGGCCGAGGTGGGTGGAGGTCAGCTGAGGTCAGGATTTCGAGACCAACCTGGCCAACATGGTGAAATCCTGTCTCTACTAAAAATACAAAAATTACCCGGGCTTGGTGGCGGGTGCCTGTAATTCCAGCTACTCAGGAGGCTGGGGCAGCAGAATTGTTTGAACCTGGTAGGCAGAAGTTGAGATCACACCACTGCAGTCCCGCCTGGGTGAAAGAGTGAAACTCTGTCTCAAAAAAAGAAAAAAAAAAAAGGTAGAATGAAGGGACCACAGTGGCAGGGCCTATGGCTCAGTGAGGGGCACCAAGGGACATGAGGCTTCAGGAAGCTACACTGGCCTCCTTGCTTGGGGAGCACTCCCGGGCATGAACCGGCATGGGAAGGGACACTGGATCTTAGTGAGGGCCCCCGCCACCGGCACTCCCAGACCTCCAGGAGGCCCTGACAGGTGGGTGGGAGGGGCTGCGCCATCCTAATGGTATCACCTCTTCCCTCCACTGAAGGGCAGGTGGGTTGAATCCGTTCTACTTCTCAGGAGGCCAAGCTCCTGAACGGCCGTCTTGCCAGGGAGAAGCTGTGTTTGAGATAAAATGCAAAGCAGCGAGCACCTAAATACCGAGGCTCTGGTTCCTGAGTCCAGATGGTTTCCACAAACCTGAACTTTTAGGCGTGTGGACAGGTATCACCAGCTTGACCTCTACTGAGTCCCCTCCGAAGGTCAGGGGACAAGGCTGGGACAGCAGCTTCAGGCATGAATCTAAGCTCAGAGTCAGTACCAAGGAGGCCATGATGGACCAAAAAGCAGGGGCATTTCAAATAGTGATAGGTTTTGCCAAATTTCTTCCACAATGATTGAAACTCTTTTTTCATTGCTACCAATGGTGACTGAGTGCCTATTTTCCAACATCCTCACCAGCACGATTATGATTTTTAAAACATGTTGCCAACTTGATAGTAAAATGATATATCATAAATTCGATTTGCATTTTTAACTTATGAGTTTTAACACTTTTGCTGTAGCCAAAATTTGAGAGGAACTTATGTGTCTGTCAGGGGGATAGCAGCTATGTGAATTACTGTTCATCTTTTCAATGTAGCAACACATGGCTTTTAAAATGATGAGTTCCATCTGTGCTGATGAAATGTGTCCATAGGAAACACTTTCAGGACAAATTAAGTGAAAAAAACTTGTAGGACTTTTATGTATAATTTTAATAAGCTCTGCACACACACACACACACACATGCATGTACACACATGCACCCATGTGCATACTCTCACATGAACACGTGTAACACACACACACACACATGCACACACTCATACAATTACATATGCCCTATGTGTACACATAACCACATATGTACATGCCCATGCACACCCTAAGCACACATTCACATGCACACTCATGCACATTATGCATGCACACACGTTCATACATACCCAAATATGCACTTGTGTACACACGTGCACACCCACACATGCACACTATGAACACACAGCTACACATTCATGTGCACACCCATACATACACACACAGACAACCCCAGGCAGAGCTCTGTGGGCTTCATGTGGGAAGAAGGGAATGATTATTACTTTCTGATTCAGGGCTAGACTGTTTAGGCTAAATCAGAAAATGTGCATAGAGTTATCACGTACATGGAACGATCATTCTGCAAACGTTAACCACTTTCACGCCGTTTGTTAGCTAACTTAACTGACAAAGGAAACATATTAGAAGAATAGAAAATCTGCTAATTTGATTAAACTTACATTCTTAGAAGAGTTTGTGAATGGATAAATATGACGAAGTTCCTTTGGCTCACTTCCTCAGAAGAAACATTGTGATCGATTTCACCATCGTTTTCTCAAACGGTCTCAGTCCTGGACAATTAGCTGGCGTGTTTGCTGGTTGGAGCGCGGAAGCCCTTTCTGTGCTGCCCAAGGCAGCAAGCTCAGCCCCTCGGATGGGAGACCTCCCTCAGCTCTGGCCCACCCCTCCTCGCGGGCATCACTCTACTGTTAACACCATGGGCATCTGAAATCAGTTGTTTGCTGTCAGGTTTGGATCCACCTCTCCGTCCTTTGATCCAGAGCTGCCGAAAGCCACATACTGTTTTCATCACCTCAGCCAACGTCTGGAGAGCCTATATTCGTATAGCCAGTGTGAGAAAGGTGGAAACTGAAAACACAAGTAGGGAAAGCAACGCTTGGAAAGGAGGTGGGCCGTCACGGCTTGGAGGAAACTTGAAAGTGAACTGAATATCAGACTCTATTAAGGAATTATGGATCATTTTGTTAAATGTGTGTATCAGTCGTGGCAAAATACCCTTATCTGTTAAAGACACATACTGAGGTATTCAAGGTGGAATTACGGATTACCTTAATACACTCCAGGAAAAAACTCGGAGACAGTGCGGAAGCAAGCCTGCAAAACGCTGATGCTCACTGCAGCTGGGTGAGGGGCGTGGAGGCTCACTGGCCTAGCATGCTTGAGTATGTTTGAATTTTCCATAACAATATGTTTTTTAAAATAAGAAAGTTAAGCAGCTGATATAATTAAAACACCAACAGATGAGACAATGCTGCCGTAAGTCTCAAGGTTACCGCAGGGAATGCTTCATAACCTAAGTGTGTTTTCCCAAGGAGTTATACGGCAAAAAATTGATCATCATTACTTATAAACATGCTGGTATTCCTGGAAAATTGAAGAGAACGCGTTAACATATTAAAGCAAATTGGAAAGGTTATCAGCTGGCTAGACACAAAACACACCAAATCTAACAGTCCTCCTAAATATCAGCCATAACCCACTGGAAAGTATGATTTTTACAAGATGCCCATTACCAAGACGGGCAGGTGGGAAAAAGCCCCGCCCCTCTGTACTGTGCTTCTCTCTCTGGGCAGCTCAGCAACTTTGCTCGTTCCAGCAGCAGAAAGTCTCTCCCCAACCCCTCTGTCAGCCCTGGTCTTCTTCTCCCCTCCTCAACCATGGCACTCACGCCCAGACCAAGGGGCAGGTTGGGGGAACAAACCCCATAAGCACCCCCAGGTGCCCTGCTCTCCCGCTGAGTCAGACATGCCTTTTCCTGTGCCTGATACCCAGATGTTCTCCCCGAGGGGTGTGGTCTTCCAGAAGTTGAAGCATCTCCACCCCACTGTTCCAGAGGTGCTTATGCCCTGCCTTGGCATAACAAGGGCACCGTCCATCCTGACAGTTAAACCAAAATGAACGAGCAGATGCCCCAGCAATGTGGAGCTCCGCCTCTTGCAGGTGGAACCTACTTGTAGCTCGTCATGATGGGAGGCTTTTTAGTTTCTGCACATTACAGAGGTGACACTCTTAGGGTTGGGGCTCAGCCTGGGCACCTGGACAGTGCCCAGGGGCCTTTGCAGACCATGGCAGGGAGAGAGAGAGAGAGAGAGAGAAAGAGAGAGAGGGAGAGGGAGGAAGGGAGAGGGAGAGAGAGATGGTAAAGAAGGAGAAGACTTTAGCTTGGGACAGCTGGTTTCCTCCAGTCTGACCAGGCCAACATGTGAACCTGGTCAGGAAAGCTTGCAAGGCTGTGGGGATGCTGTCTGGGGACTGCCCCTGAGGAGCCACCCACTGGTGCACTGTGATAGGAGAAGCCTTGGCGGGAAAAGTGACCGAGACATTTGAGAACAGGCTGAGCCTGATGGGGGCCGAGCTGGGAACTGGAGGTGAGATCCCCTGTGACTTAAGAAATAGGATATGCGGATGTGGCTGGAGGAGGAAAGTGGAGAGGTCTTGGCTGCACCCCATGACGCCTCCTCCAGCCCAGCCCAGCCTGGGCTTCCCTTCACTCCCAGGCTTGCTTTTCTTCCTTCCTTCCACATCTACCTGCCAGGTAGGCTCTGCTCCAGCCAGGGCTGCCAGGGAGCCAGGGGCTGGGAACCCCGGGTGTGGTCTTTGAGGAAGGGGGTTTCATTGAGGTGAGCTGGTCACTCTGCTAAGGGCTCGGAAAGGCATCACGCTGGGCTACAAAGTGCACCCAGCTGCAGATGAGCAAAGTCAGGGAAAGGGATGCTTGGCTCTTAAATCCCATTTGGCTTCTGATGGAAGGGGTGCGTGCAAGTTGCCAGCATGATGGAAGGGAAATCATGAACCAGATGACCCGGTGGATCCATTTGTCAACGGACCACTTGTCAGCCTTGGGAAGTCCAGACTTCCTCTGGGGATGTACCCTTGCCACCTGTGTACCCCAGAAAGGGCTTCCTATGGCTTGTGGGACAAGAGGTGCAAACAGAGAGGCCATTACTACCAACAGCAATGCCCAGCCCTGCGCATAGGTGTGCGGATTGCAAGCAGGGTCCTTACTCAGTGAGGTGAAGACCTAGGCTGGAGCTCAGGTCTACCGGCCCATCACTGGCATGTGGCTGATGCTCCAGTGCCTGCCACACCCCGATGCCTCCCTACCGGCCCCTCCTGCCCTGTCCCCCCGTCCCCTCTGTTCTCTGGGGTCCAGGGGCCCCCACTGCCTGTGGAGGTGAACAAAACCCACCCCATGGAGAAAGTTTAGGACCTGACCCAGCGTGGGTCTGGCTTTCCTGAGGGCAAGGAACAGCTTTGTCCCAGTACTGGCCACCTGGCGCCTCCAAATGGCTTTTTCTTGCAGGGCAGGCAGGCTCTGGGCAGGCACCTCGCCAGGCATTGCGCCCTCTGCCTGCAGGTCGGCGGGGCCTGCTCTTCCCGGCTCCTGAAATGCATTTCCTTCCCGACTCCGAGGTCCTGCTTCCAGAACCTTTGGCAACAGAAAAGGAAACCCGCACAGGCGTCAAATGTCTTCGGACTGAAACTAGCAGGTGACGAACCATACAGCCCCAACTCTGCTGCCCCGCCCACAGTGCCCCGCAGACAGTGGCAGCAACGCCCCGCCCCGCAGCACTGCAGCTGCACCCCCAGGACGCCCCCCGCGAGCGCCACGCCCCAAAACCGCGAGGCGCCCCTGGGAGCTGCCTCCAGACCTTCGTTCCGGGAACGTTTCTGTTCTCTGGCATTTTCGTTTGAAGCAGAGATGTCAAAAAATAAATGCAGCCAAGGTGTCAATAGGCTGCCATGGTATGTCCAGCCACACCCCACACAACTGGACCTGAAGTCACGACTCAGAAAGTCACAGCCACGTCCCGCCACGCGGGCGGGAAAACGTGGAAGCAAATGCGATTGCCTCGACTCGAGGCTCAGCTAAGGAGCAGTCAGGTCCGTGTCACCTGTGGCTTCCACTCCCAGGAAGTCTGATGGCTCCGGTCGTGGCTGTTGTGGGGAATCCGTCGTGTGGAGAACGTGCCTGCCACGTGCGGGGGAGAAAGGAGCCACCTTCCGAGTACGCGACCTCACCTGCCGGGCGTGAGGTGCTGGACTGAGACCAGGGTGGGGCTCTGGGCATGGGAGGTGGGGCTGGGCGTGGGGCACGTGGCACAGAGGGATGCGCGTGGTAGGGCTCAGGGCAGACGGAACGTGGAACAGGGAGTGGCTCAGGGCATGGGGATGGGGCGGGGCGTGGGACGGGGCGTGGCGTGGGGCACAGGAAGGGGCAGGGCACGAGGAGTGGGGCGAGAGGTGCTAAGTGGGGCCTGAGTGGGGCGCGGGGCGTGGCGCGGAGTGGGGTGGAGCGGGTGGGGCGAGGCTCGGCGTGGGACACGAGGGACGGGACGCGGGGGCACGGCAATGGGTGGCGCAGGGCGCACTCTCGGGCTCCCTGCAGGTGGGCAGCCCCACCTGTGCACGCCGCTCCCCCGCCCAGCGCCTCCCCCGGGACCTGCTCCAGAAGCGCCAGTTGCGGGACCCCACACGGAAGGCAGTCTTCGGTGGTTCTCACTGCAATTCCTCTTAATTATGTGTGACATAAAAAGACCACCTACAGACGAGACAATGCTGCCGTAAGAGTCTCGGGGTTACTGCAGGGAATTCTTCATAACCGAAGTGTGTTTTCCCCGAGGAGTTATGCTACCATTTGATTTAATTTTTAATTTTTACATTTTAATCAAAAATAGATCAAATGGTGGTGGTCTCTCCGGGGAAACACACTTCAGATAGGAAGCCGGCCATGCTCCTTTAAATATGGAAACTGCCGTCTCCGCGCTGCGGGCTGGGCGTGTCCTTTCTGGGAGGGGCCTTGGGCCATGCACCTGAGGCCACCAGCTCGCCCACGCCGCCCGCTCACCTGCACGCGGAGGTTCATTTAATCCGTGCGTCTATGCAGCGCCTAGGCCTAACTCTCCCAGGAGGCGCCAGTCACGTTCCCCAGGGGGAGCTCCCTGACCTTTCTGGGGGTGACAGAGTGGGGAAGTGGGCAGTGTGAGCCCACCCCTGAGGCGTGTGTGTGTAAGCGTGCACACTTGCTTTTTAACGTTCTGTATTCTAGTCAACAGACAGTACGGTTGTTCAGTTGCAAGGAAAGGCGTTCACACTATAATCCAGGTGTTTCACTGGAAGAGATGTGTCTCGCATCCACAGTGGTCAGCTGGCTTGTCACATCACGGCACTGAGGTTGGTCTAGGCTCCTGCCAATATCCAGATGGGCTCCAAAAGCAGCCACCCAATCCCCTGTGTGAGCCTGGCGGATGCACTGGGTGCATTCTGCAGCTGCTCTGGACCTGGTGTTATCATACAGGGGAGCCTGGTGTGGACCCCATGGGGTTGCCGTGGGGATGAAGTTTCCATGGAGTAAAGTGCTACAGTACTGGCTGCAGGTAGGAAGTGAAGCTATTTTGTTCCTGTTGTTATTGCAAGGGAAATAAAGGCAGTCTGCTCCCTCGCTCTCTCTCAGCCCCAGCATCAGCACAGGGCTTGGGGCGGGAGGGTCTGTGTAAGGCACTGAGCGGGGCTGCGTACTTGGTAGGGAAGCCTCCAGAGCCCACCTTCCCTGAGGCTGCCTTAATGCCCTGATGATGCCCACAGCTCTCAACCTGCAGCCGCTTTCTCAAATTCCTGGATTCCTGCACTAAGTAACTTACTAAGGCCCCCCGCACTCCAGGCTTCCTGCGTCCAGAGCTGGTCAGACCCGGACGAAGCCAGCTGAGCTGAATGATGAGGGGTCCACCTTCTCTTTCACTCCTGTCCCTAAACCCATGGACAGGTGACACCCAGGCCACGTGACCCTAGCTCCCTGAGACATACTTTCACATCCTTCTATTTTAACATGGTGGCCTTGGCCTCTAGTGCCCATAAGAGATGCCCAAACCCAGGTTTCTCCTCCTCCCATCAATGTCATTTCCATAAAGACCCACTGGAAACATTTTTTTTTTTCGGATTTATCACCAGGAAAGTAAGGTGGCTTCCCCTAAAGCACAGATGTGCTTCCTTTCTGGAGGCCAGCTGTTTTTGCCTTTGAAGCCCAGATAAAAATCGAGTGCTCCAGTCTGGCAGCCTGACTTTTGGTCCAAGTGTCTCCCCCTCAATACTATTTGCAATTTGTCTCCTGCCTCTGCCTCTGTGGCTCATCACAGGACTTCATCCCAGTCATGGGGCATCACAGGCCCCCTATCATCTTGGTGCCCTGGAGCCCAGTAAGCAGACAGATGGAAGCTATCAGGGAGGAGGAGGCAGGAAGGGGAGGACAGCAGGCTTGCCAGCCCTCTGTGGATATATGACGGCTGTCTGGGGGTCAGCTGTCCAGCTCACCCCTACAGCTGCAGGACAGCAGGCCCAGGGGAAAGATGACCTGGCTGTGGTCCCTCCCTGGACCCACCTGCCTTGACAGAGGGTAAGAGCCCCAGTCTGTGGGTGCCCCTCCTACTGGCCAGGTTGGCTGAGAGTAGGTTCCCTCTCTCCTGGGGCGCCCAATCTCTGCCATCCCCCTCCTTAGCCCCATCATTACCTAGCCTGTGACTGGCTGGATACACACTCGCCTAAGTCCCCAGTACCCTCTGCTGGGACACCAGGGTCCCTGCAAGTCCCCAACTCACGTCACAGGGCAAGTGGATTCAGCTGTTCCAGATCCATGGGAGCCCAAAGAATTGAGACGTGCAGGGACCTCGGTCACTTTTAGGCTCCAAGGGCCACCTACTAGCCCCACGGCTACAAAAGCTCCAGATACTCTGGTGCACCAAGTCTTCCTGTAGACCACGCAATGCAGAGGAAGCCATGAGCTTGAGAGACATCTTCTTTTTAAGAGTCAGAATCTCCTCTGTCTCCCAGGCTGGAGTGGAGTGGTATAACCATGGCTCACTGTCATCTTGAACTCCTGGGCTCAAACAATCCTCCCGCCTCAGTCCCCCAAGCAGCTAGGAGTACAGACATGCGCCACCATACCCAGTTAGTTTTATTTATTTATTCTTAGACATAGGGTCTCGCTATATTGCCCAGGCTGGTTTCCAACTCCTGGTCTCAGAGGATCCTCCTACCTCGGCCTCCCCAGTCACTGGGGTTACAGATGTGAGCCACCGTGCCCAGCTCCATTTTCTTAATATAACCAAATGCAGACGCTCTGAAATGTGCAAGGCCGCAGCTGGCCCCTAGGACTCCGGGGCTCCTTCTCTCAGCACTATCCCAGGTTTACCCCTGAGAGACAAGCCCCAGCTTGTGCTCCTTGCCAGCCCACTGCCCGGGCTTCCTTTGCAATGTCAGGTGCAGCACCTGGGCTCATGCGTTTGCACCTCCTATGTTGGATCTCCATCCACAGGGAAATCATCCAGTGGCGATCATGGAGACAGCAGGCATCTTTGAGCAATGGGGGCTCGGGCAAGCTCCCCCTCTGCCACTGGAGGGAACACTGTGCAGGGGCCCCTCGCCACCCTGTTGTGTTGTGACTCTGTGGCTCATTTATTCAGAGCCGGAGCTCCAAACGACTGATTCCAAGTGGAAAACATGCCCCGGGTGCCATCCAGGGTGGGACAAGCATGGTGTGCGGCAGACCGGGCAGCCCCTGGGCCAGCCAGATCGCCTCCACCTGGAGGGGCCCTTGTTGAACCAGCCCCGGGAAGATGCTTGAGTACCCTTTGGTCCTGGGCAGGGGCTTGGGGACCGGAGCCCCCACTCAGACCGGTGGGTGCTCAAAGGTGGGTCCTGATAAGGGAACCTACAGGGGTTTTGGGTTCACGCTGTGGCCAACTCACGCTGACTTCGCAGTCACTTTGTTGTCGCTGCTACCAGTGACAGTTCTTTTGCAGACAACATGTAGAAAGAGGCGCTTTGAGTCCTGAGGGAGACCATTCCACCGGCAGGACTGAGTCTGGGTTTTTAGAATTGGAAGACCTCACCAAAATAACAATTAGGGAGATTTAAAAGTCAAAGGAAATGACTTAAATATTAAATGAAAAATTCAAGATGTTAATTTGAATTTCTATCCTTGTAGATGGTATTGCTACAGAATCAAAGGAGAGAAAGAGGAAAATACACCGATGGCTGTAAAACCATCGGTGATGAAATTGAGTGGTTTAAAATCTCATCTCCAAGTGTTCTGTGTTTTCAGGGCCTCGACAGTGTGCATGGATAGCTTTTATACCCAGGAGAAAATCATCAGCCATAATGGAAAAACGGGAGGCGGGGCAGGATTCAAAAACAGAAAACAGGTGGTGGGACCCGCCTGGGCGAGACATTCCTGGCAGGCTGCAGGCGCATGACTGAGAAGCAGGAATGGGCCACGCTCACACCCAAACTTCCACTCTCGCTGGCCCCGGCCAAGTGCAGAATTGCGGCTGTGGCTCCCCAAGTTCTGAGGCTCATTAAGAATAGGTTCAGCTGGGTGCAGTGGCTCACGCCTGCAATCCCAGCACTTTGGGAAGCCAAGGCGGGAGGATCACTTGAGCCCAGGAGTTCAAGACCAGCCTGAGCAACATGGCTGAACAACAACAAAAATTAACCAGACGTGGCAGCGTGCGCCTGTGGTCCCAGCTACATGGGAGGTCAAAGCTGCAGTGAGCCCTGGTTGCTCCACCGCACTCCAGCCTAGATAACGGAGCAAGACCCTGTCCATTCATTCATACATAAATAAAATAATCAGAATCATCTTAGTCACAAAATAAAGGCAAAATGGAAAATAACGGGTAGTAAGGCCTTAAAACAATGTGTTTTTTTAAAGAAACTTGAACATCTATACATGCCGTTTCTACCTCCATTACCATAGGGAGCATCTGAGTTCATTTCACATAAACAAAGAAGCATGCATTCTCTCTCAGATGCTATTTAAGAAATTATTCTAAGAGATTGTTTTGAATATAAAGAGCATGTGGCAACCGAATCAGCTCTTAACACGGGATGTAAACCCTGGCGCCTCTCCGTCTGGGGTCAGTTCCTGCTGGAGCACTGACCTCAGCCATAGGCAGGTGTGTGGCCTTGGCCAGTGCCCCGACTTCCTTGTCTCCAACATGGATGATGGTCCCATCTCAGGCTGTGGAGGGACCACTGAGCTGTTACGTGCAAAACACGCCGGCCCGTGCGTGGACAGGTGCAGCGCTGGCTGTGATTACAGTCCTTAGATTCCACTGCTAAGCCAACTTGCCATTTATTCAAGGTTCATGTTTGAAACACACAAAAAATGGAAAACTACAATACATAGCGAACATCCATGTTCTCACCAGAATTAACTGTTAACACTTGGTCATACTTGCTTTTGCTTTTGTGATACTTAGCAAACGGTGACCGTTGTGCTCACCTTCCTTCAGTGGCTGTTGAGTCTCATCTCCCTCTCCTACCCCCGCCTCATTAAGAGTCTCATCTCCCTCTCCTACCCCCGCCTCATTAAGAGTCTCATCTCCCTCTCCTACCCCCGCCTCATTAAGAGTCTCATCTCCCTCTCCCGCCCCCACCTAGTTAAGAGTCTCATCTCCCTCTCCCGCCCCCACCTAGTTAAGAGTCTCATCTCCCTCTCCCGCCCCCACCTAGTTAAGAGTCTCATCTCCCTCTCCCGCCCCCGCCTCATTAAGAGTCTCATCTCCCTCTCCTACCCCCGCCTCATTAAGAGTCTCATCTCCCTCTCCTACCCCTGCCTCATTAAGAGTCTCATCTCCCTCTCCCGCCCCCACCTAGTTAAGAGTCTCATCTCCCTCTCCCGCCCCCACCTAGTTAAGAGTCTCATCTCCCTCTCTCGCCCCCACCTAGTTAAGAGTCTCATCTCCCTCTCCCGCCCCCACCTAGTTAAGAGTCTCATCTCCCTCTCCCGCCCCCACCTAGTTAAGAGTCTCATCTCCCTCTCTCGCCCCCACCTAGTTAAGAGTCTCATCTCCCTCTCTCGCCCCCACCTAGTTAAGAGTCTCATCTCCCTCTCCCGCCCCCACCTAGTTAAGAGTCTCATCTCCCTCTCCTACCCCCGCCTCATTAAGAGTCTCATCTCCCTCTCCTACCCCTGCCTCATTAAGAGTCTCATCTCCCTCTCCCGCCCCCACCTAGTTAAGAGTCTCATCTCCCTCTCCCGCCCCCACCTAGTTAAGAGTCTCATCTCCCTCTCCTACCCCCGCCTCATTAAGAGTCTCATCTCCCTCTCCTACCCCTGCCTCATTAAGAGTCTCATCTCCCTCTCCCGCCCCCACCTAGTTAAGAGTCTCATCTCCCTCTCTCGCCCCCACCTAGTTAAGAGTCTCATCTCCCTCTCCCGCCCCCACCTCAGGAGGCCACCACCATACATCCTTCCGGCCTGTATAAAATAGCTTCTCTACTTTTGCCCTGGGTTAGGAACCTGGACGGGAGCCCGATGGGGGTCACATGCTGCTCTATGGAGCTCCTTGAGGCAAAGAAGTGGGGGTCCATGTACCCCACACAGGACAGCGGTCACCCCTGGGCCACCCAATCATGGAGGGTGACTCCAGGTACCTCCAGGTGAGGCAGCTTGAACCACCAGGGCGATCTCTGGAGAAGGTAGCCATGGGAGCCGGGAGCACCAAGCACAGTCCCCCACACCCAGAAGCATCCCCGGGATAGTTACTGCCCCCAGATGACACAGCCAGGACACGTGAGGTGCAAGCTGGGTCTCACGCCCAGACCAGCTTTGAGGAGGCTGCCCCAGCCTGCGTCAGCCCCATAGGACACTTGAGGTTACACAGCTGAATCTTTGGACCCCCTCACCTTGTCATCATAGACTTTTACTGTACCTATCTAATCACAAACGTAAGCTGCCTATTTTAATATCAGGAGCTATTTTAATAAAAGTACAGGATTAAAGGAAGAGCTTAGACCAGGACACCAGTGAATAAGACTATCGGTCAACTAATCAGCGTTACTCTTTCATGGTCCTCTCAGTACCCTTGAAGATAAAGAAAATTATTAGTAGAGCATTTGAAAATTCTTGCATTCACTCTGAAGAGAAAAACAATGCATGTTCTAAGAATGTTTTCCAAACAGCTAACTCTAGTCGAGTAGTGGTGGAGGTCATTCGTACAGTAAACCTTTGCAGCCAAACAGGAATACCAAGTGGGCAGAGTCTTGCACATTTCTATGAATTGTGTATACAGAGGAACTATGGGCAGGCAGTGGCAAAATGTTGAGTTTTGTTACGCTAGAAGTTTCTAAGTGTTTTTTGTTTGTTTGTTTGTTTGGAGATGGAGTCTTGCTCTGTGGCCCAGGCTGGAGTGCAGTGGCATGATCTCGGCTCACTGCAACCTCCGACTCCAGGGTTCAGGCGATTCTCCTACCTCAGCCTCCTGAGTAGCTGGGACTACAGGCCCCTGCCATCACACCCAGCTAATTTTTGTATTTTTAGTAGAAACGGGGTTTCACTATGTTGGCCAGGATGGTCTCGATCTCCTGATATATCACATGACCTCGTGATCCGCCTGCCTTGGTCTCCCAAAGTGCTGGGATTACAGGCGTGAGCCACCACGCCCGGCCAAAGTTGCTAAGTTTTTATACTGATGGAGAGCTTGAAAGAATATAAAAAATACTTCAGGATGTTTTTTAAGCCGCTAAAACAAAACTGTTATTCATTAAGGTTTTTGGGACCACAGAGTCAGACCCCCTGGTTCTTGCCTCTACCTCTGTGATGGTGTTTTCCAGAACAAGGCCCCAGGCATGTGAGACCCCCACAGGAATATTTCCACCGGTGTCAGGAGCTTGCTGTTGGGCGTGAGACTCAAGGGGGCGAATGGCTGGGACTCGGGGCAGTTTGCGGGTAGCACAGCAGCCAAGAGGGCTCCTCGAAAGCCAGGACTTTTGGACAAGGGATCCCGAGTACATCTGTCAATTACTATGGATGCCAGTGAAACCGCGTCTTAAGTGGAACCATCTGGAAAGACAAGGAAGCTTTGTCAGAGTCTCCTCCCACTCTGTTGCCAGGAGGCTGGCCCAGCACCAACTCAAGGAGAAACTGTGGGTCCCTGGGAGAGTGGGGGAAGGCCCCTTAGGGACCATGCCTGGATGGGGAGATTCTCACGTGGGAGAGTGAGTGTCTGAACCCAAATGGAAAGGACGAGAGCAAGTGTGAGCCATCCCTCCAAGTGCCACCGTGGGTCATGGGCCAGTATGCTGTTTTGAATTTTATTGTGGCAGGAACACTTGCCATCAGATCTGTCCTTTTAGCAGAGTTTTAAGTGTACAACATGGCATTGTTACCTACAGGCACAGTGTTGTTCGCAGATCTCGGGAACCCATGCATCTGCCATAAGTGAAATTTTATACTGGCTGACTTGCAACTGCCCGTTTTCCCTCCCTCCAGCTCCTGGCAAGCATCATTCTATTCTGGGCTTCTGTGAGCTCAAAGTTTCCAGGTTCCACATAGAAGTGAATCACACAGTATGTTTTTTCCTGTGTCTGGCTTGTTTCACTTAGCATGATGTCCTCCAGCTTTGTCCATGTTGTCACATAGGACAGGGTTTCCTCCTTTTTAAAGACTGAGTAATATTCCATCATATGTATAAGTCACATTTTCCTCATCTGCTGTCTTTGAGTGGGCATGCAGGTTGTTTTCACATCCAGGCTATTGTGAATAGTGCTACAATGAACAAAGGAGTGCTAATAACTCTTTGAGATCTCATTAGAATTCTTTTGGATACATACGCAAAAGTGAGATTGCTGGATCATAGGGTAGTGCTATTTTCAGTTTTCTGAGGAACTTCCACACTGTTTTCCATAGCGGCTGCACCATTTTGCATTCCTACCAACAGTGGGTATGGCTGCCAATTTCTTCACATTCTCACCAACACTTGTCTTTTGTTTTTTAAATGGGTGTGAGGTGGTATCTCATTGTGATTTTGATTTGCAATGCCCTGATGAGTAGTAACATTGCATATCTTTTCATCTATCTGTTAAAGGCATCACACTTTCTAATTTTGAAATATATTACAAAGCTACAGTAATAAAAATGGTATAGTACTGACATAAAGACAAATCTATAGACCAATGGAATAGAGTCAAGAAATAAATCCAACCATATATGGTCAACTGCTCTTCAATAAGGGTGCCAAGAATATAAAATGGGGGAAATACAGTCTCCAACAAATGGTATTGAGAAAACTGGATATGCAAATACAAAAGAATGAAATTGAACGATTATCTTACACCATACAAAAAAAAATCAACTCAAAATGGATTAAAGACTTCAATGTAAGTCCTAAAACTATAAAACTCCTAGATTTCCCCAAGTGGGCTAATGCCTAGCAAACAAACAGAAAACAAAAAACTCCCAGAAAAAAAACAGAGAGAAGGTTTCATGACATTGGAATTGATTTCATGGATATTACCCCAAAAGCACAGGCAACAAAAGCAAAAATAGACAAGTGGGATTTCATCAAATTGAAAAGCTTCTTTACAGCAAAGGAAGCAATCAAGAGTGAAAAGGCAACCTACAGAATGGGAGAAAATATTTGCAAACCACATATCTGATAAAAGGTCAATTACCAAAATATATAAGGAATTCACACAACTCAAAAGCAAAAAAAGTAATAGCCCAATTTAAAAATGGGCTTTGGACATTTCTCCAAAGGAGACATAGGAATGGCCATGGGTCATTTTCGATCATCAACAACTTGCAGTGATTGCCCCAGGCATTTATGACTCCTGAGATATAATTTCTTCCACTGATTTAAACTCATTTTTAAAAAGTTTGTCAAGAATGTTTGAAAAAATTAAGAATTATGAATCATCACTGAATTGGCTTTCCTGAAATCTGAATAAATGGGCCTCACCTGGCCGGGCACGGTGGCTCACGCCTGTAAGCCCAGCACTTTAGGAGGCCGAGGCAGGCAGATCATGAGGTCAGGAGTTTGAGACCAGCCTGGCCAACATGGTGAAACCCCATCTCTACTAAAAATACAAAAAAAATAGCCGGATGTGGTGGTGCGGGCCTGTGGTCCCAGCTACTTGGGAGGCTGAGGCAGGGGAATTGCTTGAACCCAGGAGGCAGAGGTTGCAGTGAGCTGAGATCGCATCACTGTACTCCAGCCTGGATAACAGAGCAAGACTCCGTCTCCAAAAGTAAAAAAAAAAAAAAAAAAAAAAAAAAAGAAAGAAAAGAAAAATGGGCCTTATCAGAAGAGTGATGAAATAGATCATTTTAACTGAAAAATGCATTGGTGGCTGATGATTGTTAACTTTTTAAATAACTTTACTCTTTTTAATAATGGTCACTGAATAAATGAGTAAATGCAATTTAAAGTAAGTAAATTTAGATGTCAGAAAGGAAATCTTGTTTGTCCTGATTTAGGGCTGAAAACATCACCGTGTATTTAGTAAATGTGCAATTAACCCTTACCGACCCTAGCAAGCCACTGGTGGTCTTTGGGATCCTGCCCAGAGGGAAGCGCTGCCCCTCATGGCTCCAAGCTCCAGTGGCCGTACCAGAAGATCAGGGGTGGGGGTGCCGTCATGAGCAGGATGAGGGCAGCACCCCTGAGAGCCGCTGCATGCACAGGGCTCAACAGCAAGGGTCATGCTGAGTCAAGCGTTCAGTGAATACCCCAGGACCTTCATGTGGGTGACTGAGAACTCATACTTGGCTGGTCCATAGTCAGTGAGAAATGAGGAAAAGAAACAATGTCATTTTACAGAGAAAGGGAAGGGTTGAGCCATTGAGAGTTTTTTATTTCTTTCATTTTTTTAAATTAAATTAAATCTATTTTATTTTATTTTATTTTGAAATGGAGTCTCGCTCTGTCGCCCAGGCTGGAGTGCAGTGGCGCTCTCTTGGCTCACTGCAAGCTCCGCCTCCTGGGTTCATGCCATTCTCCTGCCTCAGCCTCCTGAGTAGCTGGGATTACAGGCACCCACCACCGCACCTGGCTAATTTTTTGTATTTTTAGTAGAGACGGGGTTTCACCATGTTAGCCAAGATGGTCTCGATCTCCTGACCTCATGATCCGCCTGCCTCGGTCTCCCAAAGTGCTGGGATTACAGGCGTGAGCCACTGTGCCCGGCCAGTTGCTTTCATTTTTTATACAGAGTCTCACTGTGTCTCCCAGGCTGGAGTAGGTGGCTCGATCATGGCTCACTGCAGCCTTGATCTCCTGGGCTCAAGTGACTCTCCCACTTCAGTCTCACTACTCGCTGAAAGTACAGGCATATGCTACCAGCAGGCCCAGCTATTTTTTTTTTTTTTTTGTAAAGATGAGGTTTCACCGTGTTGCCCACGCTGGTCTTGAACTCCTGGGTTCATATGATCCTCCCGCCTCAGCCTCCCAAAGTGCTGGGATTACAGGTGTGAGCTACCACATCTGGCTGAATTTTTAATTTTTCATGGTGGTAAGATATACATGGCATAAAATTCACCATTTAAACCGTTTTTAAGTGTGTAGTTCAGCAGCATTGTTTCACACTGTTGTACAACCATCATCCCCCTATCCATCTCCAGAACTCTCATCTTCCCCATCTGCAACTCAGTGCCCATTAAACGCTAAATCCCTGCTGTCCCCTCTGGGCCCTTCCAAGTTTGCACTAGGACCACCCTGTCTTTCTACCAAGATGCCGAAGACTTGACAGTGATCACAGAAACCAAGGCCAGGAAATCCTCACCAAATACTCTTGACATATTGGTAAGCAACTGGGGGGCCAGAAGTTTCTAAAGGTCCTCAAAAAACTGCATAAAAATCACGAATCCTAGCTAAGAGGCAGTGGGTAGAGAAGATGAGGTCTGAGACAGCCTCTCCACGAGGCCTGTGATTGTGGGGGAAGGGGGCTTCACAACAGGGTCAGCATGTGGATGGCAGAGGGCTGGCTTTAATCCTATGCCACTGTGGCCCTGGGCACTGGAGTGGCGGGTTCTGAGGCCTGTGCAAGAGCACGCGGTAAAAGTGGCTATGAACACCATGCTCCATTCCAAGAGCGTCAAATGCAGACCTATGTCACTAACTCCTCAGTGAGTGATGATGCAGGTACTGTTGTTATTCTCATTTCAGATAAGGAAACTGAGTAAGTGGCAGAGGAGCCCCAGGCAGGCAGCCTGCCCAGGCCCTCAGACGTCATGACTCCAGGAAGTGGCACCAAGGTGAGGGGCTTCCTAGACTGGCAAGGTAAACTGTTCAAATTATTCCCCAAAACAGAATGCTTTCCACTCTAGAGCCAGGGAATTGTCTGCACCTCCACAAGATTCCATGTTACCATATTCTAAATGATGTGGGCAGGCAATGTGCTATAACAGTCCTGAGCATGGTCTGTGGCATCTCCTGGGAGCTTATTCGAAATGCAGAATCCCAGGCCTTGCCCCAGACTTAAGAGTCTGCATTTTAACCAGACACCCACCCCTACTCCACCACCCCACAATCCATGTGCAGTTCTAGGAGTGAGCGTCTGGAGAAGGCAGATGCTGGAGTGGAGGCCAGGTCTGACCCCAGCATCTGACTGTGGACAAGTGATGCAGCCTCCTTGGGCCTCTCCTCTTAGTACAGTGAAGGTACTTCTTCTCTCAAGGAGTTCTGGGGGTTAAATATGCTAATGTAAGTCAAGTATTCAGCACGGTGTCTGACATACAGGGTGCTCAGGAAGGATGGGCTTCCTGAGGACAGCCACACAAAACAAAACAAAATCATTATGAAATTGATGAAGCATGTAGAAATTTGATCAAAATTTCCCTTTGCATCTGGGAAAAATGCACTAGTAGGTTTTAAACAGCATTTTTTTTTTTTTTTCAGAAATGATCTGGTATAACAGTTACACATAGAAACAGTAATTGAACCAAGATGATCTGGGATGAGCTTAAAGTGCAGGACCTATCTATACTAACGAAACAGGAAAGTGTTTATCAGAGCAAAATGTACCACGTGTCTGTGTAAGTCTTAATACTGTAAAGCTACCCCTTATCCTGCAATTCATCAATAATCAGCACAGACCCCATCAACACTTTATGTGGGTTTTTTTTTTGAGATTTGACAAAATGATCCTAAAGTTGATCATACCCATGCAGGTGTACTAGACCTGGGCACACATTTATTCGCTCTTCTGCATGTGTGTTATATTTTAATAAAAAGGCCACCCACACACATGCACAATGTTATGGCCAATGCATGAGAAAGATCAAAGAACAGAGAAGCAAGTAAAGAAACTACACCATGTATGATAAAAATGGAATGGACAGTCAATGGAAAAGATGTGGTTAGAATAACTGGTTAATATTTGGGGAAAAAACACAGTTAGATATATCACTCTTTACCCTCCAGAAAGTTGTAGCTAGAGTAAAGTTTTAAATGTCAGAATTGTGCAAAAATGTAGATGTGTAAGTTACAATCAACTCATGTAATGTAGATGACCTTGGGGGAAAGAAAGGCCTTTCTCAAATGATTGCAAGGCTAGAAGCCAGCAAAAAAAGAGGCTGACAGATATGACAGAGAAAAATTGTGTGGCAAATGATATATAAATATCATTGAAAACAAAGTGAAAAATAATAAACTGGGAAAAATATTTCCAACATGAGAGAAAAACAGATTCAATGGCCTTAATATATAAAGAACTCTTAAAAATAAATAAAGACACATGCTCCAGTAGAAAAATGGGCAAAGGTGGAAAGTTTACAAAAGACACACACGGCCAGTAAGCATCTCCAAAAAGCAGTGTGTGGCATGCAAATTAAAACTGCAACTAGCAAAGATCATACTGGCATCAATCAAAAGAGAAGACTTGCTAAAAAATCTAAATAGAATCCACTTAAGCTTCTACATCAACTACCAATTTGTAGGAAACACAGGTCAGGGAAGCAGATAAAACCTCAGGGAGATATAATTAGCGAAATCAGCACAAACTCTATAATCCAGTTAGTGGAGGGGAAAGAGAGAGAGAGAGAAGATCCTTGCATAGAGAGAGATACTTAGGAACCCATCAGCTTGTCACAGTGTGTGGCCCTGATTCGGATCCCAATTCACACAAGTTGTAAAACACAAAACAAAACAAAATCATCATGAAATTGATGAAGCATGTAGAAATTTGATCAAAAGCTAGCTATTTCATGATATAAGGAATTACTGTAAATTGTGTGTTAGGAGTGACGACTGTATTGTGGTTTTGCTTTTCAAATGTCTCTTTAGGAGAGACATTGAAAAAAAGCACAGCTGCAGTCATATTCTGTCTGGTATTTGCATCTAACAGTGGGACCAGGTGGGAACAGGCAGGCAGGACTGGCAGTGGCCGATCATCACTGGAGCTGGATAAGAACTGACGGGGTTCCTTGTCCTGTTTGTTTGTCCTGCCTACTTTTGTGGGTGCAAAGTGCTCCATGCTAAAAAAAAAAGTTTCTGCCAATGTTCGTGCACAGGGACAGGACATGGGCTCTTGGTACCTTTCCAGAGGGCAGAAAACCAGAAGGTGCCCTCTGCACCAGCAGCACAACTTCTAGAATGTTCTTTTGAATATAATTGCAAAACTTTACAGAATATAAGGATGTTTAGACAGCAACTTCTATAATAGCAAGTAGATAGATACAACCTAAGCACTCATTATGAAGGAACTGGGTAAATGTAGCATTTCCATTTAATGGTATACTGTGTAATCACTTAAAATGGTAATGATCACTTAAAATGGTAATCTAATATATATTAATTGACATGAAAAGAGTTACATGATGTTAACATTAAAAAGTATGTGCAGCCGGGCGCAGTGGCTCACGCCTGTAATCCCAGCACTTTGGGAGGCCAAGGCGGATGGATCACAAGGTCAGGAGATCGAGACCATCCTGGCTAACACGGTGAAACCCCATCTCTACTAAAAGTACAAAAAAATTAGCCGGGCGTGGTAGCGGGCACCTGCAGTCCCAGCTATCGGGAGGCTGAGGCAGGAGAATGGTGTGAACCTGGGAGGTGGAGCTTGCAGTGAGCCGAGATCACGCCACTGCACTCCAGGCTGGGTGACAGAGCGAGACTCCGTCTCAAAAAAAAAAAAAAAAAAAAAAAGTATATGCTAGGCCGGGCGCGGTGGCTCACACCTGTAATCCCAGCACTAGGAGAGGCCAAGGTGAGCAGATGGCTTGAGCCCAGAAGTTCAAGACCAGCCTAGGCAACATGGTGAAGCCCCACCTCTACAAAAAATACAAAAATTAGCCAGGCGTGGTGACACATGCCTGTGGTCCCAGCTGCTCAGGATGCTGAGGAGGTACTCATCTGGGCCCGAGGAAGTCAAGGCTGCAGTGAGCCGTGCTTGCACCACTGCACTCCAGCCTGGGTAACAGGAGTGGGACCTTGTCTCAAAATAAAATAAACTATAAATTTTAAAAGTACATGCTTGGGAGCATATATTCACATAGAAAAAATTTTGAAAGGACGCACATCAAAATGTGAACATGAGTTACTTTTGAGTAATGGGATTATGGACGACTTAGTTTCATGTTTATCTAAAATTTATAATTAAAAATTTTTTTCTTTAATAAGTATGGATTTCAAGTATACTTTTTGTTTTAAAAACAAATTTGGAAATAAACTATATTTTTGAAGGAGGAAAAACATGTCAAATGATGTTAACACATCTTTGTTAACCACTTACCATGCTTTTGAATGTTCTAAAATGAGTTTCGTAAGTTGTTGGTTTAGAAACCATTACAAACTTACTTTGTGAAATTATTAAAGGTACGTTTTGACATTTTTAGCCCCTATATCCCCCCAAAAGCAATAACAGATTATAATTAAAGAACAAATTGAAAATTTATCTAATGGACATACAGACACATCAATGCCCAGTCTGTTTCCTCAGGGTGTAAGAAAATGTCTTTTTCCTCCTCTTTTGACAAGAATACAAAGATGAAGCACTTTAAAGGGATAATCCCATTTCACGCTCGTCATGGGTGCATCAAGACCCAGTTTAGTGAAATCTATGCAGGTTTTGCCTATTAGCTAATCTGTTTTAGTACCTGTGGTGCTGACAAATTAATTTGCCAGGGAGAAACAGTTCTGCACGGGGTGAGCTCCTCCAGGTAATCCCAGCAGGAGGCGGGTTGGGCTGGAGAGCAGAGACCGTCCTGTGGCCAGGGATGACTCTGGAGCCAGGGAGGTGGGGCTGAAGGCCAGGATGGATGCCAGGGCAGCTGTGACAGCAAGTCAGGGGGTGGGTGGAGGGCGGCTGCCAGGGGACAACAAGGCCACGGGCAGGACCTCTGTTCACACGAGGCCAGAGTAGGATGGGACTGAGGTGTGGACCACACCTAGGAAAATCTGGAATTTCTGAGCCTTCTATTTCATGGCCTGTACTAAAATGGCTGAAAACACCAAGAAAATGTTGCCATCCCCCTTTTTAGGTACCCAGTCACAAGCTCCTCCATTCCCTTCACAGTCTGGAAAATCCAGCACCTGGATAAAGCTGCTGGTTCTCCACTGTGGTGGTTAATATCAAGTGTCAACTTGATTGAAGGATGCCAAGTATTGATCCTGGGTGTGTCTGTGAGGGTGTTGCCAAAGGAGATTCACAGTTGAGTCAGTGGACTGGGAGAGGCGGACTCACCCTCAATCTGGGTGGGTACCATCTAATCAGCTGCCAGCTTGGCCAGAATAATGCAAGCAGGAGAATGTGGAAAGACTAGACTGGCTGAGTCTTCCAGGCTTCCTCTTTCTCCCGTGCTGGATGCTTCCTGCCCTTGAACATCGAACTCCAAGTTCTTCAGCTTTTGGACTCTTGGACTTACACCAGTGGTTTGCAAGGGCTGTTGGGCCTTCAGCCACAGACTGAAGGATGCACTATCGACTTCTCTACTTTTGAGGTTTTGGGACTCAGGCTGCCTTCCTTGCTCCTCAGCTTGCAGACGGCCTATTGTGGGACCTCACCTTGTGATCATGCAAGTCAATACTCCTTAATAAACTCCCCTTCACATATACACTTATCCTATTCTGTCCCTCTAGAGAACCCTAATACACCCACATTCTGGCCAGTTACACCTCATCCCTTTCGTCCTTGTCACCTGGGTCATCAGGTTTTGTGAGCTTTGCTTTTCCAGAACCGAAGGCCTGCTTTGGGGTGGAGGGGCTGTGTACCAGGAGGGAGGGCACTGACACTGAGGAGTCACACTGTGGGCTAAGGGCAAACCCCAAGGGCAACCTCCCCACCACACAGATGGGAACCAGAGGCTCCAAGAAGTCTAAGGACTCATCAAGGTCAGGTGGAGATGGTCGGTGGAGATGAGATGGGAACTCACGTCTGTCTGACTCTGAAGCGGGGGCATTTTCCTTGGGGCAGGAGGATGCCCGGGGACTGTTCTCTACAAAAGCCAGCTTCGTATGAACAGCTGGAGGGACGCGTGCCACGTCAGCTACAAAACACCCACCTGACACCGGGTGGACACCTGCTCTCTCCATGAACGAGGGTGAGAAGGAAGAGTTTACACACAAAAAAGAACATGCTGTCCATCTAAGAGTTTTCTTTTTTTCCCGTAAAAATTAGACGTGTATCTCATTTTGGAAAAGAGAAGAACAAACTAAAGCTCTTCATAAAGATCTTTCGTAAGGCTACAAACGCCAATACCTTCTCCCTCTTTCCCGGCTTTGGTTGTTTGGCACGAACTGGCATTTTTTGATCGAGTCATAGCTCTGGGATCTTACCCAGGCTTAATGAAGACGTGTCCTGTAATTCTGGATCATCCATATCCCAGGTGGTGCTGTACTGGTTTCAACACCTTGTCTTCCTCTGCTCCATCTTTCCCGTATGGAACTCTCCCATGACCGAATGCCATGATGACTTATAGAGGGGGCTCTTCCCACATCAGTGCCGAGGACACTCCCTGGAGGGAGCACATTCCCTGCAGATAACGTGATGCGGACAGGAGCTTACAAACAGGACATCTCAGGAAGCTTTCAAACCCAGAGAAAATAATGCCAGCCTCACAGTCAGACGATACATTGAAAACCCAAGAGAAAATGAGTAATTTCCACTTGAATATAAAAGGGATTCTGTCTCTGATAACTTCAGTTGGGGAACAGATTGGACACTAGCATTTAGTAAAATTCACTCCAAGATTAGAACATTTTAAATATAAAAATAAGCCTTTTAATGAAAGAGTGTGTAAATAGCCCTGGGTACATCCACAAAACAACGAAAAAGCATGATGGCGGGGCTGCGTCTGGGTGGGCCTCCATAGGCCATGAGTGCCCAAGCTCATAGGAAGTTTGATACAAAATTTTTTGACTTGTAAATAATGCAATTGATCTCCCTCTCAACCAGGAACATTCGAAAGGAGGCTGTAGTACGTAGTAAGGATTTGGGGGCTCTTTTGAAGTGATGTGGATTCTCCTGGCTCTCGTGCAGAGGATGGTGGATTTACTAGAATGAAAGGACAGACAAACCTCCCCCCACCCACAGAGGACACCGGGCTGCTATTTGAACAGGTAAGTCCCCAAACCCATCTGTAGGAGATTCACATTTGCTGCAACATGAAGGGTTCAAAACCAAAACTGGGACCTTCTTTTTTCCAGCTTGCATCTTCTAATGATTCTTGGTATGGCTAAAATGTCCCTACAAAGATAAAACAGCACATTGCGGGAATTAATTTACCTTGGCCAAATTAATACACCTTGGCTATATATACATTTGCCAACACAAAGCACTACATTTAAAATGACTACTTGTAAGTGATAACTTAATTCCTGAGGTATCTGTTTATAGATATATTAATATATATTACATTATAATTAAGATATTTAAAGCATTTCCAGTAGTGACTGGTACACAGAAGACTTTCAATAAATGTTACTTCCCTTCTTTCCTATAGTACTTTGAGGAATAGCAAGAGAATGAAAATACTATTCATATATTCATAAAATAAATTTTTAAAAAAATGTCTAAATATTGAATCAGGATTCAGCACAAAAGCAACACAAAAGTGGCTCCTCTCACCAGGGACATCCGGGAGTAAGAGAGGCTCACGGCAATCCCCACCAGGGCCCCTCCGGCCCCCAACCCATTTCCTAGAGCAGGCCTCTCATCTCCTCACCTTCACCCGCAGAAGTAACTGGGAGAACCAGATGGCTGGGGATAGACAGTTGGCCAGACACTGTACCACTGTGCAATGAGAGGCTCGTCAGCATCTAGGAATCTCTGTCACACTTGGCCACATATCCTGGCACATAGCAGCGTGGCACTCTGGCCCACAGGCAGAGACAGGCACAGCCTCCCTGTCCTGAAAGGACTCCACCATCAGGGCAACAGGCTCCTGAGCTGGCTGCAGCCCAGGAAGGGTGGGGTAGGCTGGGCAGTGGGGAAACAAAGAAGTCCAGTTCTTGATGATGTCCCTGCTTCCTGGAAGGCAGGGGCTGCCCTGACCCACAGGGACCAGACAGGAGAGACTCTGAACTTGCCTGGAGGGATTATCAGACAGCAGAGTACTGACGTCAGATACTGATGGCTCCTTCGAGTGATCAGAACGAAATGCTACAGGAGCCAGGGAAGACAGCACGTGACCCTACCTGGTGAGGGGCCTGAAGAAGGCTTCACACAAGACAGGAATCTCGGGTGGGCCACGAAGGAGCAAGAGAATCTTTGGAGGTGGGAAGGTATACCTCAAGCAGTAAGCACAGTACAAGGTCAGACTGTTCCAGGATCGGAGAAGCTGTGGCGGCTGGAGCAGGGGCTTGTGGCGCACATGGCAGGGATGGGAGCAGCTGTCTGGGAGGTCAAGCAACACTGAGATTTGAAGGGCCCTGGATGCCATGGTGAATACAGGTGCTGCATTTACTCAACAGGCCTGCGCTTCCCAGAATATTCCCAGAATCACATGTGTAGCAGGTATCCCTTTACAAAAGGACATTTTGGAAACCAGTTTCTTCATGCAATTCTCGAGGTCTTTCACAGTCTAATGGACATCAAGTCTCTAAAAGGCAGGGGAAAGTATGTAGCATTTCCTGAACTTCTCTGGACAAGAACCTGTTCTGTTGGGAGACTCTGAACGCAGGAGCCCAGCTGGCAAATCACGGCTCTGGGCTGTGCACTGAAGGGGCAGAGTCAGTGGAAGCCTGGGAGGCTCACTTGGAGGTGCCGTGGGGTGCGCAGACCCAGGAGGCAGCAGGCGTCTCTTAGGGAAGAGACAGGGGAACTGCAGGGAAATGCTGTTTAATTCATTTCGTCATCACCAACCACAGAACTTGAAAAACACAATGATTTCTTTTTTAAAAACAGCTATTCACTGAGGTGACTTATTCCTGACGCATCCTTCCCTGCTCTGTTCAAGGAGGGGTATACCTGGAAGACATGTTTGAGACAGAAAGGATAAAACGTGGGGACAAAGAGCCACATCAATTTGAGGACTGAGACCTGGATTTTTTTTTTTTTTTTTTTTTTTGAGACAGGGTCTGGCTCTGTCACCCAGGCTGGAGTGCAGTGTCACAATGATGGCTCACTGCAGCCTCAGCCTCCTAGGCTCAAGAGATCCTCTCATCTCAGCCTCCTGAGTAGCTGGGACTGCAGGTGCTTGCCGCCACACCTGGCTAATTTTTTTTTTTTTTTTTTTGGTAGAGACAGGGTTTCATCATGTTGTCCAGGCTGGTCTAGAACTCCTGGCCTCAGGCGATCCACTCGCCTTAGCCTCCCAAAGTCTTGGGATTATAGGTGTGAACCAACGCAGCTGGCCAAGACCCAGAATCTTAGACACAAAGGAACCTTTAGAAATTGCTCTTTAGACCTTTTGCCCCGGTGTGATCTCAAGCCCCCGCACCATTCTACTCTCTCTTAGACACAAAGGAACCTTTCGAAATTGCTCATTTAAACCTCTGCCCTGGCATGATCTCAAGTCCCCGCATCATCCTACTCTCTCTTCTTGACACGTCCCAGTTTGTCTCTGTCTCTCTCAAAGCAAGCAGCCCCCAGTGACACCCAAAGAGAAGCCTCGTACTGACCCCAATCTAGACTGGGGCTGGGCCAGTGGGACCTCAAGTCATCAGACTCTGGGACTCACAGATGGCCCACACCAGCCACCAGAGGCAGGTCTGACGAGGAGCATCAGGCTCATTGTGCCTCGACTGTGAGTCTTACTGCAGACAATTAAAATGCCTTGCCTCCTGTTTGGTCAGGCTTGAAAAGTGATTTGATCAGCAATAATGGGAAAACCCTTTTCCACTTTTGGTAAAACACAATTCCACGGAGCAAGAGAACGATGTTTGTGAAGAGGGAGTTTTTATTTGCTTCTAACCTTGGAATGAAAAGGGCCCAGGGCCAGCTGCTTCTGGTTGCACCTGCTGCCCAGCGCCTTCTCCTCCACACCCTTGGGGCACACGTGTGTGGCCTCAGCCCTTCTTTCATCTCTCACTGCAACGGCTTCTTTGTGGGGTTTGCCACCACGCATGAACTCCCTCAAAACGTCCCCCTTTCCTTTTTGGAAGCCTTCCTCGCTGGGCTCTCCATGACCTCTCTGTGGAGCCGGAAGGACAGCAGGGCCAACAGGGACACACCTCACTCCATCTGGGACCATTACGTGAAACACCCAGATTGATGCCCTCACCTCTGGTACATCTAGCTGCAAGTCATCCCTGTGGACTGGGGGAGGAGAGAACTGCACCCCACATCTCCTTCCCTTTTTGCTGAAGCCATTTTTCCTTAATGGGCAGAGCCCTGGCTGTGGCTAGCTCTCTGCTTCTCCCCGAGTACCTGTGTGACAGGATGACAGCAGCCCTCTGTGGGTTAAAGATGTTGACGATTCCTGCCATTACCATCTGCCAGAGGAGTCATTTTTTCTTCCTTTAACAGCATATTCGTCTTTACTACCACAAAACACTGTCCCTTCTCAAGAGAATTCTACAAAGGCCTACAGTAAAAGCTTGGACCTCTAAGACAATCATCCGTCTTTACCAGCATGCATCTTTGTATGATGAAATGTCTTTAGAGCACCTGCTGTGCCCTGTGCCGAGGGACACCTGTCACACCCTTGCCTCATCTTCCTCCCTTCCTTCTTGGAGGCGTCAACACTTGAAAGTGGGCGTGCACCCTTCTGTACCAGTCATAGCCCCAACAGGAAACAGATACATGGGCGAACAGGAGACCTCACAAAGGGGTTATTACAAAAGGATTTGTCACAAAGTTGTCCTGGGAGCCGCGAGGGACAGTGCAGGGGCCAGACCCAAGGGATAAAGGGCAGCAGCGGCTACCAGAACCTGGAAGGAGGAGATGACACATGCTGCTGAGTGACACTGGCCAGGGGACATGGCCACATACCCTGCCCTCGTTCTCCAGCCTCCTGTTGCCTGCCCCAAATCCCCCTAGCGGCTGAGCCCAAAGGGAAGTGGGAGAGCCCAGGTGCCCCCGGCACCCCCTGGATGTAAGCCATGCAGGCTGGCCTCCTGTGCAGATGCCAGGAAAGGTGGGCAGTGGATCTGACCTGGAAGGGCAAACAGAACACAAAGCCCAGACATGAACTTACCAGAGACTTCACCTCAGCCATTTTAAATATGGTCAAAGAACTAAAGAAGGTCATGGCCGGGCACGGTGGCTCTCGCCTGTAATCCCAGCACTTTGGGAGGCCGAGGTGGGTGGATCACTTGAGGTCAGGAGTTTGAGACCAGCCTGATCAACAAGGTGAAACCCCATCTCTACTGAAAATACAAAAGTCGCCAGGCATGGTGGCACACACCTGTAATCCCAACTACTTGGGTGGCTGAGGCAGGAGAATCGCTTGAACCTGGGAAGCGGAGGTTGCAGTGAGCTGAGATCATGCCATTGCACTCCAGCGTGGGCAACGAGAGCAAAACTCCATCTCAAAAAAAAAAAAAAAAAAAGAAGATTATGATTAAGAATTAAAGAAAAGCAGAATGATGTCTCACCAAATAGATAATTATCAATAAAGAGAGAATTTTATACATATAAACTAAACAGAAGTTCTACAGTTTAGAAGTATAAGTGAAATTAAAAACTCATTAACGGGGATCAACAGCAGATTTGAGCAAGCAGAAGAAAGAACTAGTGAACACAAAATCAATTGAGATTATCCAGTTTGAGGAACAGGAAAAAAAAAGCGAAGAAAAATGAACAGAGCTTCGAAGACACCTGTGCAGCTCCATCAGGTGTCCCAACACACCTCTAAGCGGGAGTCTCAGAGGAAAAGGACACAGAGAAAGGGCAGAAAGAGTATTTTTAAAATAATGGCCAAAGACTTCGCAGATTTGATTTGAAAACATTAATCTATATATACAAGAAACTCAATTAACTTCCACTAGCATGAACCCAAAGGGATCCACACCTAAACACATCATAACAAAGTGATCTAGAACCAAAGAATCTTGAACACAGAAAGGGAGAAGCGACATACTATGTGCAAGTGAGCCTCAGTGATACCAACAGCTGATTTCTCATCAGACATCATGGAGTGAGAGGCAGCCAGATGACATACTCCAAGTGCCAGAAGAAAGACTGTCAGCACCTGTTACTCTACTTCAAAACCATGTGGCCACATATGCCTTTCCTCAATATCCAACAAAACCAAACGACATTGAAATTATAATGATAGAGAAATTAAGACATCCCCAGATAAACAAAAACAGAAAATCTGTCGCTAGAAGACTTGCCTTACAAGAAATGCTGATGAAATACAGAACACTAGATAGTAACTTACATCCTCACGCTGCAACCATGTGAATGGAGTTTTGTTCTTCTAATTGACTGTTACCAGTAAGTAAGAGTCTATCTATTTTTGTGTGTTCATCTTATATTCAACAATCTTGCTGGATATTAGTTCTACTAGTCTATCTGCAGATTTTCTGGAAAATTTTTTTTTTAAGAGATGGGGTCTCACCCTGCTGCCTGGGATGGAGTACAGTGGCATAATCATAGCTCACTGCAGCCTCCAACTACTGGGCTCAGGCAATCCTCCTGTCTCAGCCTCCCAAAGTGCTGGGATTATAAGCATGAGTCACTGTGGTCAGCCTTGGATATTCTATGTAGATAATTATACCATCTGGAAATAACAATTTAGATTTTTCTCTTTCCAATTCTTATGTCCATTGTTTCTTTTTTTTTTTCTTATCACATTATGCCAGCTAGGAGCCCTAGCATACCGAGCAGAAGTGCTAATAGCATCCTCGTCCTTTTCTCTTCAACACAGATGCTTCCACTAAGTATCACGTCCTTAATTTTTACCAGAAGAAAGCCTTCTATTTCTGGTTTGTGGAGTTTTTAAATATATATCATGAATGGGATTCGCATCTGACTGTATGCTGTTGCTGCATGTAACAGATGATCTCTATTTTCCCTTTTATCAGACAATGCAGTCATTTTTCTAATGTTAAATCATCCATGTGTTCTTTCATACAGGGTTTTTAAAATCTGTAAAATCCCTGTGATGGGAGCTTTTTGATAACCTTCCCAGATCCTTCCATTGTTACTGATCTGATTCTGTTCTCTGTTCTTGAGTCAGTTTTGGTAACTGAATTTTCTGGGGTGGGGAGAGGAACCCCACTGCAGTGGCCATCGCACCCCCGGACCTGGTGCAGCCTGTCCACATGCACGTCACAGTGCAGTCCCCTTAGCAGCTCAAAGATGCATTCCAAGCTCTTCTGGCATCTATTGCTACTAATGAGAGATCTGTTGTCAAATTATCATCCCTTCATGCTTAGCCAGTCATTTCTCTCTAGCAGCTCTACACGTTTCTCTGCCTTTGATGTCCTCCAGTGTCATGATGACCTATCTATGTGTGGATACATCACACCCAAGACTCACAAAACTTAGGGGATAAAACATTAGATATCACCAAAACACTGCACCCTGAGCCCTTCCACTCAGTAGAAATAACGCCCTTATTTTGAAGTTGTTTACCACTCTCATAAATGTTTTTATTCCTTTAGTAGATATATATCAATGTTTCCCATGCTTAAAATTGTATCTAGATAGTATCATTCTACGTAGATCCTTCTGTAATTTCCTTTTTTCTCCATTTGATTTGATCCATTTTCACTGCTCTCTGTAACACTTCATTGAGTAAATCTATTGCAATTCATTTATTCATTCTATTGATGAACATTTAGGTTGTTTCTGGCTTTTCTTACTCTAACAGTGCAACAACAAATATTTTGTTTTGTTTTGTTTTGAGACAGAGTCTTGCTCCGTCACCCAGGCTGGAGTGCAGTGGTGGGATCTTGGCTCACTGCAACTTCCACCTCACAGGCTCAAGTGATTCTCTTGCCTCAGCCTCCTGAGTAGCTGGGACTACAGGCATGCGCCACCATGCCTAGCTAATGTTTTTTGTATTTTTAGTAGAGATGAGGTTTCACCATATTGGCCAGGCTGGTCTCAAACTCCTGACCTTAAGTGATCTGCCTGCCTCAGCCTCCCAAATACAACAAATATTTTGTATACACTTTCTTGGGCATCTACTAGGGTATACACCTAGGACCATATCTTCTAGCTTACCAGAAATGCCCACCATAAGCTTTACCCATGTACATGGCTTCTGAGGAAGTGAACACATCCTTTCACTCTACCTCACTCACAGTTATAGCACCATTTTTATTTTTGCTAATTTGATGGTTTAATTTGCAAGCCCTTAAATTACTAGTAAGGTTGAACACCTATTTATATTTATTGGCTATTTTGGGTTTCCTCTTCTCTGAACTGCCAGGTCATATACTTTGCCCATTTATTTACTGGACTGATTTGCATATTTATTCAAGAAACCCATCTTTATATTTTGTGCATTGTAAATATCTTTCCTGCAAAAAGCTTTTCTTAGACAATGATGAAAGAATTCTGATATGTAGCATGTCTTAATATATACAGTTATATTCTATATTTTTTTTTTGAGACACAGTTTCACTCTTGTTGCCCAGGCTGGAGTGCAATGGCACAATCTCGGCTCACCGCAACCTCTGCCTCCTGGATTCAAGAGATTCTCCTGCCTCAGCCTCCCGAGTAGCTGGGACTACAGGCATGCACCATGCCTGGCTAATTTTTTATTTGCAGTAGAGATGCAGTTTCTCCATGTTGGTCAGGCTGGTCTTGAACTCCCAACCTCAGGTGATCTGCCCACCTTGGCCTCCCAAAGTGCTGGGATTATAGGCATGAGCCACCGCGCCTGGCCGTCATATTCTATATTTTCTACTAACAATGTTAAAGGTTTTTCTTTCATATATAGGTTCTTATTAACTCCCACCCCCACCTCCCACCTCCTAGAATTGATTTTGTGTGAGGCAGAGATCTAATTTTATCTTTCCTCATATATGGATAACTAATTGCCCTGGCACAATTTATAGGTGTATGTAAATCTCATTTATAATGCCTTCAAACTGCCATATATGCATGTTTAAAGATCTCAATTTTATTTCATTGGTTAGTCTACACTTAGGCCAATTAACACATTGTCTTAATGGTCACAGCTTTGTAATATATCTTGATATCTGATGGATAATTTCCCTTGCTTGTTATTCTACTTCAAAATTGTTTGACCACATATGCCTTTCTTCAATTCTGGAAAATTCTCAGCCATTATCTTTTCAACTATTCTACTCAAACATTCTCTAAAGTCCTTCCTTCTGGATTTCCTAATGGGCATTCTCATTCTTTCCTCTATGACTCCTAATTACACTTTTATACTATCCATCTTTTTATCTCTCTTGCTGTGCTTGGGGGATTTATCCAGCTCTATCTTCTAATTCACTAATTCTGTCTTTAACTGTGTCTAATCTGATGACTTTTTAAAAAAACTTCAATGAACATATCATGCACTTTTAGTTCTTTTTAAAAAAACCTTCCAATTTTTTTTCAAACTGTCTTCCTTTCTTACTATGGCTCTATTTCTTCTTTAATCATTTTATAAAATAACTACAGGATACTTCAGAGACATGGCAGGCTTGGTTGCAGAACACTGCAATAAAGTGAGTCACACAAATTTTTTGGTTTCTCAGTGCATATACAAGTTTTGTTTACAATATGCTTGTAGTCTATTAAGTGTGCAACAACATTCTGCCTAAAAATATGTACACACCTTAATTTAAAAATACTTTGTTGTTTTAAAATGCTGACACAGAAGCATGAGATGAGGATATGCTTTTGGGACAATGGCACCAAACAGACTTGTTCAATGCAAGGTTGCCACAAATCTTCAATGTGTAAAAACCACAGTACCTTCAAAGCACAATAAAGTGAAGTGCAATAAAATGAGTTGTGCCCGTACTTTATATCCACCTTCAGGTTCTTCAATTATTTCAGATTGTTAGAGACTTTGATTCTACTGTTTATTTCTTGACCCCTCTTCTCACCATGGTGGTAGATTTGTTTATGTGCTTATTTTTCTAGTGTGATCTTATCCTCCGTGGGGGTTGTTTTATCTCCAAATCTCCTACACACTGGGTGGTGGAGGCATGCCTACAGGACAGTTCTGCACCTGCTGCCACCCAAGGCCTTCAGGACTTCAATGGGCTGCAACTGTTTTTATGGCAGGGCTTCTACTTTTGGTTCCTGTATGACTGAGATAAAATAAACTTGGAGCCCATACCCATGCATGGCCTGGTATTGTAATTTCCAGTCCCCTTTTAGGGTACAATCAGATCTTCAGGCTCTAAACTTTATGCAAGGATCCAAATTCTAGCTCCCACACCTTTGTTAGGCCAAAACCACATCTATCTCTGGACGTGAGCATTCCAGTTCCCAGCCCTGGGTGCAATCTAGGACCAAACCCAACAAGTACCCAGACCCAGGAACGGCCACTAAAGAGTGTGTTGGTCCCAACGGCACTACTTTTGTTTTCTCTCTTCGCCTATTACGTGATCAGCTGTGTGTTTTTTTTTTATCAGAGTCTACCTTGAGTCTCTGCAGCAGGAGGGGGACACATCTGTGTTGGTTTTATCTAACATGTTTGTAGGAAGTCTAAATTGAACTTGTTTCTTTTTTCTTCTAGTCATCTGAAGCCCCTCAGCTCCTTCAGTGCCAGAAAATGACCTAAATAACAGTTAAAAATTTTTTTAAAGGTAGTTTTTCAATATCCATATTCCAGAGAAAGTACTCACTGTCAGCTACTGCTAGATGCTAAATCTGAAGATTTTGTCAGTGGTCTATTCATACCCATCTATTCTGGGATTCGTATTTGGCTATACTGACACAGCCAGACTCTTCCATTCCCAGCTTATTCCCTCACAGTGTGAGTAAATCAGCCCTGTGTCTTAGCCAAGAGCTTCTCACTGTGTCCGGGGATGAAGTCCACAAAAACCCGCACTGTCACTGCCACAGTTCTCATAGGGTGTTCGAGCCTGACGCTGGGCCGCCAGTCTTGGGGAGTGATGCCGGCATGCTGACTGCAAACACACTGATCAGCCAAAAAGAGCAGAAAGCAGAGGGGGCTCCAAGCAGAGTGCTCAGGCCCCTGCCTCCCCATCAACCACGGTGCATGGCAGTCCAATGGCTTAGCCCCTGGGGACCTCACTTTCCTTATCTGTAAATTGACAGGGTTAGACCAATGAACTCCAGGATCCTTGACAAACCTGGGGGTAGAAATGCATGGAGCACAACTTGATTCTTACAGAATGATCAATGAAGTTCCCGTTGATCCCTCCATGATTGTGTTTTCTTCTCTCAGGACAGAAGAAGAAAGAACTGACAAGGATGCTTGCTATCAGCTGTGGCCGAGACAGGACACAAAGAGCAGGGCACTGCGCATCGATCTCTGTTCATCGATATCAGAACGTTACATTTCCATCTTTGGTCCCGTCCCCAGCTTGACACTCGGACCCGCCCTAGCAAGCACAGGCAGTGTTCTCAGCCGTCACTGCAGGCACCAGAGGAGGGCAGAGATCACTGGGTTCCAAGGCTTCCTGTTCTAGTGCAGTATTTATAGATGATGTAGGTGTAGAAAGCAATGACCAATAATGTACAAATATGTAAACAAAATAAACAGAAATACTTTAAAGGTAACCCATTTGGAGATAAAAAGAAATACAAAGAAAAAATGCATCCATTTAGAATCAGAATAATCATACTTTGGCTCCTCCTGGTGTCCCTACAAGGGAAAACTGAACCAAAACAATAGGTTTGGACCAAACACCTCCCTTCCCCTGCCCTCAATTTCTACTCCTACGTTGGCTGACTCCACACACACAGACATGCACACACACTACATATGTACACAGACACACACATGCACACACACCATATATACCACACACACAAATGTTGTCAGGCAATAGATTTCAATGTCAAAAAGTGAATAATACGGAGGCTTATTAAGACTGCTCCTTTGCTATTTGCCCTCAATGAAAAAAAAAAGAAAAAAAGATAAGGCTAATGACAATGCTGGTATCCAGAATCAACGTGGGGAGCGGAGACTCCATGGCACCAGGAAACACCATGTTTTGCATGCTGGCTTTTCAGTGGTAACTCCCTACCCGTTTGAGTAATAAAAACCAATAACCACAGATAAAAGGCAGCGAAGGAGCATTAGCGATGGGCAACATTGAAGGGCCTGACTGTATTTTTAACTTTCATGTCCAGGCTCTCGGGACTCATGTGGCTTATCACCAGGATCAGCCCTGCCAGCACTCTGGAGTGCCAAGCTTGCGGACTACTGACTGAGCCCTTGCAGGGGACAATACAGGCCCGGAGACCTCTGTTAGAAACAGCAACTTTCCTCCCCAGGAGAATCTGTCCATTCATTAGCTGATTAGCGCTGGTAAGAAAACAGAAACCAATCTAGGTATATTTCAAACAGAGGGACTGTAACAAGATTTGGCTACACAAATGATGGAAGAGATGAGAAGCCAAACGGGGGAGCTGATATGGTTCGGCTCTGTGTCCCCACCCAAATCTCATCTGGAATTATACTCCACACATGTTGGAAGGGAGCTGGTGGGAGGTGACTGGATCATGGGGGCGGACTTCCCCTTGCTGTTCTCGTGATAGTGAGTTCTCATGAGATCTGGTTGTTTGAAAGTGCATAGCACTTCCCCTCTGGCGCTCTCTCTCTCTCCTGCTGCCATGGTAAGGCATGCTTGCTTCCCCTTCACCTTCCACCAGGATTGTAAGTTTCCTGAGGCCTCCCAGCCATGCTTCCTGTACAGCCTGTGGAACTGTGAGTCAACTAGATCTCTTTTCTTTATAAATTATCCAGTCTCAGGTAGTTTTTGTGTGTGTATGTGTGTGTTTTTTGTTTGTTTGTTTGTTTTTTTTTTTGGAAATGATGGAGTCTCATTCTGTCACTCAGGCTGGAGTGCAATGGCGCAATCTTGGCTCAATGCAACCTCCACCTCCCAGGTTCAAGCGATTTTCCTGCCTCATTCTCCCAAGCTGGAATTACAGGCACCAGGTAGTTCTTTATAGCGATGTGAAAATGGACTACTACAGGAGCCAAACACTCACCAGGAGGACAAAGGGAGGAGGAGGTGGACCTCGCAAGAGATGGGCCCAGAGGGACTACTCTGCAGGAGCTATGTACTGCGGGAGGGCTAGAGAGAGAGAGAAATGCTCTGGCCTCCTCCTCCTTCTCCCCCACATTCCTGTGTCCCACCAATGCCTCACGTTGGCTGGATTCTCCCAGAAGTCAGAAGCAAAGGAGTCTGGGAAACAGTCTCCACAACACAGAGGAGGGGCAGACAAAGGAGGTCGGAGCTGAGAAAAAAACAGGCAACAGGCTGACCAGTGACCCAGTAAGATCTGAGGGTGGCCCCTTCTCCAGAGGATTCCAGCACTGAGAGGCTACAAAACGTCAGAGACCAGAGACCACTAGGAAAACACGGTGCTGAGGAAATATCATCATATCTCCCCTCAACCAATATCCTAAATCCTTTCTACAGTTCTCTGCCTTATAAGCCTTCCTCCCCTTTTCATGTACCTTCTTTTGATTATTTTGGAGACCTCTGGCAGACCCCTAAGGTTTCATTTAATTGCTCTGAATTTGCAAGGAGCAGCTTCATTTCCATTTCACACTTGGTTACCGTGTGGCCTGTGCACACGCAAGCCGCGCGATCCGGGAATGGAAGCCTGCAGCCTAGGTGACTGTCCAGCATGGGAGCCATTGGTGGCAGGAAAGGAAGCCTCCTAGCCATGGCGATCATCCTCTACGAGACTTGCAGCCCCAGACAGCACATGACAGGGAGAGCAAGCAGCCCGACCCTGGGCAGGAGCGGACGCCCTGATGCTGCAAGACTGGGTCCCACCACATTCATTTCGATCATCAGTAACATGAGCAGGGTGATTCAGGGCTACGAGGTGACGGTCCTAAATAATAATGTACAGCAGGAGATAAACCCTAACAGTAATTACTATAAGAAACCACCTCAGTCACTCCTGAAATAGTAACCATTGTAACAATGGTTACAATACGCCAGAATGAGTCAACAGAAATAGACCGAAATGCAAACTTGGAAAATGAGGTTGAAGAGGTCTACCGAGGAAGTCCTTGCATATGAGAAAATGTCAAAACCCTGTATGTGTGAGAAACAACTCAATCATAAACATAAGGAAAAGCTTAGGAACAGAAGGACCACCAAGCTCAGACGGCTATACTGAGAATTCAGAGCAGAACAGATCAGATTAGCTGACATCCTACGAAGGTCAAAAATACACTAGAGAATTCAGGATGCAAGGGAGCTTACTGGAGAACAGCCACCAAATAAACTGAGAATCACATGTAAGTTTCCCATTAGGAATTCCACACAAACTACCCCTCACATCACCTTGGCTTCTCTCTGACCAAGAGAACCATTCTGAGCTGCCTACGGGCATCATGGGAGAGTGGGCAGGCCCACGTGTAAGCAGGCATTTGTGAATGGAACTGCAAGTTTAATAAAGTCTTCTGAAATTTGGAATTGTGCCCCATTGGTGATTTATTGTTAAGCACGACTCCCAGGGATCTTGCATCTCTAAAAATACTATTTGCTTTTTATTTAACACTGAACCTTTTGATGTTTTATAATACAAAAATAGTGTCTTATTATTTTAAAAGCTTAGGAGAGAAACTAGCCATATTATTAGAAGAAGAAGATATATGCAGCTATAGTCTGTTCAAATATCAAGAGGTGTGACTTTTCAAATTCACATTTCAATCTTTATTTACATTAGACTTTCAGAAGTAGTGGGTGTAAATATTAAAACGCCCAAGCCTGGGTGAAATTTTATTGAGAATAACTACAAATAAAAGGAAACTGATTTTTTAAAGTCAGTTTCTGAAATTTAGATGAAAAGAATATTGAGTATTAACAAAAAAATGATATTTACATATCAATGAAGGTTTTCTGCTCATAGATTCATTTCCTACGAAACATAACAGAGGCAAGCTTGGGGAATTACAAAGAAAGGAAAAACCCTAATCAAATAGGTACTGTTGTTCAAACAGAATATTAGCCAAAATGATCCAATCAGTTGCTTGAACTAAATTTTTTTTTTCTTTAAGCCATTCATGCCAGAACACAAGCTCTCAAAGCAGTAAGAATCTGTACTACATTCCAAGTGTTTGCTTCCAACAGATGGGGGGATGTGAAAGATACATTCCATGGAAATGGGGTGGGGACAAAGAAGGCACCGGTCAGTCATCGGCAAACAAGGAATGCAACCCCAATGGAGGCATAGTTCTCAAAGTAAGCATTATTCGTTTGTATTCTAGGGTATGTTTAACAGTTACATGAATCAACATAAGCATACTAAATTCAAGTTGCTGGATCTTTAATTTCAACATTGTTCAGAATTACACCATAGAATGCAACATAACCTATGAAAATTTTTCTAAAGAGAGTACAAAAAGTAGCAAAGTATACCTTCATGGAATGAGTTACATACTAAACTTTGTTTTCCTATTTGTCTAAGGACTTCAGATAATTAGAGGTTCACCCTGTCATCAGACACGGTGATGGCTGTCATGGTTTCAGGTCTCCGTTTGAAACAAAATCAGTGCTTATCATCGTAAAACACAGTAGCTTACAGTATGTCAATTGAGGATCTCCATAATTTATTGACTCAATCTTTTGCTTATCAAAAACAGCAATACATTTCTCTAAAGATCTTTAGGGGGCAATCTCAGAAATACACATATACACACGCACAAATTCCTGGTTTCTAGGTGGAATTTAAATATAATTCTATTTTATTGCAATATTAAGATTCCAAATGTAAAATTAAAGAAACCCAAGAATTATAGAGGTTATCAAAGACATATTAACTTGTTCTTGGAGTAAGTTCAAAATTAATAACAAAGGTATTATTATGCTAATATATACTTTATGATATTCTGCCCAGTAGAAGAGACTGAGAATCTGACTCTGGCAGTTTCTGACCTCCCTTTACTTTGAATTAATGGTGTAAACACTGTGTTTGCTTCTGAAATCTGTGATTTATGTGAAGTTTATGATAGAAACATGCAAGAAAAGCATAAACAGGGAAAAGAAAAAAGCAATGTTGATTGCTATTTGGAAAATTAAATGAGAAAGATCTTTTCTCCAAGATGTCCTTAAATGATTCTCTATTTTAACCAAATCCAGTGGCCTGGTCCCTTTCCTAAACCCTGTTTTTTAGAAGGAATTTTAAATGTATTTGCAATTTATATTTCCAATCTGAAGCTGGACACAAATTAGTTTGTACACCGATAGAATGCTAAGAAAAGCTTAAATCAATTTTCACCTTTTTATTTATGTTCCTCATTCTTCAGAAACATAATTGCAGTTTTTATTAACTTTGTTTTATGGATCTAATATTTAAGAAGAAGTCTATCTTTTATGTCACAGCAAGAAGGTTAATGCACTTACAGATTCCCCTGCAATACATCTTGGGCAAGGCTGGGCTGAGCTCCTTCCACCATTCTGAGAAATCTAGTTAACAAATCACAGTTGCAGATATATCAGAACAATGATTATTTACACTTTCTATTAAAATATTTCAACATGCTCACAAGTAGTTTGGTGGGAAGAGGAACATACCCCTGTACTTAGCCTCCCCTGGCCACTCTCTGGCCTTGGTGCTGGGAGGCAGCCTCTTGATGGAAGCTCCCGGTCCTCTGGGCCCCAGGACGCCAGGGCACAGGCATTCACCTGGTGGCAGCCACGCTCATGCCCACTGGCTTCTAATCTCCTGCATACCCGTTTCTGAAACAAACAAAATTTTACTTTAGATGGTCTCATAAAGCACACAACACTCTAATTGAATTTGCTTTCAGAAAACTTCAGCTGCAAATACAGACCCCTGTGGAGCTGGAAAACTTTATAGGGCATTTGAGGAGATGACTTTAAACTTTATCTTTTCAGAATAACAATCATCCATTACATTTAACCTCATTATTTCTTGCATTGCCTGATATTTACTTAGCTTTATACATTTAAAACAGTCATTTCAAATAATTTTGGCTGAAACTCTTGTAATAAACTATGGTGACTGGTTTATTGATATTGAAAATGTGCAAAACCTATAAATTTTGTTCAAGAAACTAGTTATATGCTTTTGCTTAGTATCAAGTTACATACTTTCTTAATACAATATGAATAATTCACATGTGACTACTTCTGTGTCTCACTGGCACTGAAGAGCAAATTAATTTTATTTACAAAGGTTGCATACACAGTCCATAACTGATAACCTTTGGGAAAGTTAGCATTTGGTTTTTACTACTATGTGAACTAAAGAAAATAATTACAAAAGGAATCCTGTAATGCTAAAGAAAAAAAGTACTCAGTTTGAAAGTCCCAAGACTTTGTGTATTTTTAGGGTAACAATGTTGTAACTGACACAGAGTTTCAGAGGCAGGAGGACCTCTGTAAACAGTCATGGAGGCCACCCTGGCCCAGGGCGAGAAATCCACCCCAGGAGCCCTGGCAGCCAGCCCAAGAGGCCCCGCTGCTGGACAGCCCTGATGTCAGAACACACTTCATGGTACACTGGCATCTCCCCAACCTCTGCAGTCACTTGCAAACCACCTTTATCACTTTTGCAAAATGTGTTTATTATCCATACTACTATTATTTAATATATTATTAATGGACTTTTTCACTTAATGCATCTACACAATATAGAAACCTTATGACAGACTAGAAATGATGCATTAAAAATGGGAGATGAGGGAAAAGGAAGAGAGGAGAATTCTCATTACTGTATAGTTCATTATCATATAAGCAATAGGTGAGTATTAACTGATGCTGAAAAAACTGAGAATCAGACAATAAAGGGTTAAATAATAAAACAGGGGACCTAAGGATATTAAATCGGTTTAAATACAAATAATCACTAGAAAATACAAATCCTTCTACATCCAAAATTTTAAAAGAACAAGACCCAACTATACAGATGTACTTAAAATCAAGTGATTCTGAAAGGCTAAAAATAAAAAGGATGGACCAAGGTATAATAGAGAAATAAAAACAAAAAGAGAGCAGGAGCAGATCACATAGAACATAAGCCCAAAGTGTTAAATACAACCAAGGACTTTTTTTTTAATGCTAAAAGCCACAGTTCACAGTGAAGACATAATGCTCATGAACACCTATGAGCCGAATAATACAACCATAACCTTTATCAAACAAAGACTACAGGAGATGTGAGCAAACACGGTTAGAAACATACTAATAACAGGAGGTTTCATACACCATTCTCAGTACAAGGCAGAGCAAGTACACAGAAAACAAGTAAGGAGATAGATTTAAACAACATAATCAACCAAGGTTGACCTTATGGACATATATATTGAACTCTGTACCCTGATAATAGAGTATACACATTCCTCTCAAGAACTCACAGCACAGTTACAACTGATGGCATTAAAGGAAAAAACAATGATTTCTATAGGGTAGAAATGTAGCCAATACTTTCTGATTATAATGCAATAAACTATCAATTATTAACAAAAACAAAAAAACAGAAAGGCACTTCCACCTGGAAATTTAAGAGTCTTATTATTTCTTAGGTCACCAACTGAGAGGAAAGAATTTAAAAAAAAATTACAATGAAAACACTACATATCAGAATCCATGAAATACATTTAAAGCAGTAATCAGAGAAAAATTCAACTCTTGGATAGGATAACCCAACATTATAAAGATGACAGTTCTCCCTAAAAATTAATTTGTAAATTCAATATAATCCCAGTAAAAATCCCAGTAAACTATTTTATAGAGTTATACTAGTTGATACTAACGGTCACAATGAAAAACAAATATGCAAGAAGAGCCAGGAAAACCCTGAAGGAAAAAATAAAACAACTCCTGGACACGAAAACAAACCATAGACACTCCATAATTAAACACAGTGGCACACAAGGAGACAAACAGACCAGTGTGGTAGCATTAAAAGTCCAGATATAAATCAAAATATATATGAAAGTTTGGCTTCAAATCACTGTGATAAGGATGGACTTTTTATACATACATATATGATCTTCTTTTTTTTTTTAGAGATGAGGTCTCACTATGTTGACCAGGCTGGTCTCACACTCCTGGCCTCAAGCAATCCTCCCTTCTTGGCTTCCCAAAGTGCTGGGATTATAGGTATGAGCCACTGTGCCCAGCAGGATGGACTTTTTAATATACGGTCCCAGGACAACTTGGAGCCATTTGGAGAAAAGAAATTTAGATCTGCACCTCACACCATGACATGGTTTGGCTGTGTCCCTACCAATCTCATCTTGAATTGTAGCTCCTATAATTCCCACATGTTGTGGGAGGGACCCAGTGGGGGATAATTGAATCATGGGGGCGGTTCCCCTACACGGTCCTCGTGTTAGTGAATAAGTCTCACGAGATCTGATGTTTTATAAGGGGCTTCCCTTTTGCTTGGTTCTCATTCTCTCTCATGCCTGCTGCCACGTAAGACGTGCCATTCACCTTCTGCAATGATTGTGAGGCCTCCCCAGGCACACAGAACTTTGAGTCCATTAAACTTCTTTTTCTTTATAAATTACCCAGTCTCCAGTATGTCTTTATCAGCAGCGTGAAAACAGACTAATACAACCACATACAAAACCAAACCAGATGCATTAGGGACCTGAATGCAAAAGATCTAATTATAAAGAACTATGCAATTCCTAGGAGAAAATACAAGTGAATTCTCTAATCTTGGTGTAGGGAAAGATTTTCTAACTATGATTCAAAATACAGAGGCAATAAAATCAAGATTGACAAGTTTGACTATATGAAAATAAAAACTTCTGTAAGGCCAAACAAACAAAAAAATCCTAAACAACATCAAAAGATAACTGATAAAAGGGGAAGAAAAATGTTTGCAATATATACCACAGAAAAAGGGTGAATAACCTGAATATAAGAAACTGTTACAAAAGCTGAGCAAAAAAGGACCAAAAACCTGAAAGATAAATGGAGAAAAGACATAAACAATTTAAAAAAGCTATTAAAATGGTCCTCAAACATGAAAAAAAGTGTTCAAATGCACTCATATTTAAAGAAATACAAATTAAGTCAACATCAAGATATCATTTATCATCAGAATGGCAAAAATTGTAGAATGTGGTGTAGCCCCTGTTGGTGAGGCTGCAGGAAAACAGGCACCTCCTGCTTTGCTGGTGAGAATGCAAATTCTTGCAGGGAAATTTGGCAATACAAAGCTATATGCACATTTTTTAACCCAGCAATTACAACTCTAGAATCTACCCAAAACATACACCTCCAACGATATGGGAAAAAAGCACATTTGCACAGTTATTCAATAGTGCAATATATTGGAAACAACCTAAATGCCCCTACACTGGAGAGTGGTTGGATAAACTATGGTACATCCAAGCAACGAAGTACTAGGCAACTGAGAAAAGGAAGAGGAAGATTTCCATGAACTGGTCTAGAGTGATTTCCAGAATACATTGTTAAGTGAAAACAACAAAGTGCAAAAGAGTATCTATAATATGCTATCCTTTGTGTAAGAAAGAAGGGGTTATAAGAAAATGGACACTATCTGCTCATTTCTGCAAAAGAAATACAGGAAGGATATTTGAGAAATGAAAGAGACTGCTTTCCTACAGAGAGTGGATAGGAAAGGGCTGGGGAACAGGGTGGCATGGGAACAGAAATGAAGAGGGAGTGTAGAGCTCTGCATTAAAGCACCAGAGTAACATTTCACATGCCAAAAAGTGAGGGAAAAATGTAAGTAAACCAAGACATAGGGGGAGAGGAACCCAAGTGGAATACAAAAATAATGAACCTAACTACATTACAAATAAGTAACATAGCCACACTGAAAAGAACTACCCCAAATAACTTTTAAAAATACTATTTTGGGCCAGGCATGGTGGCTCATGCCTGCAATCCCAGCACTTTGGGAGGCCAAGGTGGGCAGATCACAAGGTCAGGAATTTGAGACTAGCCTGGCCAATATGGTAAAACCCCATCTCTACTAAAAATACAAAAAAAAAATTAGCCAGGCGTGGTGGCAGGCACCTGTAGTCCCAGCTACTTGGGAGGCTGAGGCAGGAGAATCACTTGAACACGGGAGGTGGAGGTTGCAGTGAGCCAAGATTGCACCACTGCACTCCAACCTGTGCAACAGAGCAAGACTCCATCTCAAAAAGAAAAAAAAAACTATTTTGACTAGAAACTCAAACGCTAAATAAAGACGACAAAAAGCACTGTATAGAAATCCTGTACTCTAGCTAGTAAATGTGTTTATTACAGGGTTAGCAATTTTTGAAATTACTTTATTGGCATTGGATAAATAAGTAAATACACTGTAAATAACAAGAGCAAAGTTTCTCACTGTTTAAGAAATAAGCTACAAATACAGAAAAGGGAGAGGCTACAATGAACCCAGTGGTGTTGCATTAGAATTTTTAATACATATCCAGACAGAGATATAGAAATATATAAAGATATGTATGTGTGAGTTACTGTGTGTGCAGGTGATACACACACACACACACACACACATACATATATATATCCTAGCTGTGTCCACTAAGGACAGTGGCATCCTAGTAGCAAGATTACACTTATCACCTAGAAATTGGTTTCGAAATACCATTTTCCCTTAAAAGGAATCTGGACTCCATGGGAAGCAGCTGATTCAGGGAAGGAGTAGGGAAAATACAAGATGAGCCTCAAACACTTCATAGGCCAAAAACTTAGAAAGTTCTTGTAAAATGAGGGCATGTCAAAAAGACAAAGGCATACACCTGAAGGACTTCCTGTTGGCCAAAGCTGGAATGATTTAAGCAATAAAATAAATAAAAAACAGCACTGGATAATCCACAGAATAAAGTAAATGCCTATTAGTCTACCCATATCAAAAATAATTGAGTAAATAAATAGCTGAAAAGGGAAAGGACTTCCTTACAGTTGAATTCTAATTAACAAATGCAAAAGGAAAGAAGGAAATACATTAAGTAAATACCACAGTAAAAATTATTGCAGGCAAGATCTAATAATAGATGCTAAAATTAGGAGGCAAAAGTTTAAGGAGAAACTGGATGTTTGCACAGCCTCAAACTATCTTCCCCAAGATTCGTATTAATTGTAAAGAGAAAAATAGTAACTTTACCGTGGATAAAACCATCGTAATCAAGTGACAAGGTTAACAACAGCAGTAATGGGACACAATACCATGAACCCTCCTCCGTACAACGTACCAAGATGGCACAACATCACTTCTGCAGTACTCATGCCAAAAATGCGCACCCTGACTCTAATCATAAGAAAATGTGGGACAACAAAATAACTAACCAATAATCACTAAGTGTCGAGGTCCTAAAAGACTGTCAAAGTGTCACAGATTGGAAGAGAGGAAGGAAACACAATAACTAAATGCAATGTGGGATCCTGGGTTAGATCTTGCAACAGAAAAAGGATATTAGAGGAAAAACTGGTAAAATGGAATAAGGTCTATAGTTAACAGTACTACACCAACATTAATTTCATGGCATGCTAACTATACTAAGATCATTAACAAGCTTAAGTGAAGGATGTATATGAACTCTATACTATGTTTTTGCAACCTTTCTGTATGTCTAAAACTATTTCAAAATAACAAGTTTTTTAAAATGAAAAAAAAATATCTTGCATCCCTAATGTGAGAGAAATACTGATCTAAACCAAATTGCCTTCTCACAACCTCAACCCACTGTTTCTAATTATTCTCCTTTGAGCAACATAAAATAAACAAAACCCCTTGTGTATGAGATAAACATTCAGATATTTGATGATCATTCTCAGACACTTTGGAGGCTTGTTCTCTCCAACCAAATATCCCTAGTCTCTCTCACTATTCCATTTCAAAGATGTTCTTCAGACTCTTCATATCCTAGACACCCTAGTCCAGTGTTTCTAAATTGCCAATATCCCGCTTAAAATAAACCACGCAAAATACTTTCAATGCCATGTAACTAGCAGAGTAGAATCACCACTTGCCACTGTGTTTGCACAGGAGAAACCCACACTAGGTCAACAGCCCCAGCAACCACATCACACACAGGTCCATGCGAGCTCACCTCCCCTGCAACCCCCTCAGCTTCTCCACACAAACGTACTCTCTCATTCCTGGGGCTTATTAAGTCGTCTTTGTCTTCCTCTTTTTCTTCTTTTAATTTAACTGTAGGCTCTCCTATGTACACTAGTTAAATCTGATTTCCATGGAATATGTATTTGATTTGTAGCATATCAAAATATATTCAATCCTTATTCTGCCATATATTACAGTAATCGTATTAATCATCCTTAGGACTTTTGCAAATAATGCAGCCTTCTATGTCTTCACCTAAGTTGGATGACAGTTTGAAGAACTAAGACCAAGGCTTTCAATCTCTGGTTATTCAGGATCTGCTCAATCCTTACAGTGCAAAAGGAGGTGTGTTATGTTAAAACTGGTTTGCTGTCAACTTTCAATCACCTGGATTAAAGGGGAAAAGTGGAAATATTAAGTATTCCCCACATAATTTTACAAGTTTCAATTTTCCCCCATCAGTAACACCATAGTCGGCTAATAGCAATAATATTATTTCCCTTCCTCTTTTCTCAATAACACAGGACTTACTCAAAAGGAAAGCAAACAGGCATGCATGAATATGAATGAGAACCTGTACTTTCTGGATGAAATTTACAACACTTATGAAACTATATTCTACACCTTTTCTGTGTGGTTGAATGGCCCTTGGCACATTAAGGTCAGCAGACTTGTGATTATCTGCAATGAAAAGCTGACATTCTTCAAGGGGCGCAGGGGGCTGAAGGGCCAGGGTCCCGACAGCCTGTAGTAGGAGAAAGGAGAGCCAAGCCATACTCTGCCACCAAGGCGAGCAGAGTGTGGGTTCTAGTAGGGAATGTGAGGATGACATCTCAGTGGCACTCAGCCAGCACAGTGAATTAATTTATTCATATTTTCTGTTACTTACTGTGGATTATTGAGAGCTGACCACATACGATACTGATCTATACACTTACTTGGGAAATAGTTCAGTTGTCATGGATGGGCCTGGACCAAAGAAAAATGACTGCCACAGAGGCATTTACATCTGGGGCTGCTTACGTTGAACGAGAAGATCTGTCAGCCTTCGCAAAGGCAGATGAAGGCTTATGCCAAGCTAAAAAGACACTTGTACTATATGAACGAAATGAAAATCCTAAGTATACACAAGGACCCCATTACATAACAATAACTAGAATAGATCAAGTGACCAGCATCCTCATCAGAGAAAGGTGAAGCAGGAGCGTGGCCGAGAAATAGACGCTGTTTCAAACGATGCTAAATTAAAATAGCAAACAGGGATGGTGCTGCCTCAATGATAGAAACACACGAAGCTGCCACAGATCTCAGGAAGTCTTGCTGCCTGTCCTGAGGAGGCAAGACCAACCATTTGTTGAGGGGGACTTCTTCCTTTTCCGGAGGTGATGGTCCCAAGTGAGCTTAATGAGTGAAGTGTCTATAAGGGATAGGGGGTTGAAGACCTAACAGTTTGCCAGAGATGAGATTCAAAGCTTTGGTTTCTGTGCTGAGAAGAGCCAGCCCTTATATGAACCAGACAGGGGACATCTCCCCAAAGCCCCTAGAAACACACAGCAGAGCCAGAGAACACGGAGCAGGGTGAGCAGAGCCCAGCGCCAGCTCTGCCACCGGTGGGGCTCTGCCATGCTGGCAGCCTCCGCTCTGGGCTCAAGAGGAGGGTGGAGAATAGAGAAGAGGCATGGTTCTCTGACCTCTTCAACAGAAAAGCACCACATACTCTCTTCAGTCAGCAAAGCAAGAAAATGGCACACTCTTCAACATCAAACACACTGAATTAAGCATATGTATTACATGTGTTAACACGTGAGCGAGCATATGAGTTAAGCAAATATACAGCAAATTAACATACCAAAGGAGCTAGCCAGGTGCAGTGGCTCACTCCTGTAATCCCAGCACTTTGGGAGGTCAAGGCGGGTGGATCACCTGAGATCAGGAGTTCGAGACCAGCCTGGCCAACATGGTGAAATTCCGTCTCTACTAAACATACAAAAAATTAGCCAGGCGTGGTGGCACGTGCCTATAATTCCAGCTACTCAGGAGGCTAAGGAAGGAGAATCACTTGAACCCGGGAGGCAGAGGTTGTAGTGAGCCAGGATCGCGCCATTGCACTCCAGCCTCAGCAACAAGAGCGAAACTCCATTTCAAAAAAATAAATTATATAAATAAAATACCAAAGGAAATCATTAGAAATCAGTAATGCAATTAATAAGTCCACAAGAAAATATATTTTATATAAAATAATCTAATCTTTCATTTTGAAGGTATTTTGAGAATTTTTATTGACTAATGGCCCTTATGCCGAAGATCATTTGTAGTGTAAGTGTATAATGCTGGGTAATTCAGTCCTTAGGTACCAGGAACAGTCAGCTGAGGGAGGTTTCTTTGGTTCAGTTTAGTTCAAGTCCTACCATGATAAAGTTACTTCTGCAGGATGGAGCAGCTGATACGGATGCCCATTGGTCTGAACACAGAACAGGTAATGCTGGATGGAACAAGATTGAGAAGGCGCCACAGATTGCCATTTAGAAAGAAAGCATTCTTTCCATCAAGTAAAGATTCCTTTCCTATGACATTTTCATTTGGAGAATGACCTTGTACTCTTAGGAGGTTTCTTTCTATGACATTTGGTACTGCATCAACTAAGGAGGGCCAGAAGTTAGGATTCTCACACTGAACTCCTGCATTACCAGGGCACACTGGGGCTTTACCAACAGGATCTTAACATCTTGATACTGTGACCTTTTTTAAAAAAGACTCCTCAGCCTACTATGCTCGAGCTTTCAGTCCACACTCTTGACCAAGTCTAGCTTGGCGAAGAGAAGGCAAGTTCTGATATGAGCAAGCCAACACTCAAAGTAAGAGGGCAACTGAATTCTAGGGGAGTGAGTTATCTTGAGATAATGGAGAAGATTAAGGAAAAACCACTCTTCTACTTTGATTCTGAAAAAGACATAAATGAACACATTGGACTTGTTGAGGATTAATTTTAGGCTTGCAAGGTTTACCAAGCACACTGTAAACCTAAGTTATAGTCCTGAATAAATTAAGGATCTTAAGGAAAGCAGTTATGCACATTTACTTGCAACAGGCAGAGCCTAATAAATGTCCTCTGCATTTATAGAAAACTAGTTTAGATGTTTCCACATTTGTTATTTCATTTGATCCTCACAATAATCCTGTGACAATGGAGGGATATGGAGTTTTATTTCTATTTTATAGATGAGGAAAAAGAAGTAAAAAAAAACCTTAGCCAACTTGCCTGAAGTCTGGTGATATGAAATGACTGAGCTGGGTCAGCTGGGTCTTGAGTCTGCTTTCAGGCTAAGTGGAGAAATAAGACTGAAAAATACAACTAAAGAAGCACTAGAAACTAAACAATGTATAAAAAAGACTTCAAAACTTAATATAATAGAAACTTAATATACAGCTCCAGTAATCAATATGGTATTGGCATAAGGATGAACATACAGGTCAATGGCACAGAACTGAGAGTCCAGAAATGAACCCTTATATTTATGGTCAAATGATCTTTGACAAGGGTGCCAAGAAAATTCAATGGAGAAAGAACAGTCTTTAGAAGACATGGTGCTGACACGATTCAATATCCACATGTAAAAAGATAAAGTTGGCCTCTTGACATATATCATGCACAAAAATTAACTTGAAATGGATCAGAAGCCTAAATGTAAGAACTAAAAGTGTAAAATTTTTAAAGGAGAACATAGGGAAAAAAAATCCTTATGATCTTGGAATAGGCAAATATTTCTCAGATACAACACCAAAAGAATGATCCCTAAAAGAAACAAGTTGAAAATTTGGATTTCATCAATATTCAAAGGTTTGGGGCTTCAAACAACACCATTAAGAAAGTGGAAGCTGGCAAGATGGCCAAATAGGAACAGCTCCAGTCTGCAGCTCCCAGCAAGATCAATGCAGAAGGCGGGTGATTTCTGCATTTACAACTGAAGTACCTAGCTCATCTCATTGGGACTAGTTATACAGTGGGTGCAGCCCATGGAGGGACAACTGAAGCAGGGTGGGGCATCGCCTAACCCGGGAAGCACAAGGGGTCACGGAACTCCCTCCCCAGCCAAGGGAAGCCGTGAGGGAGTGTGCCATGAGGAACGGTGCACTCCAGCCCAGAAACTATGCTTTTCCCATGGTCTTCGCAACCCACAGACCAGGAGATTCCCTCGGGTGCCTACACCACCAGGGCCCTGGGTTTCAAGCACAAAACTGGGCGGCCATTTGGGCAGACACCAAGCTAACTGCAGGAGTTTTTTTTCATACCCCAGTGGCACCTGGAACACCAGTGAGACAGAACCATTCACTCCCCTGGAAAGGGGGCTGAAGCCAGGGAGCCAAGTGGTCTAGCTCAGTGGATCCCACCCCCAAGGAGCCCAGCAAGCTAAGATCCACTGGCTTGAAATTCTCACTGCCAGCACAGCAGTATGAAGTCAACCTGGGATGCTTGAGCTTGGTGGGGGGCGGGCGGGGCATCTGCCATTACCAAGGCTTGAGTAGGCGGTTTTCCCCTCACAGTGTAAACAAAGCCTCCAGGAAGTTCGAACTGGGTGGAGCCCACCACAGTTTGACAAAGCCACTGTAGCCAGACTGCCTCTCTAGATTCCTCCACTCTGGTCAGGGCATCTCTAAAAGAAAGGCAGCAGCGCCAGTCAGGGGCTTATAGATAAAATTCCCATCTCCCTGGGGCAGAGCATCTAGGAGAAGGGGCAACTGTGGGCACAGCTTCAGCAGACTTAAACGTTCCTGCCTACCAGCTCTGAAGAGAGAAGCGGGATCTCCTAGCACAGCACTCAAGCTCTGCTAAGGGACAGACTGCCTCCTCAAGTGGGTCCCTGGCCCCTGTGCCTCCTGACTGAGAGATACCTCCCAGCAGGGGTTGACTGACACCTCATAGAGGAGAGCTCCAGCTGGCATCTGGCAGGTGCCCCTCTGGGACGAAGCTTCCAGAAGAAGGAACAGGCAGCAATCTTTGGTGTTCTGCAGCCTCTGCTGGTGATACCCAGACAAACAGGGTCTGGAGTGGACCTCCAGCAAACTCCAGCATACCTGCAGCAAAGGAGCATGACTCTTAGAAGGAAAACTAACAAACAGAAAGCATCAACATCAACAAAAAGGACATCCACACAGAACCCCCATCCAAAGGTCACCAACATCAAAGACCAAAGGTAGATAAATCCATGAAGATGAGGAAAAACCAGCACAAAAAGGCTGAAAATTCCAAAAACCAGAATGCCTCTTCTCCTCCAAAGGAATACAACTCCTCGCCAGCAAGAGAACAAAACTGGAGAGAGAATGAGTTTGATGAGTCAACAGAAGTAGGCTTCAGAAGATGGGTAATAACAAATTTCTCTGAGCTAAAGGAGCATGTTTTAACCCAATGTAAGGAAGCTAAGAACCTTGAAAAAAGTTAGATGAATTGCTAACTAGAATAACCAGTTTAGACAATAACATAAATGACCTGATGGAGCTGAAAAACACAGCACGAGAACTTCATGAAGCATACACAAGTATCAACAGCCAAATCGACCAAGCCAAAGAAAGGATATCAGAGATTGAAGATCAACTTAATGAAATAAAGCATGAAGATAAGATTAAGAAAAAAGAATGAAAAGGAATGAACCAAGCCTCCAAGAAATATGGGACCATGTGAAAAGACCAAACCTACATTTGACTAGTGTACCTGAAAGTGACAGGGAGAATGGAACCAACTTGGAAACCCTCTTCAGGATATTATCCAGAAAAACTTACCCAACCTAGCAAGACAGGACAACTTTCAAATTCAAGAAATACAGAGAACACCACAAAGATACTCCTTGAGAAGAGCAACCCCAAGATACATAATCGTCAGATTCACTAAGATTGAAATGAAGAAAAAAATGTTAAGGGCAGCCAGAGAGAAAGGTTGGGTTACCCACAAAGGGAAGCCTATCAGACTAACAGCAGATCTCTCAGCAGAAACCCTACAAGCCAGAAGAGAGTGGGGGCCAATATTCAACATTCTTAAAGAAAAGAATTTTCAACCCAGAATTTCATATTCAGCCAAACTAAGCTTCATTAAGTGAAACATAAATAAAATCCTTTACAGACAAGCAAATGCTGAGAGATTTTGTCACCACCAGGCCTACCTTACAAAAGCTCCTGAGGGAAGCATTAAATATGGAAAGGAAAAACTGGTACCAGCCACTGCAAAAACATACCAAATTGTAAAGACCATCGACAGTATGAAGAAACTGCATCAATTAACGGGCAAAATAACTAGCTAGCATCATAATGACAGAATCAAATTCACACATAACAATATTAACCTTAAACATAAATGGGATAAATGCCCCCAATTAAAAGACACAGCCTGGAAAACTGGATAAAGAGTCAAGACCCATCGGTGTGCTGTATTCAGGAGACCCATCTCACCTGCAAAGACACACATAGGCTCAAAATAAAGGGATGGAGGAATATTTACCAAGCAAACGGAAAGCAAAAAAAGCAGGGTTACAATCCTAGTCTCTGATAAAACAGACTTTAAACCAATGAAGATCAAAAAAAAGACAAAGAAGGGCATTACATAATGGTAAAGGGATGAATGCAACAAGAAGAGCTAACTATCCTAAGTATATATGCACCCAATAGAGGAGCACCCAGATTCATAAAGCAAGTTCTAAGAGACCTACAAAGAGATTTAGACTCCCACACAATAATAGTGGGAGATTGTAACACCCCATTGTCAATATTAGATAGATCAACGAGACAGAAAATTAACAAAGATATTCAGGATTTGAACTCAGCTCTCGACTAAGCAGACCTAATAGACATCTATAGAACTCTCTACCCCAAATCAGCAGAATACACATTCTTCTCAGCACCACATTGCACTTATTCTAAAATTGACCACATAATTGGAAGTAAAACATTCCTCAGCAAACGCAAAAGAACGGAAATCAAAACAGTCTCTCAGACCACAGTGCAATCAAATTAGAATTCAGGATTAAGAAATTCACTCAAAACCGCACAACTACATGGAAACTGAACAACCTGGTCCTGAATGACTAATAGGTAAATAACGAAATTAAGGCAGAAATAAATAAGTTCTTTGAAATCAATGAGAACAAAGACACAATGTACCAGAATCTCTGAGACACAGCTAAAGCAGTGTTTAGAGGGAAAGTTATAGCACTAAATGCCACAGGAGAAAGTGGGAAAGATCAAAAATTGACATCCTACCATCACAATTAAAAGAACTAGAGAAGCAAGAGCAAACACATTCAGAAGCTAGCAGAAGACAAGAAATAACTAAGATCAGAGCAGAACTGAAGGAGATAGAGATACAAAAAAACCCTTCAAAAAAATCAATGAATCCAGGAGCTGATTTTTTGAAAAGATTAACAAAATACATAGGCCACTAGCCAGACTGATAAAGAATAAAAGAGAGAAGAACCAAACAGACACAATAAAAAATGATAAAGGGGGCCAGGCGCGGTGGCTCACACCTGTAATCCCAGCACTTTGGGAGGCCGAGGCGGGCGGATCACGAGGTCAGATTGAGATCGTCCTGGCTAACACAGGTGAAACCCCATCTCTACTAAAAATATAAAAAGTTAACCAAGTGTAGTGGCGGGCACCTGTAGTCCCAGCTACTCAGGAGGCTGAGGCAGGAGAATGGCATGAACCCGGGAGGCGGAGCTTGCAGTAAGCCAAGATCGTGCCACTGTACTCCAGCCTGGGCAACAGAGCGAGACTCCATCTCACCATTAAAAAAAAAAAAAAATTATAAAGTGGATATCACCACTGATCCCACAGAAATACAAACTACCATCAGAGAATACTATAAACGGCTCTACACAAATAAACTCAAAAATCTAGAAGAAATGGATACATTCCTGGATACATATACCCTCCCGAAACTAAACCAGGAAGAAGTCAAATCCCTGAATAGACCAATAACAAGTTCTGAAATTAAGGCAGTAATTAATAGCCTACCAACCAAAAAAAGCCCAGGATCAGACAGATTCACAGGCAAATTCTACCAGAGGTACAAAGAGGAGCTGGTACCATTCCTTCTGAAACTATTCCAAACAACAGAAAAAGAGGGACTCCTCTCTAACTCATTTTATGAGGCCAGCATCATTCTGATACCAAAATCTGGCAGAGACACAACAAAAAAAGAAAATTTCAGGTCAATATCCCTGATGAACATTGATGTGAAAATCCTCAATAAAATACTGGCAAACTGATTCCAGCAGCACATCAAAAAGCTTATCCACCACAATCAAGTTGGCTTCATCCCTGGGATGCAAGGCTGGTTCAACATACACAAATCAATAAATGTAATCCATGACATAAGCAGAACCAATGACAAAAACCACATGATTGTCTCAATAGATGCAGAAAGGGCCTCTGATAAAATTCACCAGCCCTTCATGCTAAAAACTCTCAATAAACTAGGTACTGATGGAATGTATTTCAAAATAATAAGAGCTATTTATGACAAACCCACAGCCAATGTCATACTGAATGGGCAAAAGCTGGAAGCATTCCCTTTGAAAACCAGCACAAGACAAGGATCCCCTCCCTCACCACTCCTATTCAACATAGTATTGGAAGTTCTGGCCAGGGCAATCAGGCAAAAGAAAGAAATAAAGGTATTCAAATAGGAAGAGAGGAAGTCAAGTTGTCTCTGCTTGCAGATGACATGATTGTATATTTAGGAAACCCCATTGTCTCAGCAAAAAATCTCCTTAAGCTGATAAGCAACTTCAGCAAAGTCTCAGGATACAAAATCAATGTGCAAAACTCAAAAACATTCCTATACACCAATAATAGACAAACAGAGGGCCAAATCATGAGTGAACTCCCATTCACAATTGCTACAAAGAGAATAAAATACCTAGGAATCCAACTTACAAGGGATGTGAAGGACCTCTTCACAATTGCTACAAAGAGAATAAAATACCTAGGAATCCAACTTACAAGGGATGTGAAGGACCTCTTCAAGGAGAACTACAAACCACTGCTCAAGGAAATAAAAGAGGACACAAACAAATGGAAAAACATTCCATGCTCATGGAAAGGAATAATCAATATCGGGAAAATGGCCATACTGCCCAAAGTAATTTATAGATTCAAAGCTATCACCATCAAGCTACCACTGACTTTCTTCATAGAATTAGAAAAAACTACTTTAAATTTCATATGGAACCAAAAAAGAGCCCGCATAGCCAAGACAATCCTAAGCAAAAAGAACAAAGCTGGAGGCATCACGCTGCCTGACTTTAAACTATACTAAAGGCTACAGTAAACAAAACAGCATGGTACTGGTACCAAAACAGACATACAGACCAATGGAACAGAACAGGGGCCTCAGAAATAACGCCACACATCTACAACCTTCTGATCTTTGACAAAGCTGACAAAAACAAACAATGGGGAAAGGACTCTCTATTTAATAAATAGTGTTGGGAAGACTGGCTAAGCCATATGCAGAAAACTGAAACTGGACCCCTTCCTTACACCTTATACAAAAATTAACTCAAGATGGATTAAAGACTTAAACATAGGACCTAAAATCATAAAAACCCTAGAAGAAAACCTAGGCAATACCATTCAGGACACAGGCATGGACAAAGACTTCATGACTAAAACACCAAAAGCAATGACAACAAAAGCCAAAATTGATGAATGGGATCTAATTAAACTAAGGAGCTTCTGCACAGCAAAAGAAACTATCATCAGAGTGAACAGGCAACCTACAGAATGGGAGAAAATTTTTGCAATCTCTCCATCTGATGAAGGGCTAATATCCAGAATCTACAAGGAACTTAAACAAATTTACAAGAAAAAAATAAACAACCCCATCAGAAAGTGGGTAAAGGACATGAACAGACACCTCTGAAAAGAAGACATTTATGAGGCCAACGAACATGAAAAAATGCTCATCATCACTGGTCATTAGAGAGATGCAAACCAAACCACAATGAGATACCATCTCACGCCAGTTAGAACGGTGATCATTAAAAAGTCAGGAAACAACAGATGCTGGAGAGGATGTGGAGAAATAGGAACGTTTTTACACTGTTGGTGGGAGTGTAAATTAGTTCACCCATTGTGGAAGACAGTGTGGCAATTCCTCAAGGATCTAGAACCAGAAATACCATTTAACCCAGCAATCCCATTACTAGGTATAAACCCAAAAGATTATAAATCATTCTACTTTAAAGACACATGCACATGTATGTTTATTGCAGCACTATTCACAATAGCAAAGACTTGGAACCAACCCAAATGCCCATCAATGACAGACTGGATAAATTCTTGGCAAACTAACACAGGAACAGAAAACCAAACACCACATGTTCTCACTCATAAGTGGAAGTTGAACAATGAGAACACATGGACACAGGGAGGGGAACATCACACACCCACACACTGGGGCTTTTCAGGGGGCAGGGGGCTAGGGCACAGATAGCATTAGAAGTAATACCTAATATAGATGATGGGTTGATGGGTGCAGCAAACCACCATGGCACGTGTATACCTATGTAACAAACCTGTACATTCTGCACATGTATCCCAAAACTTAAAATATATTAAAAAAAAAAAGAAAACGAAAAGACAAGCCACATTCGTGGAGAAGAAATGTTTACAAATCATATATATGATACAAGTATCCAGAAAATATATATATATAAAATTTAATTTTTTAATTTTTTTTTTTTTGAGACAGAGTCTCGCTCTGTCACCCAGGCTGGAGTGCAGTGGCGTGATCTCAGCTCACTGTAACCTCTACCTCCTGGGTTCAAGCGATTCTCCTGCCTCAGCCTCCCAAAATGCTGGAATTACAGGCATAAGCCACTGCACCCAGCCCAGAATATATTAAAAACTCAACTTGACAAAAAGACAACACAATTTTTTAAAGGGGCAAAAGATGTGAAGAGTAATTTCCCCAATGAAGATATATGAAAGGTCAGTAAGTATATGAAAAGATGCTCAACATCAATACTACAGTGATGGCCAGGCATGGGCGCTCATGCCTGTAATCCCAGCATTTTGGGAGGCTGACTTGGGAAGATCATTTGAGGCCAGGGTTTGAGACCAGCCTGGGCAACATAGCAAGACTGTACCTCTACAAAAAAAGTAAAAATAAAAACTGCAGTGAGATACTGCTCCGTATCTACTAGAATGACTATATATGAAGATGTGGACAAAATGGATCCCTCATATGTTGGTGGTGGGCATGTAAAATGGTGTAGCCACTTTGGAAAATATTTTGGCAGTTTCTTAGAAAGTTAAAAATAAATTTACCATAGAAACCAGCAATTCCAGCCCTAAGTATCCATCTAAGAGATATGTTCACACAATGATCGGTACCTATGTGAATTTTCAGAATTTTCTGCACTATTCATAACCAAAATGAATGGATAAACAGAACGTGTTCTATTCACACAATGGAATATTATACAGCCATAAAAAGGAGCACACTACTGATCTATGCTTTATCTGGATGAACCTTGAAAACATGATGCAAACTGAAAGAAGCCAGCTGCAGGAGACCCTATCAGGTATGACTCCCTTTACAAGAAAGTTCCAGAAAAGGCAAATCCAGAGAGAGAAAGTCAGTCAGTGGTTGCCTGGAGCTAGGGGTGTGAACAGAGTGACTACCAATGGCCAGAGATTTTTCTGAAGTGAAGAGAATGAAAACTGGGTGGTGATAGTTGCACAGCTGTAAATTTACTAAAAACCACTTAATTACACACTTAAAAAAAAAAAAACTCTAAACCTGGCCAGGCATGGTGGCTCACACCTGTAATCCCAACACTCTGGGAGGCCCAGGCAGGAGGATCACTTGAGGCCAGGAGTTCGAGACAAGCCTGGCCAACATAGGGAAACCCTGTCTCTACTAAAAATACAAAAATCAGCTGGGCATGGTGGCACGTGCCTGTAATCCCAGCTACTCTGGAGGCTGAGACATGAGAATCACTTGAGCCCAGGAGGCGGAGGTTGCAGTGAGCTGAGATCACACCACTGCACTCAGGCCTGGATGATAGAGGGAAGCTCTGTCTCAAAAAACAAAAACAAAAAAAACTCTAAACCTAAATAACACGGTCTTGGTAACTGCCAAGAGAGAAATCTAAAAAGATAGTAGCTATGTGATGATAATGAAGGGTGACCATGTGGCACGCTGATGGCGTTTTCCCCAAATGAATTATAATTTTCCCTAAACAAAGATGTTTTGAAAATACCAACAATTTTATGCATTTGCTTAATCCTCCTTTCACCAATTCTCAGTTAAACACACACACACCCTCACGTGTCAGTCAACCAAAAAGCCTTTCCTGAATACCTACTATGTGCCCCACTCAGTTCTGGGCACTTGGTAATTAAAGAACCAGAAGCCAAGGCAGAGTCCTTCCAGGGTCAGTGCTGGACACAACAGACACCTGAAGAGGTGGCTAACCACAGAAAATGGCCTCCTTGCCGATCCTAACCTCATTGTGACTTTCTGTGTCATATATAAAGAAACCTGCCAAAAATCAGAAATGATTGGCTGGGCGCGGTGGCTCATGCCTGTAATCCTAGCACTTTGGGAGGCCGAGGTGGGTGGATCACTGAGATCAGGAGTTCAAGACCAGCCTGGCCAACATGGAGAAACCCCATCTCTACTAAAAATACAAAAATTAGCCAGGCGTAGTAGTGCACGCCTGTAAAATCTCAGCTACTAGGGAGGCTGAGGCAGGAGAATCACTTGAACCCAGGGGGCGGAGGTTGCAGTGAGCCAAGATCATGCCACTTCACTCCAGCTTGGGCAAAAGAGTGAGACACCATCTCAAAAAAAAAAAAGAAAAAAGAAATGATTGAGTGTAGGCATAACTGGCAGGGTGAACACCTGTATTAGGGTTGTAACCAAAGATGAATTATCATTGATCAATTTCCTATATCTACATGGGAGGATAGTGGAATCTCATTAAACTGAGTATAACAGATAGTATAATATAGCTCAACAGATTGTTTCCAAAATACAAAATGGGTGAGAGAATTAAATAGCTTGCTTCTTGAGGAATGGGTGATAATTATTGAGAAGGAGAAGAGTGACCACAGAAGGCAAAATGAGGGCTTCTGTCAGGGGCTGCATCATCAGCTGGTTATTTACTAGGTTCTCACGGCAAAGATCTTACTCAGCAGATGAGCTATAAAATCTGCAACCAATGGGGTAAAACAAAGATATTTAACTCTGAATCTTCTTCTTTTATTTTTATTTATTTATTTATTTATTTATTTATTTATTTATTTATTTTGAGACACAGTCTCACTCTGTCGCCCAGGCTAGAGTGCAGAGGCATGATCTCGGCTCAGTGCAACCTCTGCCTCGTGGGTTTAAGTGATTCTCCTGCCTCAGCCTCCTGCATAGCTGGGGACTACAGCCGTGTGACACCATTTTTGTATTTTTTGGTGGAGACGGGGTTTCACCATGTTGCCCAGGTTGGTCTTGAACTCCTGACCTCAAGTGATCCGTCCGCCTCAGCCTCCCGAAGTGCAAGGATTACAGCCACCACGCTCAACCTAAATTTTTTTTATTTTTTCTTTATTTTTTTTTTTTTAAGATGGACTCTCACTGTCACCCAGGCTGGAGTGCAGTGACGTGATCTTGGCTCACTGCAACCTCCGCCTCCCAGGTTCAAGCGATTCTCCCACCGCAGGCTCTTGAGTAGCTGGGATTACAGGCACGCGCCACCACACCCGGCTAATTTTTGTATTTTTAGTAGAGACGGGGTTTCACCATGTTGGCCAGGCTAGTCTCGAACTCCTGACCTTGTGATCCACCCAACACAGCCTCCCAAAGTGCTGGGATTACAGGTGTGAGCCACCGCGCCCGGGCTTCATTTTCTTTTAAACTCTGACCCAAACTGTATTATCCAACTTCCTCTTTGGGCCAATCTGGACCAACAAGATTTACTCTCCTGCATGAACTGACCAAAAATGGACAAAACAGGGCGAGGCACAGTGGCTCACGCATGTAATTCCAGCACTTTGGGAGGCTGAGGCAGGTGGGTGACGAGGTCAGGTGTTCAAGACCAGCCTGGCCAACATGATGAAATCCCATGTCTACTAAAAATACAAAAATTAGCCAGGCGTGGTGGTGCGTGCCTGTAGTCCCAGCTACTCGGGAGGCTGAGGCACGAGAATTGCTTGAACCTGGGAGGCGAAGGTTGCAGTGAGCTACTGCACTCCAGCCTGGGCAAGAGAGGGAGACTCTGTCTCAAAAACAAAAACTGCCAAAGAACAGACACAGATGTTAAATTTAGCAGAGAAGAACATTAAAAGAGTTAATATAACTGTATATGTACAAAATATTAAACAAAACACGGAAGATATTTTTTAAAAGATAAAAATCAAATGTTATGAGATCCAAATCAAATGCTATAATGTCTGGGATTAAAAATGCACTGGATGTAATTAGTGGACGGCTAGACATTGCAGAAAAAAAGATTCATGAACTTGAAGGCACAGCAGTAGAAACAATCAAAAATCAAACACAGAAAAGAGATTTTTAAAAGTAGACATAGCATCAGGGAACTGTGGGACAACTATCAAGAAGCTTAATAGATGTGTAGTGGGAGTTGTAGAAGGAGAGGGGAGAAAAGGGACAGAAAAAATGTTGAAAGCTATAATAGCTGAGGCCGGGCATGGTGGCTTACATCTATAATCCCAGCATTTTGGGAGGCTGAGGTGGGTGGATCACCTGAGGTCAGAAGTTCAAGACCATCCTGGCCAACATGGTGAAACCCCGTGGCGACTAAAAATACAAAAAATTAGCGGGGTGTGGTGGAGCGCACCTGTAATCCCAGCAACTTGGGAGGCTGAGGCAGAAGAATCACTCGAACCTGAGAGGCAGAGGTTGCAGTGAGCCAAGATCGTGCGACTGTACTCCAGCCTGGGCAACAGAGACTCTGTCTGGGGAAAAAAAAAAAAAAATCTATCTATTTATCTAGGCTGAAAGTATACCAAATTTGATGAAAACTATAAACCCAGAGATCCAAGAATCTCAGTAACCCAAGCACAGAACCATGAAGAAAACTATATGAGAGCACGTGATGAGCAGTTCAAAGCCACAGGTCAAGGGCAACCTTAAAGGCAGCCAGAGACAAGAGACACGTTCAACACTGAGGAGCAGAGAGAGGGTGGCTGCAGCTCTTTCATTGGAAGCAACTGTGTCAAGACAGTGGAGCAACATTTTTATATTACTGAAAGAAAAAAACCTATCAATTTAGAATTCCACACACAGTGGAAATATCTTTCAAAATAAGGATAAAATTAAGATTTTTTTGACCGGGCATGGTTGCTCATACCTGTAATCCCAGCACTTTGGGAGGTGGAGGCGGGCGCATCATGAGGTCAGGAGATTGAGACCATCCTGGCCAACATGGTGAAATCCCATCTCTATAAAAATACAAAAATTAGCTATGGTGGCAAGCATCTGTAGTCCCAGCTACTTGGGAGGCTGAGGCAGGAGAATCTCTTGAACCCGGGAGACAGAGATTGCAGTGAGCTCTCTGCAACTCCAGCCTGGTGACAGAGGGAGACTCTGTCTCAAAAAAAAAAAAAACCAAAAAAAAAAAAAAAAAAAACTTTTTCAGAATATAGAAGTTAAAAAAAAATTATCACCAGCAAACCTGTCCTATAAGAAATGTTTAAAAAAAATTCCTTCAGGCAGAAAACAAAATTGAGGCCAGGCATGGTGGCTCATGCCTGTGATCCCAACACTTTGGGAGGCTGAAGCCAGGCAGATTGCTTGAGCCCAGGAGTTTGAGACCAGCCTGGACAACATGGTGAAAATCTGTCTCTACAAGAATACACAAAAATTACCCGGGATGGGGTGCCATGTGCCTGAAGTCCCAGCTTATGTTTATTGAGCCTTCCTTTATGGCCCAAAATATAATTAGTCTTGGGAAATTTGTTTTCTGCTGTTTTTGAGTGAAGAGTTCTATAAATTCCAAGTAAGTCAGGCGGTTTGATATTCGTTTATTATTTTTATTTTTTTTTGAGACACTCTCACTCTGCCACCCAAGCCGAAGTGCAGTGGCGCCATCTCAGCTCACAGCAACCTCTGCCTCCAGTGGTTCTCCCACCTCAGCCTCTTGAGTAGCTGGGATTATAGGCGCCTGCCACCACATCCAGCTAATTTTTTGTATTCTTAGTAGAGATGGGGTTTCATCATGTTAGCCAGGCTGGCCTCAAATTCCTGACCTCAAGCGATCCGCCCACCTCGGCCTCCCAAAGTGCTGGGATTAAAGGCGTGAGCCACTGCACTGGCCAGTAGTTTAGTTTACATTTTCTATATCCTTAATAATTTTCTTCATATATCTATCAATTTTTGTGAGAAGATACTGAAACTTACTAATATAATTGTGGATTTGCCTATTTTTCCTTGCAGTTCTATCAGTTTTTGCTTCATGTATTTTGAAGCTCTGTTGTTAGATGCATAAACATTGATGAATTTTATGTCCTCTTGATGAATTGACTTTTTTAATCACTATGAAATCACCTTTTATATCCATGGTAATATTCTTTACCCTGAAATTGACTTTGTCTTTTATTAATATAGCAACTCCACCTTTCTTCTGGTCAGTGTTAGCGTGATTTTTTTTGCGTCCTTTTATTTATCTATTGCATCTTTATATTTATAGTGAGTTTCTTATAGATGGACTTATAATTGAGTCTTTTTTTTTTTTTAAAAGATTGTGTTTCGCTCTTGTTGCCACCCAGGCTGGCGTGCAATGGTGCGATCTCGGCTCACTGCAACCTCTGCCTCCCGGGCTCAAGCGATCCTCCTGCCTCAGCCTCCCAAGTAGCTGAGATTACAGGCATGAGCCACTACGCCCAGCTAATTCTGTATTTTTAGTAGAGACGGGGTTTCTCCATGTTGGTCAGACTGGTCTTGAACTCCTGACCTCAAGTGATCTGCCTGCCTTGGCCTCCCAAAGTACTGGGATTACAGGTGTTGAGCTACCACGCACAGCTGAGTCTTGATTTTTTAATTCTCTGCCTTTTCCTTTGGGTATTTAGTTTTATCTCTACTAAAATTAGAAAAATTAGCTGGCACACTCCTGTAGTCCCAGCTACTTGGGATGCTGAGGCAGAAGAATCACTTGAACCCAGGAGGCAGAGGTTGCAGTGAAACCAGATGGCACTGCTGTACTCCAGCCTGGGTGACAGACCGAAACTCTGCCTCAATAAGTAAATAAATACATACACACTTGTACACGAGGCCAGGTGCGGTGGCTCATGCCTGTAATCCCAGAATTTTGGGAGTCCAAGGTAGGCGGATCACTTGAGCCCAGGAATTTGAGACCAGCCTGGGCAACATGGCAAGATCCCGTCTCTACAAAAAAGTTTTAAAAAATTAGCTGGGCGTGGTGATGCTTGCCTGTAGTCCCAGCTACTCAGGAGGCTGAGGCAGGAGGATCGCTTGAACCCAGGAGATTGAGGCTGCAGTGAGCCATCATCGCTCCACTGCACTGCAACCTGGGCAACAGAGCAAAATTCTGTCTCAAAAAGAAAACAAAAAAAAAAGCTAGAAAGAAGGATCTTGAATCAACTCATATGACACCAGAAAAAAAAAATATTATCGACTTGATTTTCCAGCCCAGGTATCTAAAATGTTGCTCTACCCAAGAAACCTGGTCTTCAGTGAGTTCTTTAGGGAGAAGAGTCTCAGCAAAGATGAAAGACTAAGTGGACATGAATCTTTAGGCGTTCTAGGCAGGCAACTTTCAATCTGAAACACATGAGTGTGGCCAGGGTGTGGTAAGCAGGGGCACTTACTGTGTAAAAAGCCGAGCACTGGAGTTGCAGAGTAAGCCTCATCATGAGTTGCAGGATAAACGTAAGCAAGGCCTCTACTCATCGTTTCTTCATCTCATCTCCAGTGCCTAGGACAGGGCTTGAGACACAGCAGGCGCTCAAAACATGTCTGCCCAATGGAAACGATAAAACACTACTGTCATTGAACTATGACACATGTGACCACGCTAGCTAACTGGACTGCAAGGAAATGCACAGTGATAAGACACTCGCATCACAGCAGAGGTGCTTCACTCTGGCCCTGCCCGAGAATCACCTGCAAAGTCACTACAGAGATGGGTCCTGGCTGCTGTGTTTTCCAAAACTTTGCTGGTGGTTATGTGCAGAGTACAGAGCCTCTAGGCTGGGAACAGAAGTAAGAAACTAGTTACCGTTCCTCAGTAACCAAATTCTGGAGACGCCTGTGAGAGAGAAATACACAGAGAGGCAGAGAGAGGACAGAAAACTTGGTAGAACTTGGATACTTTATTGAACTCAATCTGGATTATTAAATCAAAGACTAGGACACAATACAACATAAACAAAACTTTATCAAATTAAGAGGCAATATACACCATGCCAATAAGATACCCAACTCATTATTCTTTGGTAACAGTCAAGAAGTATTGCAACCTGAAGCCTGGCACTCCATTTCAGCAATTCCAACCTGATAGATCATTCAGGGTGTCTTCCATTAAACCTTCCCTGTTCGCTCTGATCAATAATGACCTCTGGCTCCCCTTCCCTGACAGCCCACAGCATCACACTTTTCATCATTTTATGATAGCCAATTTAGGACTTCATTGTGAAGCTTTGTGGGTATATTTTATTTTTACTTTTTTATTTGAGACAGAGTCTCACTCTTTCATCCAGGCTGGAATGCAGTGGTGTGATCTCGGCTCACTGCGACCTCTGCCTCACGAGTTGAAGCAATTCTTCTGTCTCAGCCTCCCAAGTAGCTGGATCACAGGTGTGTGCCACCAAGCCCAGCTAATGTTTGTATTTTTAGTAGAGACAGGGTTTCACCATGTTAGCCGGGCTGATCTGGAACTCCTGACCTCAAGTGATCAGCCTGCCTTGGCCTCCCACAGTGCTGGGATAACAAGCATGAGCCACTGCGCCCGGCCTGCTTTGTATTTTAGTTCCACAAATGCCACATGGGAAGCTGTGCAGCCCTGTGGTTAAGATGGCAGGCTCTGGAGCCAGATGGCTTGGATTTAAGACCTAGTTCTACCATTTACTAGCTGTGTATCCTTAGGCCAGTTAATTACCCCCTCTGCGTTTCAGCTGCCTCCTTTGTATCATGGGAATAATTTAGCAGTGTTGTGCTATAAATTCAGATAATCCAGGATGGGCACGGTGTCTCACGCCTGTAATCCCAGCACTTTGGGAGGCTGAGGCAGGCGGATCACCTGAGGTCAGGAGTTCGAGACCAGTCTGGCCAACATGGTGAAACCTCATCTCTACTAAAAATACAAAATTAGCTGGGCATGGTGGCGGGCACCTGTAATTCTAGCTACTCCGGAGGCTAAGGCAAGAGAATCGCTTCAACCCAGGAGGCAGAGGTTGCAGTGAGCCAAGATTATGCCACTGCACTCCGGCCTGGGCGACAAGAGTGAGACTCCGTTCCCCTCCCCCCCCAAACAAAACAAAACAAAACAAAACTCCCCACCTCCCCACGGCTGCCTGGCCAAAACCAAACCAAGGGGTGGGGCTTGCGCGGGTCCAACATGTGCTACCTCAGGATGTAGTGTAACAAGGGGGCTGGGTGGGCAGAGTGGGCCTGTGAGCGCCCGCATCCCCCAGCTCCCCCCCGCAGCCGGCTCCACAATGGTCTGCTCCGGTTGCCGGGTGCGGATTCGGGTTCCGGACGCAAGGCTGCGAGTTCTCCGCTGCTTGTTGTGGCCGGGGTTACTGCGGCGACCGCCAGAGCAGCCTTGGCGCTATGTTGGAGCCAGGGGCTACCCCTCAGCGGTACTTGGGGCTGGTCCTGGGGGAGCCACGCAGGGTTGTGGCAGCGCTGCCTGAAAGTATGAGACTGGATTCGAATCCTCATGGTTTTCCATGGGAAATGGTGATATGTGCAGCTGTTGCTGCATTTTTTGCTGTTCTCCTTTTTCTGTGGAGAAGTTTTAGATCGGTTAGGAGTCGGCTTTATGTGGGAAGAGAGAAAAAGCTTGCTATAATGCTTTCTGGACTAATTGAAGAAAAATGTAAACTACTTGAAAAATTTAGCCTTGTTCAAAAAGAGTATGAAGACTATGAAGTAGCGTCATCGTTAGAGGATGCCAGCTTTGAGAAGGCGGCAGCAGAAGCACGAAGTTTGGAGGCAACCTGTGAAAAGTTGAACAGGTCCAATTCTGAACTTGAGCATGAAATTCTCTGTCTAGAAAAAGAGTTAAAAGAAGAGAAATCTAAACATTCGCAACAAAATGAATTGATGGCGGATATTTCAAAAACGATACAGCCTCTAGCAGATGAGTCAGAATCCCTCAAATCACAAGTAGCTGAAGCCAAAATGATCTTCAAGAGATTTAAAATGACTGAGAAACAACTGAAGATAGCAATAAAAGATGCTTTGAATGAAAACTCTCACCTTCAGGAAAGCCAGAAACAGCTTTTGCAAGAAGCTGAAGTATGGAACGAACAAGTGAATGAACTTAATAAACAGAAAATAACATTTGAAGACTCCAAAGTACATGCAGAACAAGTTCTAAATGATAAAGAAAATCACATCAAGACTCTGACTGAACATTTGCTAAAGATGAAAGATTGGGCTGCTAGGCTTAGAGAAGACGTAACGGATGATGATAACTTAGAAGTGAACAGTGAATCAGAAGATGGTGCTTACTTAGATGATCCTCTAAAAGGAGCTCTGAAGAAACTGATTCATGCTACTAAGTTAAATGCTTCTTTAAAAACCTTAGAAGGAGAAAGAAACCAAATTTATATCCAGTTACCTGAAATTGATAAAACAAAGGAAGAGCTTACAGAGCATATTAAAAATCTTCGGACTGAACAAGCATCTTTGCAGTCAGAAAACACACATTTTGAAAGTGAGAATCAGAAGCTTCAACAGAAACTTAAAGTAATGACTGAATTATATCAAGAAAATGAAATGAAACTCTACAGGAAATTAACAGTAGAGGAAAATAGCCGGTTAGAGAAAGAAGAGAAACTTTCTAAGGTAGACAAAAAGATCAGCCATGCCACTAAAGAGCTGGAGACCTACAGACAGCGAGCCAAAGATCTTGAAGAAGAATTGGAGAGAACTATTCATTATTATCAACGGCAGATTATTTCCCATGAGAAAAAGGCACATCATAACTGGTTGGCAGCTTGGGCTGCTGAAAGAAACCTCAATGATTTAAGGAAAGAAAATGCTCACAACAGACAAAAATTAGCTGAAACAGAGTATAAAATAAAACTTCTAAAAAAAGATCCTTATGTACTTGATGTTCCAAATACAGCATTTGGCAGAGAGCATTCCCCATATGGTCCCTCATCATTGGGTCGGCCTTCATCTGAAACGAGAGCTTTTCTCTCTCCCGCAACTCTGTTGGAGGGTCCACTCAGACTCTCACCTTTGCCTCCAGGGGGGGAAGGAAGAGGCTCAAGAGGCCCAGGGAATCCTCTGGACCATCAGATTACCAAGGAAAGAGGAGAATCAAGCTGTGAAAGGTTAACCGATCCTCACAGGTCTCCTTCTGACACTGGGTCCCTGTCACTTCCGAGGGAACAGGACCGTAGGATGATGTTTCCTCCACCAGCGCAATCATATCTTGATTCAGCTCTTCCTCCACAAAGGCAAGACAGATTTTATTCTAACTCTGGTGGACTGTCTGGACCAGCAGAACTCAGAAGTTTTAATATGCCTCCTTTGGATAAAATGGATGGGTCAATGCCTTCAGAAATGGAATCCAGTAGAAATGACACCAAAGATGATCTTGGTAATTTAAATATCCCTGATTCATCTCTCCCTGCTGAAAATGCAGCAACTGGCCCTCGCTTTGTTCCTCCACCTCTTGCCCTAATCAGAGGTCCACTGTTTCCAGTGGATACAAGGGGCCCGTTCATGAGAAGAGCACCTCCTTTCCCCCCACCTCCTCCAGGAACCAGGTTTGGAGCTTCTCGAGATTATTTTCCACCAGGGGATTTCCCAGGTCCACCACATGCTCCGTTTGCAATGAGAAATGTCTATCCACCGAGGGGTTTTCCTCCTTACCCTCCCCCAAGACCTGGATTTTTCCCCCGACCCCCACATTCTGAAGGTAGAAGTGAGTTCCCTTCAGGGCTGATTCCGCCTTCAAATGAGCCTGCTACGGAACATCCAAAACCGCAGCAAGATACCTGGCAATATTTTTGCTCTCTTCAAAAGTAATTCTGACTGATCTCATTTCAAGTAACTGCTGTTACTTAAGTGATTACACTTTTGCTCAAATTGAAACTTAATGGAATTATAATTCTTAGGATAGTATTTTGTAAATAAGGATGATTTAAATATGAATCTTATAAGTAAATTATTTCCATTGTATTTTATTCGATAGTATAACTATTTTAATTTGATTAATCCACTATTATAGAAACAACAGTGGGAGTTTTACGTATGTAATCTTGCAGGTGGGGAGGCTTTAAATTCTAAAGGCTGTGTCTTTATGCCAACAACTGTATTTACTGTAGGTGTAGACAAATGTGAAAGTAACTTTATGCTTAAATAAATTTTAGTTGATTAAAGAAATTCAGATAATCCACATGATAACCATTCAATCACTAGCAGTATTTGCCACGTCTCCACTAAACGTCTCAAAGTCGCAGAAAACACAGCATGGCCTAACAGGAGCTCTTCATTGCCTCCACACCACTCTTCTCTCAAGGAGCAGCAGTACTGCCCTCGCAGGGCTCAAGTCAACCCCTACAACACCCTGGACTCCACTCTTCACATTACCCTGCCACTGCCACTCCATCAGTGAGACTGTCTGCTCTCCCTCTACACAGTCACGTCTCTCTAGTGTCACCACCCCACTGCCCTCTCTTGTGCAAACCTCTGCCACTTCTCCTCTGACACACTACTGTAGCCACAAGCCTTGCCTCCCTGCCTGCACCCTGATCACACCTTTCATTTTCCAGGGCAGTGAAGTAAGGTCTCAACACATCAGCATAATCATGTCACTTTTCTGTTTGTTTTTCTGCCATCTGGTAGCACAGTAGCAGTGAGCCACCCTTGGCTATGCAGAGGAGGGTGACACCCAGGGGATGGTGTGAGGGGAAGGAACTTAGGTCCCCGCATATCCCCTGATCTGGGTACCACCAGCCCTACGCCTATATTTAGTGACCCTGGGCTCCACCCCACTGGACTGCTCACGTCCATGCTGTTCTGTGCAGGAGAATCAAACTTCCATCTTGTTAGGGCCAGCGTGCTTTGAAGGCTCTTGGTTACAAAAGCACCCTAACCTGCTATATTACTGTACTATACTATTACTATACTACATTACTATACCATATTATTACTATATTACTGGGGTAACCTGCACCCTAGTAATATAACAATTGGTACCTGGAGGAGGGGTGCGGCTGTGATAGAAACCTAAGTGGTACTGGCTTCACGGCCAGGCAGTGAGTAGTGAGGAAAGAGATGGTGCAGGGTAGAAAGCTAGTCATTCCCGCTACGCAGTAAAGACATCTAAAAAAATGCTGCCTGTATTAACTGGGAAGACGGATCCTGCACTTACCAAGCCTGTGTAGCTCTAGAAGAAAAAAAAAAGCAAATATGCGGTATGTTGGCTGCTCACTGCTGCCCCTAGCGAGGAACTTTGAAATAAACGAGGTTAAGTAAGAACTGGCCAATTTGCAAGCAGAGGTGGAAGATAAAATACAGGAATGCCAAGCAGCTCTGTCTTCCAGCTCCAATCCTGCAGTACTTCTTTCAGTGCCCCTAAGACGCTAAGCTCCTTCCTCCAACACTGTTTTTTGTCACCTCCCATCCTGCCTACCCCCGGTCATCCTTCAAGTCTCACACATACCTGACTTACCCACGCACCCTGGGATCTTGTGCAAGTCTCCCCATTACCATCTCATCTTACCCTCTGCTCATCAGTTAATGGACTCAGCCCAAGAAGCACTAACACGCTCAATGCCGGGTAATTTTCTGCGCGTGTTCGCTCCCCACGTACTCGTCCCCCAACACCCAGCCCTGGGCCTGGCACGTGGCAGGCGCTCAGTGAACGAGACTCAGGAACAGTCAGGTGTAGACGGCAGGAGAAGACATGACACGGATACCAAGCACCCGAGGTCCTGCAATGAGTCTCGGCCCATGTTTTAGGGAGCCTGGGTCTGGAGCCCCAGTGAGCGTGTGGGTCAGGAAGGTGCCCGAGCTCCGCGCCCGACCGCGCAGGCGCGAAACCGGGAGAGCGGCGTCACAACCCCGCCCTAACAGGCCACGCCCATCACTGGCCACGCCCTCCCAGGGACGTACGCGAGCGTGCGAGTGTCTTGGGCCAGGCCTCCTCACAGGCAGGGCCGCGCCGGCAAAAACGAGGCGCGGTGGGAACCCGCCCAGGGGCCATCCGCCCTCCCGTCCCTAACGCCCAGGCCCCGGGGGCTCACCACGTCCCCCGGAACCTGCAGATCCTCCGCCCTCCGCTGTCGCCAGCGGCCGAGCGCTAAGCTGTCCATGCAGCCCCAGGGTCAAACCCTCCCGGCATCTCAGGCCTGGCCGAGGCCCGCGCACCACGCCCCCTTCCGCACAAGGCCCTGGGGAGCCAATAAGGAGAGGGAGGGGCGGGACGCCGCGGGAAGCGCGAGAGCACCAAGGCGAGGACCGCAGGCAGGAGTAGCAGAGACCAGAGTCTTCTGAGACTATTGGGATGCTGTGGGCGTTGTCCGTCTGCCCCAAGTCATTACTTCGCAGAGAGGTCCCTGCATATCTCTGCTTGTCGCTTCTCCCTTCACAGGAGCAGCCGTGGGGCTCTAAAGAAAGCATTCTTTCAGGATCCCGCCAAACTTTTGACAACACCCCGTGGATCGGCTGGAGGAGCGCCCGCCTCCTCTGTCTTATGATTGGTTGTTAGGCCTCGTGGGGAGCCGTCTCCCTGTGGCTGGTTGGCTAATAGATGGCGCAGCGGGTCAATTAGCTTGAGCGAGACAGCGGGTGTTTCTGGGAGTTGTGGTCCGCAGGGCTGCCTCGCTTCCGGGTGGGAGCTGCTGTTGCCGCGGTGGGAAGACGCAGAGCTTTCAGGCCAGCCCCGCGCGGCTCACGGCTTTTGTGGCTGGTGGCTGGTGGCTGCTGGTTGGGAGGCCCCGGAAGGACTTCTACTCCTCCGTAGGCTGGAGGGCACTAGGAGGTCGCAGGTGCTGAGCTGCCGGGGCCTTTGGGCTGTGCTGAAGGGGAAAAGCGCAGCCACTGTCGGGAGTGTGTGCTGTGGAGGCAGTTGCCGCGGTGATGTTCGCTCCGCCTGGCCCCTGCCGGGGATTCAGCCAACCAACCCTCAACAGCCGGCGGCGGCTCAGTCTCTGGCCCGGCGCGGTGCTGAGCACCACTGAGCCCTCATCTTAGGGCACCGAGGCCCGGACTCCTGCAGCCGCATGTCCAGGCCCCTCCTGCCTTAGCACGGAGCTCCCTTGACTGCTCCAAACAGCCCAGACTGGCGCCTTTTTTGGATAAATTAAAACGGGGCCAATCCGTTGCCAGCGATTGGCTAACGATGGGTACACGACCTAGTACGGGCCAGGGAGAAGTAAGCGAGGTCTGTTGAGGCAGAGTTTCGGGAAAGATCTTCTAGTTAAAAGGGGAGTTGGGTGGGTGGGGGCTGTTTTCTTCCTGTTGTCCTTGCCCAGTGTAAGTTTCCTGGAGCTGCAGCAGCCTTTTTGTCACCATGAGGGCAGCTGGTGGGAACCCTAGGAAAGCAGGAAATCACCTAGAGCCGGAACAGCCTGAGCCTCTGAACCAACCCACAGCTGACTACCCGTCACTTTGTCGTGTCTCTGTGATTTGAGTCCATCATTCTGCTGCAGTTGAAGGTATCCTTTGACAAAGCCCTGTTCTTAACCATTATGGTGAAACGCATGAATCCCTCTTCGGGCTATTTGCTGCATGATCCTCAGCAAATTAAATAGTTAATCTCCCTCAGTTTCCTCATTTATAAAGGATAGGATGATAAAGCATAGAGATCGTGAGGATTACATGAGGCATTTACCTAGAAGATACTTAGAACAATGCTGGACACAAACTAAGTACTTAACAAATGTAACATTTCTCCTATTAGTTAGTACTCCTAAGACTAATTATGCCACCACTGATTCACAGTCCCTTATCAAAAACCTTTCAGGCCAGATGTGTTTGTGAAATTCAGAATTTTTTGAATGTTTAAAAAAGGTGAGATATATTGTATGCCCCCGTAGTCAAACAATGTTTCTATAGCAGAAATGTGTGAGTATTCACAAATATTCACCCTAAGTGGGATATATAAAGGTTGTAAATAGGGCCAGGCACAGTGGCTCATGCTTGTAATCCCAGTACTTTGGAAGGCCAAAGCGGGAGGATTGCTTGAACCCAGGAGTTTGAGACCAGCCTCGGCAACACAGTGAGACCCCCGTCTCTACAAAATAAAAATAACAAAATTAGCCGGGCACTATGGCGCCCACCTGTAGTACCAGCTACTCAGAAGGCTGAGGTGGGAAGATTGCTTGGGCCTGGAAGGTTGAGGCTGCAGTGAGTTGGCTGTGATCACACCACAGCACTCCAGCCTGGCCAATAGAGTGAGACCCTGTCTCAAATAAAATAAATACAATAAATAAATAAAGGTTGTAAATAGTCTCATATCAGTTCAAATGAGTTTACTCCAAGCGTGGGGAAAAACTAATTTGGAGGACTTTCTGCATTTCAGAATTGAAAATAAGGTATGTTGTAGGCCTCTCAAAATGCTTGTCTTGCAGTTTAGATTAGATGACTTGCTTTGTTACCCACTTTTGATTCGCTGGCCTTTATACTGATGGCTGCTTTTCAGATGTGTATAAGAACAAAATTTCAACAAATTTAGTTTCAAAGATCTGATTGGTTTTTAATAGCATTGCATGCACCAGGCAGTCTACAAGATAGAAAGGTGCTCCAATGAGGACCGAGTGGGTGAGTTTGACAGGCAGGAAAAAGTGGAGGAAAGCAGGAAGAATGAACAAATAGCAGATCAGTCATTTCAAGGTTACTTTCCTTATAGAGGTGTAGACGAAATCTTGGTGTAATGTAATTTGGCTTTCATCCCTCTCCTGATTTCTCAGAAGATCTTACAAGTAAGCAACCCAGGTTTCAGTTTGGTAGCATGAATCCTTAGCATTTAGTGACTCCAGTTTTGGTCTGCTGTCTTTCTTAAATGGATGCATGAGGCAACCATTGGGTACTGGGGGGGGGACTGCTTAGCTTAGGAATGAGATACAGCAATAGGTATATTTAGAAGGATGCAGTTTAGCTTAGCACAGTATTTACCAAGCATCAGTCACTTGGGTACTAACTGCAAGATGTATGCTAAACCTCTCCTATTATTTACATAGTATATTTATTTAAATTCTCAATATCTTAAGTTTGAAAAACTTTAAAAATAATATGTGACATCTATAAAGTGATGGTTTGAATGCTCACTATTTTAATATGTTAAATAGATTAATTATTAGAAGAAAATATGGGAGGTCAGGCACAGTGACTTATGCCTGTAATCCCAGCACTTTGGAAGGCCAAGACAGGCGGATTGTCTGAGGCCAGGAGTTCAAGACCAGCTGGCCAACATGGCAAAACCCTGTCTCTGCTAAAAATACAAAAATTAGCCAGGCATGATGGCGCATGCCTGTAATCCCAGCTTTTTGGGAGGCCAAGGCAGGAGAATTGCTTAAACCCTAGAGGCGCAGGTTGCAGTGAGTCAAGATCACACCGCTGCACTCCAGGCCTAGGCGACAAAACAAAACTCTATCTCAAAAAAAAGAAAGAAAGAAAAATTGGCCAGGCACAGTGGCTCCAGCCTGTAATCCCAGCACTTTGGGAGGCCAAGGCAGGTGGATCACAAGGTCAGGAGATGGAGACCAGCCTTGCCACCATGGTGAAACCCTGTCTCTACTAAAATACAAAAAATTAACCAGGCATGGTGGTGGCGGCACGTGCCTGTAGTCCCAGCTACTCGGGAGGCTGAGGCAGGAGAATCTCTTGAACCTGGGAACCTGGGAGGCAGAGGTTGCAGTAAGCCGAGACCACGCCACTGCACTCCAGCCTGGGTGACAGAGTGAGACTCCGTCTCAAAAAAAAAAAAAAAAAAAAAGTAAAGAAAATATGGGAAAACTTCATGATATTGGATTCTTGCATATGACACCAAAAGCACAGTCAACAAAAGAAAAAAATAATTTGGACTATATCAAAATTTAAAATTTTGTACATCAAAGGACACTATTAATCCAGTGAAAAGGCAACCCAGGAAATGGAGAAAATATTTTCAAATCGCATATCTGATAAGGAGTTAATATCCAGATTATATAAAGAATACCTGGCTGGGTGCAGTGGCTCATTCCTATAATCCCAGCACTTTGGGAAGCCGAGGTGGGTGGATCACGAGGTCAGGAGATCGAGACCATCCTGGCCAATATGGTGAAACCTCATCTCTACTAAAAATACAAAAATTAGTCGGGCGTGGTGGTGTGTGCCTGTAGTCCCAGCTACTCAGGAGGCTGAGGCAGGAGAATTGCTTAAACCTGAGAGGCGGAGGTTGCAGTGAGCCAAGATTGCGCCACTACACTCCAGCTTGGATGACAGAGCGAGACTCCATCTCAAAAAAAAAAAAAAAAAAAAAAGAATGCCTACAACTCAACAACAACAACAAAAAACCTGATTGAAAACATGGACAAATACCAGCATGGGCAAGACAGCAAGACCCTGTCTCTCCAAAAAGCAAAAAATTAGCCTCTTGCTAGAGAGGCTGAGGTGGAAGGATCACTTGAGTTCAGGAGTTTGAGGCTGCAGTGAACCATGATCTCACCACTGTACTCTATCTGAGGTAACAAAGTGAGACCCTGTCTCAAAAAAGAAACAAAACAGAAAAATAGACAAATAACTTGAATAGACAGTTCTCAAAAGAAGATATACAAATAGCCAATAAGCACATGAAGATAATATCATCAGTTATTAGGGAAATGCTAATCAAACCCGTATTGAGATACCACTTCACACCCATTAGGATGGCTATTATCAAAAAGAAAAAAACAGTGACCAGGCACTGTGGCTTATGCCTGTAATCCCAGCACTTTGGGAGGCTGAGGCAGGCAGATCACTTGAGGCCAGGAGTTCAAGACCTGGCCAACATGGTGAAACCCTGTCTCTACTAAAAATACAAAAATTAGTCAGGTGTGGTGGTGCAGGCCTGTAATCCCAGCTACTCGGGAAGCTGAAGCAGGAGAATCGCTTGAACTCAGGAGGCAGAGGTTGCAGTGAGCCAAGATCGTGCCACTGCACTCCAGCCTGGGTGACACAGCGAGACTCCATCTCAAAAAAAAAGCAGCCGGGCATGGTGGGTGGCTCATGGCTGAAAACTCAGAGCTTCATGAGGCTGAGCTGAGCGGATCACTTGAGTGTAGGAGTTTGAGACCAGCCTGGGCAGCATGGCAAGACCTCATCTCTACAAAAAAACAGAAATACAAAAATTAACCAGGTATGGTGGCTCCCGCCTGTAGTCCCACCTACTCAGGAGGCTGAGAGGTGGGCAGATTGCCTGGAAGGTCGAGGCTGCAAGTGAGCTGAAATTGTGCCACTGCACTCCTCCAACGTGGGCAACAGATGAAGACCCCCTCTCAAAAAAAAAAAGAGAAAAAGAAAATGACAAGTTTTGGCTAGGGTGTGGAGAAATTGAAACCCTTGTGCATGGCTGGTGGGAATGTAAAATGCTGTAGCCACTGTTGAAAACAGTGTGGTGTTTTTTCAAAAAATTAAAAATAAAATTACCGTGTAATCCAAAATTCCACTTCTGGGAATATACACAAAATAACTGAAGGCAGGGACTCAGAACAGACATTTGTACACCCGTGTTCATAGCAGCATTATTCCCAATAGCCAAAAGTTGGAAGCAACCCAAATGTCCATCAGTGGATAAATAAAATGTGGTCTGTATGTGTATATATATAATATTCTACTGTATATATATATATATATATATATGGTAGAATAATACACAGCCTTAAAAAGGAAGGGAATTTTGGCATATTTTACAACACGGATGAACCTTGAAGATGTAATGCTAAGTGAAATAAGCTAATCACAAAGAGTCCAAACTATGATTCCACTTATATGAGCTGCCTAGAATAGTGAAAGGTGTGGAGACAGAAAGTTGAATGGTGATTGTCAGGGCCTTGGGAGGAGGAGGAGGAATGGGAAGGTACTGTTAAGTGAGTACAGAGCTTTCGCTTGGGAAGATGAAAACATTCTGGAGCTGAATGATGGTGATGTTTGCACAACATTGTGAATGTACTTAACACTACTAAAGCATACACCTAAATATAGTTAAGGTGGCAAACTTCATCTTATGTATATTTTACCACAATAAAAAATACGTTATTAAAATAAAAGTTTCTCAGCCAGGTGCAGTGGCTCACACCTGTAATCCCAGCACTTTGGGAGGCTAAGGAGGGCAGATCGCTTGAGCCCAGGAGTTCAAGACCAGCATGGGCAACAAAGCAAAACCCCATCTCTAAAAATAAAATAAAAATTGTTTCTCATGGCTCGGCATGGTGACACACATTTGTAACCCCAGCAGTTTGAGAGGCATAGGTGGGGAGATCACTTGAGCTCTGGAGTTCTAGGCCAGCCTGGGCAACATAGGGAGAGCCTGGTTTCTACAAAAAATATATATATATAAATTAGCCTGGTGTGGTGGCATGCACCTGTAGTCCCAGCTACTCAGGAGCCTGAGGTGGGAGGATCGCTTGAGCCCAGGAGGTCAAGGCTGCAGTGAGTCATGATCACGCCACTGCACTCCAGCTGGGGCAACACAAGACCCTGCCATAAATAAATAAATAAATAAATAAATAAATAAATAAATACCTGTTTATGCACCACTAACTGTCATCTTGCACACCACCTTCAAGGGAAGTATCTCTCAGGTGGAAGGTGATTCGAGTTCAATCCCACCCTGCCAGTTTCCAGCACCTGGACAAAGCTGCTTGAACCTCTAAGTCCCCTTCCCCTTTTTGGTGTATAAAATTGGTATCGGGGGAACCAGCCCCCAATATTTCAATATAGGTTCTTTCTATTTTCCCTAAGTTTCGGCCGGTCTGAGAAATAAAGAGTACAAAGAGAAATTTTCAGCTGGGCCTCCGGGGGTGTCATCACATATTGGTAGGACTGTGATGATGACCCGAGCTGCAAAACCAGCAAGTTTTTATTAGGGATTTTAAAAGGGGAGGGGGTGTACGAACAGAGAGTAGGTCACAAGGATCACATGCTTCAAAGGGCAATAAAGATCACAAGGCAAGGCAAAATTAGAATTACTGATGAGGGTCTATGTCCCGCTGTGCACGCATTGTCTTGATAAACATCTTAACAGGAAACAGGGCTCGAGAGCAGACAACTGGTCTGACTACGATTTACCAGGCTGGAATTTCCCAATCCTAGTAAGCCTGAGGGCACTGCAGGAGACCAGGGCGTATTTCAGTCCTTATCTCAACTGCATAAGACAAACACTCCCAGAGCGGCCATCTATAGACCTCCCCCCAGGAATGCATTCCTTCCCCAGGGTTGTTCCTTCCTGGGAAAAGAATTCAGTGATATTTCTTCTACTTGCACATCTGTCTATAGGCTTTCTGCAAGAAGAAAAATATGGCTCTATTCTGCCCGACCCCACAGGCAGTCAGACCTTATGGTTATCTTCTCTTGTTCCCTGAAAAATTGCTGTTATTCTGTTCTTTTTCAGGGTGCACTGATTTCATATTGTTCAAACACATATATTTTACAATCAGATTTCATATTGTTCAAACACACGTTCTTCAATCAATTTGTACAATAGTGGTCCTGAGGTGACGTGCATTCTCAGCTTACGAAGATAACAGGATCAAGAGATTAAAGACAGGCATAAGAAATTATAAGAGTATTATTAGGGAAGTGATAAATGTCCATGAAATCTTCACAATTTATGTTCAGAGATTGCAGTAAAGGCAGGCGTAAGAAATTATAAAAGTATTAATTTTGGGAACTGATAAATGTCCATGAAATCCTCACAATTTTATGTTCTTCTGCCTCAGCTCCAGCCGGTCCCTCTGTTCGGGGTCCCTGATTTCCCGCAACAATTGGAATAATAAAACCTGGCATGGTGGCACATACCTGTAGTCCCAGCTACTCGGGAGGCTGAGGCAGGAGGGTTGCTTGAGCCCAGGAGTTTGAGGCTATAGTATGCTATGGTGTAACCTGTGAATGGCTACTGCATTCTAGCCTGGAGAACATAGGGAGACCTTGTCTAAAAACTAGAGAAATAAAATTAAGAATTGGGATGCTAATAGTATCTACCTCAGTGGAATACTTTTGGGTTTGTTTGTTTGTTTGTTTGTTTTTCCCCCAAGACGGAGTCTTGCTCTGTCGCCCAGGCTGGAGTGCAGTGGTGTGATCTCGGCTCACTGCAACCTCCGCCTCCCGGGTTCAAGCAATTCTCCTGCCTCAGCCTCCTGAGTAGCTGGGATTACAGGCACTTGCCACCATGCCCGGCTAATTTTTTTTTTTTTTTTTTTTTTTGAGACGGAGTCTCGCTCTATCGCCCAGGCCGGACTGCGGACTGCAGTGGCGCCAATCTCGGCTCACTGCAAGCTCCGCTTCCCGGGTTCACGCCATTCTCCTGCCTCAGCCTCCCGAGTAGCTGAGACTACAGGCGCCCGCCACCGCGCCCGGCTAATTTTTTGTATTTTTAGTAGAGACGGGGTTTCACCTTGTTAGCCAGGATGGTCTCAATCTCCTGACCTCATGATCCACCCGCCTCGGCCTCCCAAAGTGCTGGGATTACAGGCGTGAGCCACCGCGCCCAGCCCTAATTTTTGTATTCTTAGTAGAGACGGGGTTTCGCCATGTTGGCCAGGCTGGTCTCAAATTCTTGACCTCTTAATCCGCCCACCTCAGCCTCCCAACGTGCTGGGACTACAGGCATGAGCCACCGCACCCGGCCACTTTGGAGTTTTAAGTGAGATGTTTGTCTGTGACTGTGGAGTGGTGAGCACTGTGTCTGGTAAGGTCTCAACTAATGGTAGCTGGTGTGACCATCTCTAGTCTTTCTCTAACTGAGCACACAGTCTTTCCCCTTCCTGGATCACATAGAGTTCAGGCGGTTTCCAGAGAGGTTTGATTCGGTAATGGCTCCTGTATTCAAATGATGAGTGTTTGTTTCTGAGCCTCAGTTCCCTCATCTATAAAATAGGAATAAAATAGACTGCTTCTGTCATCTGCCTTCCAGAGAAGTCAGAGCTTCCAAGAGTGGCTGCTGATTTGCCAATGAACACACTCATTTTGGCCATGCCAAGGGGGATCTGTGTGTGTGATGGGGCCGGGCCAAGGAGCAGTTTGATTCAACTTTTGCAAAGCCATGACTTCTGTTTTTCCATTTACCCAATCTTCCCCCTTTCAAACTCCCATGACGTCTTTTAAAAAGCACCATGTCTGCTCATCTTACTGAGATGTACAAGATAACACGTAAAGCCTGTAGTAGGGAGCCTGGCATGGAGTAGGCATTTCCGAGGCGCTCCTTCCATTCCCTGCTGCCCTCTTATTTAAACATTCCCAGCACTTCCTTGGGCACTAGAATAAGGTTAGATTTTACCTTTGAAATTTACGGTTTCTTTAGATATTACAATAACAATAATTGGTTATCTTCTTTACCTGGAAATGCTTCCCCCTTTGATTAGTCTGTTTTGCACTGCTATAAAGGAATACTGAGGCTGGGTATTTACAAAGCAGTTTATTTGTCTCATAGTTCTACAGACTGTACACGAAGCAACGGTGTCAGCATCTGCTTCCAGTGGGGCCTCAGGAAGCTTTCAATCATGGCAGAAGGCCAAGGGGCAGCGGGGTCTCACGTGGCAAGAGAGGGAGGAGGAGGTGCCAGCCTCTTTAAACAATCAGCTCTTGCATGAACTCTTAGAGCCAGAACTCACTCACTACCTGGAAGACGGCATGGAGACAATAATGAGGGATCCACCCCCATGACCCAAACTCCTCCCACTAGGCCCACCTCCAGCACTGGTGGTCACAGTTCAACGTGAGATTTGGAGGGGACAAACATCCAAACCGTATCACCCCTCAACCCCTCAACTACACCTGGTTTGCTCCTTGTTTTCTAGATTTTGACTGAAATGTCCCCTTCCCGGCAAAGCCGTGTGGACCACCCGGGCTAAAGCAGCCACCTGGTGCTGGCCTGTGTGGCCCAATTCCAGTTCTCCAGGGTGCTCATCACTCTGTGGCAGTTTGTCTTCTGGTTTGTGAGAGAAGAATAAATCTGAGGGACCCAAAATCACTAAAGGGAAAAGTCAAGCTGGGAACTGCTTAGTGCCAACCTGCCTCCCCTTCTATTCAAAGTCACCCCTCTGCTCAATGAAATAAATGCATATCTGATTGCCTCCTTTGGAGAGGCTCATCACAAACTCAAAAGAATGCAACCATTTGCCTTTTATCTACCTATGACCTGGAAGCCACCTCCCGCTTCGAGTTGTCCCGCCTTTCCGGACTGAACCAATGTACATCTTACATATGTTGATTGATGTATCTCCCTAAAATATATAAAACCAAACTGTGCTCTGACCACCTTGGGCATGTGTCATCAGGACCTCCTGAGGCTGTGTCACGGGCGTGCATCCTCAACCTTGGCAAAAATAAACTTTCTAAATTAACTGAGACCTGTCTCAGATATTCGGGGTTCACAAGCTGATGTTCTGTACTCTCTCCGCAACCCCCCAGAGTGCTTTGTTCCCTGCTGTCCAGAGCCAGGCACACTGCAGGCACTCAGGAAAGAAGTGTGCCAACAGAGAGTTCGCTAGTTAGCCTGGCACCTTTGATTTCATTTAATTATTACAGTAATACCGCAGGACTATCCTCATTTTCAGACAAAAAAACTGAGGCTCAGAGAAGTTACCCATGGTGTCCACGGCCGCAAGGCCACCAAGTGGCAGACCTGAATTCAACCAAGTCCATCTGGTTTCCCACCCTTCTGCACCCAGTAGCCTTTGGGTTCCCATGTAAAGCCTCCTTATTAAGCTGCAAGTCTTCCTGAAAACAAGGTGAGTTAGACAAAAACAAACAAACGAAAACAGCAACCCACAGCTCTAGCTTGTCAGGTACCCCAAAGGCCTCCATTTCCCAGTGGCATTTTCTGGGCACCCTGCTGGGGAGTGACGTGCAAGGCCCAGGGCATGGCTTTCTGACATGAGCCTCTGTTGCACACGCTTGTGTACTCTTTATTCTGCATCTGAAGTGGCTTGTGCAGGGCCATGTGTGATTAAGGGGTTTGTCTGCTTCCCCACCAGACTCCTTGCTGGTCCCGCTTACCAGCCAGTTGCCGGGGCCTGTACTGCCCCGGGGCCGTGTATTCCAGGCTTGGCTTCATGCCATGCCCTCTCCACCTCTCTCCTCCTGCGAGGTGCAGCCAGTGTTGCATGGGGACTTCCCATCGTGGCTCAGGCTTGCTCCTCTGACCTCTCCTGGCACTTGGTCCTCCAAAGGAGCTCCCCTTTCTGCTGGCCATCTGCGTTTGCTCACCTGGACTTGCTGAGGGAGCTCGGGTGCCCTGTGTGTGCTTATCTGTGTGTCCCGGCGCCCGGCACAGGCAGGGCCCAGAGTGGGTGCCTGCTCGAGGCCAGGGGATGGGTGAGTTCAGCAGTTAGCTGTGGGGTGTCTGCTTAGGCCCAGCCCTTGGGGGCCTCTAGGAGGGGTCCCCCTGCTCTCCTGCCCTCCTGCCCTCTCTGCAGGAGAGGCTCCAGTGAAGCAGACACAGCTCGATGTTAAGTGAGACAAGTCGGTGAGAATGCACAAGCCACGCAGGCGCTGCTTCGTGATTTTCTCATAACATCTGACACTTGTATGTTCAAATCGCATCACTAAAGAGTAGCTGCATAGGTCTGTCTATGGAGGGTCTCCCACTTTGCTGTCTCTTGTCTCTCCTGTCTAGCCTCGGTCTTTAGCCCTCTCCTCTCCCTGTGGACAGGGCAGTTGTTCTAGCCCAAGAGGATTAGAACCTGAAGGATGCCCTTCTCCCTATAAGGGAAGCCACACATTTGTTTTGGTGAGGGTCATGGTTTTGTTCCAATATCATTTTAGCTTAGGCTGTATTTTCTTTTATAAGACTCAGTTTAAGACTTTTCTACCTGCTCATAAAAATGAGATTAAAAAAAGAGAAAGACTTTTCTAAATGCAATCCTTATAATAATCCAGGAATACTTCATTAAAACAAAAAAGAAAGTAACAATCCACTATTTTTCAACTTTCTTTTTTTTTTGACGGAGTTTTGCTCTTGTTGCCCAGGCTGGAGTGCAATGGTGCGATCTCGGCTCACCGCAACCTCCGCCTCCCGGGTTCAAGCAATTCTCCTGCCTCAGCCTCCCGAGTAGCTAGGATTACAGGCATGCGCCACCATGCCCAGCTAATTTTGTATTTTTAGTAGAGACGGGGTTTCTCCATGTTGGTCAGGCTGGTCTCGAACTTGTCCCCACCTTAGGTGGTCCACCCGCCTTGACCTCCCAAAGTGCTGGGATTACAGGCGTGAGCCACCGCACCTGGCCTCAACTTTCAAAATAATGTCTCTACATGCAGACTTTTGTAATCTAAGCCAGTGCCCTGAATTATTTTCTGACATTGTAAATGTGCTTTTTAAGGATGATAAACAAAGATAATTATTTAATATCAAAAGACTTTAGGCCAGGTGCGATGGCTCACGCCTGTAATCCCAGCACTTTGGGAAGCTGAAGTGGGTGGATCACTTGAGGTCAGGAATTCGAGACCAGCCTGACCAACATGGTGAAACCCCGTCTCTACTAAAAATAAAAAAAATAGCCAGGTGTCATGGCGGGCACCTGTAATCCCAGCTGCTCAGGAGACTGAGGCATGAGCATCACTTGAACCTGGGAGGCAGAGGTTGCAGTGAGCCAAGATCTCACCACTACACTCCAGCCTGGGCAACAGAGTAAGACCCTGTCTCAAAAAAAAAAAAAAAAGAAAAGACTTTATGACCAGTGCAAATTAGAGATCTATATGACACTGTATAACGTATATGCCCAAGTCTGTCTCACAATGGTACTCTAAACACTCGCTATATACAGAAGGTAAGAATTTTATAGTCATTTTGCATTTTCTTCAAAGGTGCTGTTGATAAATAAAAATATTAATAAACCACAAATGTACCTTCCAAAGTCAATAGTTTTATGTTTGAATGGAAAGTACTATCTCCCATCTTAACCTACCCCTGCTTCTAAGAGCTTGACAATGTTTGTTAAATGCCACACACCAGTGTCCTTTCTAAGTCATGTTTTATTTCAACAATAGATTGAAATTTTACCATGATGTTTTATATTTCATCCTAAGTTTTTTTATTTTCAAGTGTATGAAGTCACATCAGTTATGTCTGATAATCCATTTTGGACATGTATTTTCATATAAATTATAGGACATTTTTGCCTTTCAGTTCTCACAACATAGTAAGGAAAAAAAAAAAACCCCCAGCATGTGGAAATATGACTGATGCCATGTTAGTGTGTGGTTGGAAATAATAAAGATTATAAATGACTCCATAGGTGTAGAAAATAAGGGGAGAAGACTTATTGGGGAGAAGTAAAAAAGCTTGTTTTCTTTATGCATAGCAGAAAGAAGGCACCATGACTGATATATTACTATTCACCTTCTTTTTATTTCTAAGGGGGTTTTTATTAACCCCTTTTTATCAATCAAAATAAATTGATTGCCAGTGAATGCAATATTTTCTGACTATTTGAAATTATACAATGAAAGCAAAGACATGTAAACTCACATACTACATTTGCTGACAAACAAGAGACAACCTTTCCCCCAAAAAAGGATTGCTAAATAGTTAAAGATTGTTACAGCTATCTCTTAAAAAAAGAACATTTTAGGCCAGGCATGGTGGTGCTCACCTGTAATCCCAGCACTTTGAGAGGCCAAGGCAGAGGATCTTTTGAGCCCAGGCGTTGGAGACCAGCCTTGGAAATATAGGCGACCCCCATCTCTATAAAAAATAAAAATAAAAGTAGCCTGGTGTGGTGGCACATGACTGTGGTCCCAGCTATTCAGGAGGCTGAGGCAGAGGATCCCTTGAGCCTGGGTGGTCTAGGATGCAGTGAGCCATGGTCACGCCATTGCACTCCAGCCTGGGTGAAAAAGCAAGACCCTTTTTCAAAGAAAATAATATTTTATTTAAGGATAGGATTAGGCCTTGGGATTCCTTTGGAATTCAACTTCATCCAGCTGTGTTAGTGGTCATGTAGTCATTAAATATCAGAATACTGTTATTTAATAAATATACCCCATCATAAAAGGTCATATTTCTTTAGGGCAAATACAGTTAGGACCAATCTCCGTCCTGGGCAAGGACTTACCTGATTCAAGAGGGGAGAAAACAGGGTGGTCAGGAATACATTTGTGATTCACTCCCTGAAGAGGCAGTCTGGTGACGTGGTTTGGCTGTGTCTCCACCCAAATCTCTTCTTGAATTGTAGCTCCCATGATTCCCACGTGTTGTGGGAGGTAATCAAGTCATGGGGGTGGGTTTTTCTTGTGCTGTTCTCCTGATAATGAGAAGTCTCATGAGATCTGATGGTTTTATAAAGGGGAGTTCCCTGCATAAGCTCCTTGCCTGCCTCCATGTGAGACATGACTTTGCTCCTCCTTTGACTTCTGCCATAATTGTGAGGCCTTCCCAGCCATATGCAACTGTGAGTCCATTAAACCTCTTTCCTTTATAAATTACCCATCTTGGGTATTTTTTTTTTTTTTTTTTTTTTTTTTGAGACAGAGTTTCGCTCTTACTGCCCAGGCTGGAGTGCAATGGCACAATCTCAGCTCACCGCAACTTCTGCCTCCCAGGTTCAAGTGATTCTCCTGCCTCAGCCTCCTGAGTAGCTGGGATTACACGCATGCGCCACCATGCCTGGTTAATTTTTTATTTTTAGTAAAGATGGGGTTTCTCCCTGTTGGCCAGGCTGGTCTCAAACTCCCAACCTTAGGTGATCCACTCGCCTCAGCCTCCCAAAGTGCTGGGATTACAGGCGTGAGTCACTGCGCTGGGCCAGTATGTCTTTATTAGCAGCATGAAAACTGACTAATGCATCCGGTCACTCTTAGCACAGTGACATTGAATGTGCACAAACTAAAAAATAAGGTTTCAACCAAACTGGTGAGAGCATTCCTCTTGGTGTTCTCTAGGAAGAAGGCCAGAGGGTTTGGGACAATAGAAATAAAACACAGTGGTTTTGAAAATGGGGCCAAACTGTGCTTCCCCGTGGCGGGGCTGAGAAGGAGGGAGCAGGGCACTGAGCCCGCTGTTCTTTCGGCCCTGGGCTCTCTGCCTCCTACCATCAGCCCTCAGGGCAGCTGCTCCTCGCTGACCACCTGGCTGCTGATGGGCTTGGTGGCCAGCAGAGCTGCCCCGTTTTGTCTGTGCAGAGTCAGCCAGACGTGGCTCAGCGCAGCTCTTTCCCTCGGTTTCATGGAGTAAAGGGTTCCTCATTAGGGCCCCACACATCCGTCTCTCATCATAGGAGGGTGACTTTCTTCCTGCATCTCCCGTTTCCACTTAGTCATTTCAACCAGCGGCAAACTGGAAAAAGAACGTATATGTTATGGTGGCAAAGTCTGAAGGTAATGTTGGCATGGAGTGTTTCAATAAGATGTTTCTTTTGATTAAAGCATATTTCATATGATGGGCAAGTAATAGATACAACCTCAGACGTAGGCTAATCATGGAGTCAACAGCAAACTTCTACTTGACTCCTAGGAAACTAGCTCCCTCACCAGAACATTACCGCTGTATTTCTTTCTTTCTTTCTACATACCATCAGGCAACTGGGGCCTATGCATCCTTAAGAATTAGTGGTTTGTTTTTTCTTTTCTTTTTTGGTTTGTTCTAGAAGAAGAAATTTAAAGCCAGCCATTGTTTTACAGAAAAATCATCCTGCCATTGAAACCCAAAGTGGTCCATCCAGTCTGGAGGCCGTGGGAACCATGAATCCTTTCAGAGTTTGAAGCAAATGCAAAACTGTTCACGTCATCCTGGGTTATTTTATTGTCTCACCACCTTCCTGAAATGGAGCTCGAACTTCATTTAGAGTAGCTCTCGGGCACGCTGGCAGGGGGGCTCCCAGAGCTGAGTGAGCAAGGGGTGCATTGAGAAGCAGGCGTTCTGCCCCGACCGGCCCACCTCACTCTCCGCAGAGGGAGGCATTTGTGGTGGGCCAATGTGCATGCAGCCCCAGGCTGGACAACTCCAGAAGAAACTCAAGAACACAAATGTAGATGATTAACCAAAATAGTCTGTTCCATCTTCCTGCACTGGGGGGAAATGCCTCTTGTATTTTAGAGGAGAGAGAGAATGGGAAGGAAGCCACTGCAGGTGTGGCAGACATTGGAGGACTCAGGTCAAGTATAAAACTGCTGTGGCCACGGATTTAACTAAGTTTCAACCAAGTAGCTTTCCAGGTTGGGTGACATCTGCTACATGCTAGAACTAGCTGTGGAGTCTGTGCTTTGGCCCCAGTTTGGAGTCCAGAACTATTAGCATGTATCACCGAGTTGTGTTTGTAAGGGTTGTGTGTATTTTTAGTGCTTCCCAGAGCTTTCTACCCTGATCGCCTTCCACAGGTAGAAGCGGCTGACTGTACCTGGTACCTGGGGCCACTCCAGAGGTCCCCTCTGGGAGGTGATGCCTCTGTGCACAAGCAGCCTGTGCAAGAATGTCAAGGTCAGCGGAAGAGAGGGCACACGCCCTCCAAGGAGGTGGTGTGGGTTGGGACTCAGTGTCCTGGAAGGGACCTCCTTCAGGCAAGAGCTCTTGGAGTCAGACGGCACGAAAGAACCTGAGTATAGAACTTCTCAGGTCTCTAAGGAATTACATCTGATTCTATAAGAATCAGAAGTTTGTTGGCCAGGTGCAGTGGCTCACATCTGTAATCCCAGCACTTGGAGAGGCTAAGGCAGGAAGATCACTTGAGCTCAGGAGTTGGAGACCAGCCTGGGCAATATAGTGAGACCTCATCTCTATTAAAAAAAAAAAAAAAAAGTTTGTGACACCAAGGAAAGCTCATCTGGGTCCTTAGTTTCTTAGATATGAAACATGAACTACAAATAACAGCAGAAAATTAACTCCATCTGGACTTGGAGGATAAATACACATATGCACACACATGCACACAATACTATTTACATATAAAACATTGTGACTCAAACGGAGAGAAAATGCAGCTGCATGTAAACATCTGTGGTGATTAGGTATACCCACTCAGTGACCAACAAATTGCATTCAGTGTGTCTGGGGTGATCGCCTCAGGAACTGGGCCTTCGGTTAGTAACGATGCTTTGGAAGCATGTATGCCAGTCATAACATGTGGAGGGCTTTTCCTCTCTCCCTCCCTGTGTTAACATGCTTTCATATGGCTAGTACAGTCTTGATAAATCTTGCAGGATCTCAAATAGCCTAGTGAAACGGGAAGAGAAGAAGGTGTTAAAAGTTTGCAGGTCAGGGGAAAAGCACGTGTTTTGGGTGAGTCGGTGGAGCCTCCACAAATACAGCATCGGTTTGTGTGAATTCTCAGCTGTGGTTTCTCAGGTTGAATAAAGCCACTCAACAAAGGCTGCTGTTTCTCCAGCCTGAAGAGGCACTTATGCCACCTACAGCCTGGAATCTGGCACTACAATTCGCGCCCAAGTCCCTGGCTCATCCTAGGTGGGAGATTAGAATCTATGTAGGGAATGGAAAATGGGCAGGCATTCCAGGGTGAGTTTTTCTTCCCCCCCGATAAATTGTAAACAAACAATTACAAACATGTTTGAAAATTGTTTTAACTAGTTTTTAGAGATTGCAATAGCTGGGTTGGGATTTATGAACTACATTTCTTATAAATACATTTCTTCTAGAGAACTTCTTGTGGGACGTAATCACTTTTCCCCTCTGTATAGCAGCCCCACAACTCAACCCAAAGCTAGGTTAGGCTACTGGGTACACACTTACCCAGATAGTCTTAGCTTCTTAGGGGAAACCAGATTACTGTGAAGCCATCAGATAAGACATACTTCTGAAAAGAAATGGAATGTATTTTTATTGGCAGAGTCAAGATGAAGTATGTTTTGAAATCTGTTTTACAAATAAACTTACACATAAATTGTCCATCCACTACTTGGAAATCTTTTTTCGTGTTTGAGGAGCTGTCAGAGGTCTCTAATAAACAGTGAGTCTTATTTAGTTTACTGGATATGTAATTCTTCTTTTCTTTGAAAATAATTATTTTTCAAGCAAGTGCAGCAAAAATACAACCAATAAAAATCTAGCTATGACAGCATAAACAACCTTTATGGCATGCATATACATAGACTTCTTCCAATAAAAGCAGTTCCTGGCAAGAAAGGGAACAGAAAATTGGCTGATGTGTTCCCAGATAAGTTCTGGACTCTTAAGGGCTGAGAGAAGAGTCCTCACAGCCCATCTCCAACTCCCCATCCCAGACCGGTCCTTGGTTAGCGTGAGGGAGGCAGGTCCCCATTGCCAGAGTGGCTTGGGCTAAGGAGAAGGGACGGGCTGCTGTCAACTTGGAGTCAGGGGAGCCCCTTCCCAAGGCCCGTTCTTGGGGCCAGGAAGTCTGCTGGACAGAGGCTGAACCCCCCTGCAGGCTCCGGAGGAGCGGGTGGGAGACCGGCCACTGTTCAGGCTCCCCATTCTTGGTCCAGGCCAATTGTCCCCGCGGGAGGGCGGTGCCACGGTGGGTGACAGGGCTGGGGGCGGGGTAGGGGTCGACTTAAGATAATCTGGTCCAGGGGTTCTGCTCTGGGCTGGGTCGACCCGGCTCGCGGGGAGGCTGTTTGCCCTGGGCCTTCCCATCCCCGCGCCTTCCCATCCCCGCGCCCACGCCGCACCCAGGCGAGCAACGTGGAGGGTCGGCGCGGGGCTGCTCCCGGGGAGCCTGGGGTTGCAAGTTCTCAGCAGACGTGCGGGTGCTCATTTATGCTTTTTATAGTAGCTGGAGAAGATGTTATCGCAGCTTGAGAACAGAAATTAAAATATGTATCCTTCAGGTGCAAATCTACTGTACTTACAGTTTTACCGTTTCTCTGCAGGGGGGCTCCATTAATCTTGTAAGAGTGAAATTCCTAAGGAAATTAATTCCCTCCAGTTGGGGTTATTCTCAACTGGTCTTTGGGGGCGGAGTAATTGGAATTTAAGAGTCGCTCTTAAAAGAAAGGAAACGTTGGCCATTTTACTCGAATAACACTTTCTAATGCCAGGCTTTACTCTTTAAAACACCTCCTCCTTCTTTCTCTCCCTGCACCTCTTTGTGTTTCTGGGCTTCCCTTGGTAGGGTTTACAAAGACCCCCACCAGGTGGGACCTCCCCTCCCAGTTTTCCTGAGGCTGACCCCACATTCCTTTCCACGTGGGTTATTTGTGGCCCCCCACCCCCCCTTCTCCCACTGCGCAGCCTGAGGACCACGGGACCACAGGAGGGAATGAGGCATCATGAAAAGTTCATGGCTAAATCATTTCCTTGCCTGTTTAGGAGCAGTAAATGTTTGTTGTCATCACCCAGCAAAATAATTACACCTCAATTTCTCTCTCTCTCTCTCTCTCTCTCTCACACACACACACACACACACACACCCTTTAAAATACAGGCAATTCATAGGCAAGAGGTGAAGTTTTTTTTGCTGCCAGGAAAGTCCAGGAAAGCATCTTCCACTGGAGCTTCAGGTCTCCAAGGCCTAAGCTTCAGTCCCCAGGCCCAGAGCCCCAGGCCCTTATTCTTCAGGCTATGGGAACCCCACCACCACCACCAAGACGGAATAGAACTTGGCTAAATGGCTAAATGCAGGTGTGGTGGCACACGCCTGTAGTCCCAGCTGCTTGGGAGGCTGAGGGAGAAGAATTGCTTGAACCCGGGAGGCGGAGGTTGCAGTGAGCCGAGATCATGCCACTCCACTCCAGCCTGGGCGTCAGAACGAGATTCCGTCTCAAAAAAAAAAAAAAAAAAAAAAAAACCATGGCTAAATGATGCTTATATACAGGGTCAGTAGAATATTAGCGGCCAGGAGGAACCCGTGGGCACATGGCCACAATCAGCCACAGTCCTTGCTTTTCAGCTTAATGGGGCTTAAGGGAAAGGCCAGGTCCAGCGCATTCTAGGCCAGGTCCAGCGCATTCTGTGCCAGCCCAAGCCAATTTAATAGGGTCATGGCCAGTTTTTCCCTGTGGGCCCTAACATGGTCATAGGGAGAGAGGATGGACTTTCCAGGGCACTGTTCGGGGCAGTGAGTCCTGGCGATGTCCCTCCTCTGCTGTGGGTTGGGCAGTTTCCTTAGCTATACAGTGGGTCATGGGCAGTGTGGGTCCCACATCATCAGCTTAATGGGGTGCTGAATGATCAATACAGATGTTTACCTTTGGGGGCTTTTAATAGCTGAAAAGTGCCATCTACCAGTGGGCACCTGTGTATCCCATAGCTCCCCAAAACCTGGCTCAGCTCAGGGCAGAGCCTAGTAGTCTGCTGTCCATGTCAGAATATCAGAGCTCCTAGAGCTGGGAGGAGGTCATCTGCTGCCCCTAGGCCTCTTGATATCAACAGTGACAACATGGGCTCAGGAAACAGAAGCCTAGAATGAGGCCTCAGCTACAACCTCAGAAGCAAAAGTTTTTCTCTGATCTTCTCTTGCCCTCCTGTCCCTGCCCCTCATTCTCCTCTGAGGCTAGCCAGAGAAACTAGAATCCCTCTTCCCTTAGGCACATCATAGAAACCAGTACCCCTTTCCCCCAAATAATTACTCTAACTCCCTGCCCCCCAACACCCGAAAATCCAAAATTCTCCGTGCTACCTAATACACCATATCCTATAGCAAGGTCAGCTAAATAAGCTGACCCCACCTTTCCCGTGTAAAAACAAAGAACCCAACACCCCACCTTTTCTCTGTAAAAACTGGCCATGGGCCAGACATAGTGGCTATGCCTGTTATCCCAACACTTTGGGAGACCAAGGCAGGTGGATCACTTGAGGTCAGGAGCTCAAGACCAGCCTGGCCAATGTGGTAAAACCCCATCTCTACTGAAAATACAAAAAATTAGCCTGGTGTGGTGGCGCATGCCTGTAATCATAGCTACTCGGGAAGCTGAGGCAGGAGAATTACTTGAACCCGGGAGGTGGAGGTTGCAGTGAGCCGAGATCATGCCACTGCACCCCAGCCTGGGTGGCAGAGCGAGACCCCATCTCAAAAATAAGCAAACAAAAAAACTGGCCAAAAAGAAATGTTCTCACCTACCTTGCTTGAGTGTAGTTCATAAGACCTCATTCCACAGAGGGTCTTGCTCCTTTACCCAGAAGGAAGGAGGCTGCACAGAGGCCAGGAAGAATCTGAACACCAGACCAGCCTTGCTGGGTTCTCCCAGTCAGTTCTTTTCAAAGACAAAACACAAAGTCACATTTATTAGAGTTGTCCACAGTCAGCAATGGTGACCTTCTTGCTGGTCTTGCCATTTCTGGACCCTCATGCCTTCTTTCATCTTGCCAAAGACCACATGCTCGCCATGCAACCACTGAGTCTTGGCAGTGCAGATGCCAAACTGGGAACCGTACGTGTTGGTCCAGCATTTGCCTTGGACAACATGCCGGGACCTGTATGCTTCAGGCTACAGTTTTCATCATCAAATTTCTCCCTGTAGATGGACTTGCCACCAGCGCCATTACGGCGTGTGAAGCCACCACCCTAACACATAAGCCCTGGAATAATTCTGTGAAAGCAGGAACCCTCATGACAAAATCCTTTCCCTCCAGTGCTCAGAGCATGCAAGTGTTCTGCTGTCTTTGGAATCTTGTCTGCAAACAGCTCGAAGGGCTGTTTGATGGCCCCAGGGCTTGCCATTGACGGCCATGTTGAAGAACATGGTGGGATTGACCATGGCTGGTAGCAGGGGGTTCTGGGGGGCGTCAGCATCTGCAAAGCCCCCAGTGAGTTCTGCTAGCATAAGAGCATACCCATTTTGTCCAATCGTATTTCTACATAACTGTCCATACTTCGTTGAACCTAAGCATACAAATGGACAGTTTTCCCTGTATCTTTGAGTCTTCACGTGTCACGTGAAACTGTGATCAAATAAATTTGTTTATCTTTTCTCCTATTAATCTGCCTTTTGTCAGTGATTTTCAGCAAACCATCAGAGGGCTAAGGAGAAGCTTTCCTGTGGCCCCTACAATAATAAACTACAAAAAGGGCAGAAATGGAAGTGTTATCCAGGAGTTTTCATAGCATTTTTTTTAGAGTCTGCTCTGCAACTGGTTTGTGCCACTTTCAGCAAATTCCATTTAAAAGAAAAATCAGCGGGCCGGGGGCGGTGGCTCACGCCTGTAATCCCAGCACTTTGGGAGGCCGAGGTGGGCGGATCACGAGGTCGGGAGATCGAGACCATCCTGGCTAACACGGTGAAACCCCATCTCTACTAAAAATACAAAAAATTAGCCGGGCGTGGTGGCAGGCGCCTCTATTCCTAGCTACTCGGGAGGCTGAGGTAGGAGAATGGCATGAACCCGGGAGGCGGAGCTTGCAGTGAGCTCAGATCGCGCTACTGCACTCCAGTCTGGGTGACAGGGCAAGACTCCGTCTCAAAAAATAAAAAATAAAAGAAAAATCAGCATTTATAAAACAGCCACATTTGAGGGGTGATTACTGCTTTTTTTTTTGAAAAGGATTCACTATAGCACATTTCCCCTGTGCAATACAATTTCATTATTTTTTAAATGTCAAAAGCAGTCTATGCTATTAGAAAACAAGCAAATGACACAAAGAAGTGTGTAAGTCAAAGTGAAGGGCCTCCCTTTAGCTCTCCTCTGTTTCTGCCCTCTGGAGGCAAGCTCTGATAATAATTTGGGGAGCATCCTTCTGGAGACCCTTTTCTATGAGCCATTCACTGATATAGTTATATGTTTTATTTACATTCAATTCTACTTAAAAATGATAATCACAGGCCGGGCACAGTGGCTCACACCTGCAATCCCAGCACTTTGGGAAGCCGAGGCGGGCGGATCACCTGAGGTCAGGAGTTCGAGACCAGCCTGACCAACATGGAGAAACTCCGTCTCTACTAAAAATACAAAATTAGGCGGGCGTGGTGGCACACACCTGTAATCCCAGCTACTTGGGAGGCTGAGGCAGGAGAATCGCTTGAACCCGGGAGGTGGAGGTTGCGGTGAGCCGACATCACGCCATTGCACTCCAGCCTGGCCAACAGGAGCAAAACTCCATCTCAAAGAAAAGAAAAGAAAAAAAGTGATAACCAGAATGTGTATCTTGTTTTATGACATGGTATCTTTTTCTTTTTTTTTGACATGGTGTCTTTTTTCCCTCCTATTGCATTCTTTTCATAGTAAACTTTAAAGTCTTATTTACATGGTTTTTAACTAAACTTTTTAGTTTAAAACAACTGTAGATTCACATGCAGTTGTGAGAAATAATACAGATCCTGTGTACACTTTCTTCCGATGACAACACCTTGCAAAACTGTAATACTGCAACCAGGATGTTGATATTTATAAACAATCGACTGATCTTTTTCAGATTTTCCCAGTTTTACTTGTACTCGTGCGCGCGTGCATGCGTGTGTGTGTGTGTGTGCGTTGTTTTTGTTTTTGAGACAGGGTCTTGCTCTGTCGCCCAGGTTAGTGGGCAGTAGCAGTGGCAGGATCATGGCTCACTGCAGCCTCCAACTCCCAGGCTCAAGTGATCTTCTCACCTCAGCCTCTCACCTACCTGGGCCCACAAGTGTGAGCCACCATGCCTGACTCATATATATATATATATTTTTGTAGAGACCGGGTCTTCCTATGTTGCCCGGCTGGTCTCCAACTCCTCGGCTCAAGTGATCCTCCTGTCTGGGGTTTCCAAATTGTTGGGATTACAGGTGTGAGTCAGAGCACCCAGCCAAGTTCTATACAATTTTATCATGTTTAGTTTGTGTTCTCACCACCACAGGCAAGATACAAAATGGTTCCTCATCACTCTCCTGTTGCATTTTAAATAACACAATTTACCGTGTTCAATACCATGTATTTCTCCAGGTGAGGTATACATGTGACAGGCTCCAAAAGGCTTTTAAACACCACAGTAGTGCTGCCCAAGAAAATTCAAGGGCCACGAATGAAAGTTGCCTATGAAATTAGACATTTCTCAGGAGCCAAAGGTAAAAGAGACCAATTTAAATAATATATTTCAGAAAACCGAATATATCCAAATATCCTCATTTCAACATGTAATCAATATAAAAAGTATGAATGATATGCTACTTTTCTCGTACGAAGTCTTTGCAATCCAGTGAGCCCAGTCCTCTGGCAGCTGTTAGCATGGACTGAGTACCTCCTATGTGTCTGACTCTGATCCAGGCACTGAGACACAGATCAGCTCCTGCCCTTTAAGAACACAGGCCAATGGAGGACAAGCACAGTTCTACAACATGAGACAGGCCACGGTAGAAGCAAGCAAAGGAGGCCTGGGAACACCTGGCTAGTAGGGAAGGCTCTGTGGGGGCTTGGCCTCAAAGCCCAGGGACAGCAGGGGGACCAGTCAGAAGGAGCCCCAAGTGTCTGGGTGGGAGCGATGGTGTTCCCTGAGATGGGAACCAAGAGGAGAGGCACTTTGGAGGGAAGGCCCAGTGTGGTTTGGGGATATCCAATAAAAGATGGCCCCTCCTCAAAGTTAGTGGATGCTAGGCTCTGGGATGCAGGGGAGGGTTCTGGGCTTGCTATTGAGGTTTCCCTGGAGGTTGATGTCACTGGGGGCATGGAGATTACTCAGGCCAGAAGGTGTGTGGGAAGCATGGGGTGTGGGGTACAGAGTACACCACATGGAGAGCCAACATCAGGGGGATTCCCAAGGGAGAAAGACAAGCCAGGGATCATCCAAGGAGGCAAGACGGGAGGAGTGCAGGGATCTGTGGACCCACCCAGCCCCTTCTGTTCTGAGGTTACAATGGGTGATGGCTCTGTGGGGCTGCAATGAGTGGCGGCACGCGCGGAGGGCCAGGGGAGGAGGGACATGCTGTGGGCTCCGGGTTCAGGTCCCAGGACTGAATTGGAAGCACCCTGTCTGTGTTGAAGTTCAAGATCTACCACTTCTGTTCCCAGACCTCCCAGTTCTTCCTCACCTTTATGCAATTTCATTTTTGATAATTTCAGCTTCCTAAATGTACACATCTGACTTCACTTTCACTCACATGTCTCACCCCCACCCCTCCACCGGCCCCTTCTATTACAGACCCAGGAGACACAGGAAGTGCAAGGAAGGTCTGGAGCCCCAAAAGCCAGGAGCCTCAGGAGTCAGGTGTCCTGACAGCCAGGAACCCTGACACCCAGGAGCCCTGGCACCCAGGAACCCCAACAGCCAGAAGCCTCTACCACCAGGAGCCCTGACAGCAAGGAACCCCGACACCCAGGAGCCCCTACTACAGCCAGGAAGCCAGGAACCCTAACACCAGGAGCCCTGACACCCAGTCACCCCGACAGCCAGGAAGCCAACAGCAAGAAGCCTCTACCACCAGGAGCCCTGACAGCAAGGAACCCCGACACCCAGGAGCCCCTGCTATAGCCAGGAACCCTAACACCCAGGAGCCCCTACAGTCAGGAACCCCGACACCCAGGGGTCCCGACAGCCAGGAACCCCGACACCCAGGGGTCCCGACAGCCAGGGGCCATTACGGCCAGGAGCCCCGACAGCCAGGGACCTCGACGGCCAGAATCCACTACATCCAGAAGCCCTTATAACCGGGAACCTCCATAGCCAGGAGCCCCTACAGCCAGGAGCCCCTTCAGCCAGGGAGCCCCGAAAGCCAGGAGCCCCGACAGCCAGGAACCATAACAGCCATGAACCCCGGGAGCCAGGAGGCCCGCAGCGGAGTGCCCAGACTTGGCAGGGTCAGAGCCCCCCAGCGGGATCCAGAGCCCGCCGCCGAGGCCCCTTTTGGGATTTCTCAGGCTCGGCAGCCTCAGCGCAGGCAGGGGCGGGGCTTTCCCTCGCGCAGCCGCTCAGCTCCCCGTGGCCCCGCCCACATCCGGCCGCCGGCACTGGATTGCTTCTGTCTGGCGGCGGCAGCATGGCGGCGGGGGCGGCTGAGGCAGCTGTAGCGGCCGTGGAGGAGGTCGGCTCAGCCGGGCAGTTTGAGGAGCTGCTGCGCCTCAAAGCCAAGTAAGCGGGGCGGCGAGCGGTAGGAGTGAGGAGCCGGAGCGGGAGCGGCCGCGAGACCGGGCCGGTGTGGGGCGGCGGGTGGCCCAGCCTGGCTTCTTGGTGCCCGGCTCCCTTCGGCCTCGGGGGACCGGGCCCGGCGCCACCCGTAGACTCCCCCGAGCCTCCGCGTGAGTGGCCCGAGCCGCAGGTTCCCCGCCCCGGAACAGCGAGCAGGGCGCGAGGCTCGCCTGGAAGCCCCGGCCCCAGCCCTGGCTCCGACCCCGACGGCTGTCCAAGCCCGGGGGACGCGACCTTCCCGGCCTCTGGCCTGGGCGGCCCCGCCGCGGGACGGAGGCGGTGGTGACTCAGCCGTGCCGCAGTGGCGGGGCGGGGGACGGGGCGGCGCCGAGACCCCGGCCCTCCGCGCCACGGAGCGGGACCCACGGCTGCGGGCTCCACCTTTCCTGTGCCCGCCGGGAGGGAGCGGCAGGCTCGGCGTCGGCCCATTGCTCTTCAGCCTCCCTTCAGGAACGCCCCTGTCGCAGGAAGAGCGGCGAGGGAAGGCCCCGTTGCATTAGCTAGGCCTGGCTGCCTTTTGAAGTCAGCCTTTAAAGTTTGTTGGACAGCAGGTAGCCTCAGTCTTCAGACTTAACCTGTTGCCGGAGACAGAGATTTCCTGTTCCATGAACTGGTGTAGTGAGAGTCTGTTCAGATTTGGCGCCGGTGTCCAGGTCTTCAATCCCTGGGAAGACTACAAAAGGAGATCCAGAGGAATGCATAGAAAGCGTTTTCTGGGTGGACTAGAAGCTCTGAACTGCAAGCATGCTTACGAGTAAATGCTTACTAGCGTGCGTGCCTGCAGGGAAAGGTCTGCACGTGGACTCTCCGTGATAATACCACCTCACATTGTAGACTACTCCAAGGACTGAGTTGTTCTCTTAGTTGTATTATTAGCGGTTGTTATGGGAACTCTTATGTCGGATTGCCTGGGATCCAGTCCCACCGCAGCCACTCAGTAGCCATGTAACCCCTGGGCACGTTTCATGCCCAAGCCTCAGTTTCCCGACGGTGACATAGATTAGCACCTGTTAGTACCTCAGGGTTGTTGTGAGGGTTAAATGAGATGACGTATGTAAAATACAAATAATACAATGCCTAGTATGCAGGAAGCACTCAGTAGATGTTGGCACTTAGTATTTCAGTAGGAAGTAGAATGGTTCATGGAATTCACAGGCAAAAAGCTTTGTTTTGTTTTGTTTTTGAGACAGGGTCTGGCTCTGTCACCCAGGCTGCAGTGTAGTGGAGCGATCACGGCTCCCTGCAGCCTCCGCCTCCCAGGCTCAAGTGATCGACCCACCTCATCCTCCCGAGTAGCTGGGACCACAGGTGCTCACCACCACGCCCGTCTAATTTTTATTTTTTTTTATAGAGACGAGGTCTCGCCATGTTGCCCAGCCTCGTCTCGACCTTCTGGACTCGAGCGATCTGCCCTCCTCAGCCTCCCAAAGGGTTGGGATTACAGGTGTGAGCTACCACGTCCGGCCAGAAATGCTTATTGATCTAAATTTTGTTTTGTTTGTTTTCGAGACAGGCTGTTGCTCTGTTGCCCAGGCTGAGTGCAGTGGCGTGATCTCGGCTCACTGCAGCCTCTACCTCCTGGGTTCAAGCGATCCTCCCACCTCAGCCTCCTGAGTATCTGGGACTACACGTGCGGTCCACCACGCTGGGCTAATTTGTGTATTTTTCGTAGAGGCAGGGTTTCCTCATGTTGCCCAGGCTGGTCTCTGGAACTCCTGAGCTCAAGTGATTCGCCTGCCTCGGCCTTGTAAAGTATCGGGATTACAGGCTTGAGCCCCCGTGACCTGCCCTGTTGATCTAAATTGAGTGAAATTTTGCCGACTGAATTTGAATTAGAGGCAAGTAGTACTCTGATTTTGCAATGGAGAGTGCAGGTGAGATGGGGTGTTGCCTTTGGAAATGGGGAGGGGTGCGAGTTACTGACTAATGGTTAGAAATGCTTTATGGGGGTGATGAAATTAAAGTGTTATTTAAACAGCTCTTTAGGCATTTCAGGTTTACCTGGGAAATTGTTACGGAAAAAAGCAGGGGTTGGGGAGGGACATGTGACATTTACTCACTGATGGAAGCTGGGCTCTGACTCATCCAGTACAGATCAGCACAATCACAGGAGTCACCAGAAGTGGCCTCTTGAAATGAGCAGGTCTTGTGTGGACCTGCCCTAAGTAAACGTTTTGAATTTACCATCACCTGAAAGGCTGTTTTGTCTGTTTTACATGTTTGTTTTAAATGCTTCATGTTTTAAAAAGTCCTTAAACTATCAAAATGAATAAAAGTGTTTTTTTTTTTTTTTTTTTTTGGGGGGGAGACAGAGTCTCTCTCTGTTGCCCAGGCTGGAGTAGAGTGCAGTGACACAATCTTGGCTCACTGCAACCTCTGCCTCACGGGTTCAAATGATTCTCCTGCCTCAGCCTTCTGAGTAGCTGGGATTACAGGTGCCCGCCACCACGCCTGGCTAATTTTTGCATTTTTAGTAGAGATGGGTTTCACCATGTTGGCCAGGCTGGTCTTGAACTCCTGACCTTAGGTGATGGGCCCGCTTCCCAGCGTGCTGGGATTACAGGCATGAGCCACTGCGCCCGGCCAAAATGGATAAAAGTTTAAATGTAAGTACCATTTGGATGTTGTATCCTTGCCGCTGGCCTGTACTTGAAATGGCCCAGGAAACAATGTGCACTTTCCTTAGTGACTAGTTCAAACGGACACGTGATAAATGATGTGTGGCATCTGGGGAAGGAGCACATTTCTGCAGCTTTTTTGGTGAAGATGGAGACATTTAAGAATATTAGGCCGGGCGCGGTGGCTCACGCCTGTAATCCCAGCACTTTGGGAGGCCGAGGTGGGTGGATCACGAGGTCAGGAGATCGAGACCATCCTGGCTAACACGGTGAAACCCCGTCTTTACTAAAGAAAATACAAAAAATTAGCCAGGCATGGTGGCAGGTGCCTGTAGTCCCAGTTACTCGGGAAGCTGAGGCAGGCGAATGGCATGAACCTGGGAGGCGGAGCTTGCAGTGAGCCAAGATCGTGGCACTGCACTCCAGCCTGGACGACAGACGAAGACTCCATCTCAAAAAAAAAAAAACCAAAAAAAGAATATCATGGTGGCTTACACCAGCAAACCCAGCACTTTGGGAGGATGGCTTGAGGCCAGGAGTTTGAGAGTAGCTTGAACAACATAGAACCCATCTCTACAAAAAATAAAAAAAGTAGCCAGGCATGGTGATGCATGCCTGTAGTCCCCAGCTACTCAGGAGGCTGAGGTGGGAGGATTGTTTGAGCCCAGGAGTTCCAAGCTGCGGTGAGCTATGATCCTGCCACTGTACTCCAGCCTGGGTGACAGAGTGAGACCCTGTCTCAAAAAACAAAAAGTGCCCGAATTTTAGTACTTGTGTTGATGTAATAATTTTAAATCTACTTTCCAAATCATCGCTTCTCCAATTTTAAAATTTGACATGAATTGAAATTTTTTTCTTTTAAGTAGTTGAATCAGATATTTACATAAGTTGCTGAAATCTCAGCTGGTTTGTACAATGGGGTTATTAATATCCATTTGCAGAGTAAGCAGGTTTAGTATATGATATGTTTAATAAGCAGTAGCTGGTATCTGCAGATGAATGTAGTAGCAGAATACTATAATAATTGAAAAACAACTATTTGCTGATGAAGAGCTGAAGTTTATTACATTGTCTAAAGTTACATTAGTCAGGATTTGAATGTGGTTTTTGTCTGATGGTTTTTCTCCAACAATGCTCCAGGCATATGGGGCTATCCATTAAGATGGAAAGAATACTGTAACATGTAATCCAAAAGGGGATAACGTTTATATTTGTTTCAGATATAGTATGTCCTTATAATATTGGACATTATGTGCTTAATTGAGAAATGGAAGGTAAGCATTAAATAGGAGAATATTGTGGATAATTTCAACTAACAATATCATGTTTTAATGTTTTCAAATGTTTTATATTTTTGTTTCATCTTCTCAACATCCCAGAGTGTTGGTTATTGCTGTTTTACAGATGTGGAAGTTAAATTACTCTTCAAAACCATGTTAGTAATAATGAAACTGAAATGAATTCAGTTTCTATGGCATACTTTCTTCTTTTCTTTTTTACTTATTTGGGCTCATACTATTATAAAGTTTGGTAACCTACTTTAATTTTTGAAAAATGTAGTTATATTAGTATTTTCCTGTGGCGTTGAAAGTTCTTTGAAAATTTGATTTGTAATGGCTTTATGTTTTCTTATGACCATTTAAAAACTATTATTGAGCATCAGAAATTTTTCTGATTTGCTACGTAAAGTAGTGGGAAAATATCCATGTACAGAAAATCTTTGTCTCTTAATTACTTCCTTAGGATTGATACTTATGTGTAAGAAATTTCTGAAAGGTCCCAATTTAATTTTTACCAGCAGGACATGAAAGTACTTCTCGTCATCCTTTTTATCATTGAATATTATGATTTAAACAGTCCTTTTGTTGGCTGGGCACGGTGGCTCATGACTGTAATCCCAGCACTTTGAGAGGCGAATGCAGGCAGATTGATTGCTTGAGCCCAGGAGTTTGAGACCAGCCTGGTCATTGGCCAAAGCCCAACTTTACAAAGAACAAAATATGCCTGTAGTCTGGGAGGCTGAGGTGGGAGGATCACCTGAGCCCAGGAAGTCGAGGCTGCACTTGCCTTGCACTCCAGACTGGGCATTAGAGTAAGACCCTGTCTCAAAAAAAGAAAAAAAAAATTTTTTTTTTGGTCAATTTGGTGGAAAATGGTATCCCAGCTTTAAAAAGAAATTGAAGTATTACATACAGTAACAATGCACAGATCTTAATCGTCAGATGTGGTGAATTTTCACAATTGTATACACACCGATAACCACCATTCACAGGAAGAATATAGAACCCAGGAAGTTTTCCATCCCCTTTAGCCCAGCTACTGATTTCTTACTGTCACTGTAGATGAGTTTTCCCTGCTCTTGGACTTTGTGTGAGTAGAATCATACAGTTCTTTGTCTGTGTTATCTTTTGCTCACATATTTTCAAGCTTCATTTGTGTCATTGCTCATGTCTGTGGTTGGTTCCTTTTTACTGGTAAGTTACATTCTGTTGTATGAATGTCTATCACTTTCTCCTGTTGGCGGACATTTGGCTAATTTCCAGTTTTGATTTATTATGTATAGGGCTGCTGTGAGCATTCTTGCATGAGGCCTCTGTGAACCTCTGTTTTGTTCTTGCCATCCTTAGGCAATGGACAAAAAAGCTTCCCTGGATCCTCTTCATTGCTGGAGGCTATGGTGGGCAGAGGCTCCTGAGGGAGGGTTTTGAGGGGTCAGGCCTGTGTTCTAGTTTTAGGGCCAGAATTCAGTTCCAGGGCCCCAGACAACTGCAAGGAAGACTGAAAAATGTAATCTAGCTGAATGCACAGGAGGAAGATGAAACAGTGCTTGATTGAAACAGCACAGTCTCTGCCGTGGACCTGAGGCCCCACCTACTCAACCATTGAAGCTGCTGAGTTGTGCTGGATGCAAATTAACATCCGGTGACTAGGGGCTCCTACAATGTGTCCTTCCCTGCCTTAGGTGGGTCTTCATTTGGAGCTTCCTGCTTTCCTTGTGTGCCTGTGGACACTCTCCCTTCATCAGTCCTACCAGTGGTCTTGCCCTCTGTTTTCCTATGCTTTGATAAATGACCTTGCTTCCCACCTGAGAGAAAACAGGATTTCAGGTAGCATCTCCCCAAGCCCTCCTTCCACTCTCACCTCTCCCAACACTTACCATTTATTTGTAGCCTTACCCATTCTTAATTCCTTGGCTCCTGACTCAGAGGAGACTGCCTTCTTCTTCTTCAAGGTAAGCTCTTCTCTGCTCTGGATTTCCCCTCTCCTGCCTCTTCTGAGTCCTTGCATCCTCAGCTGTCTTGTGTCTACGGCCCTTCCCTCTCCATTTGCACTATCCCCTAGTAAAATAAACATATAAGGATTTTCTTGTATTAAAAAGGCCCATCCCTTGATTTTGTCTTTTTCTCTGCCTGTACAGATCTCTTAGAGTACATCTCTGCTTCCTCATCTTCACTTCAGTCCTCAGTGGACTGCAGTCTGACCTGTGCTTCTGCTATTCCATTGAAGGTACTCTCTCTGTTAGTTGCCCTTTCCTGTTGCATTGGATGATTGTCACTCCCTCTTGACACTCTTCTCTTGACTTCTATGTGACCCTTCAATCTTCCAGTACCGCCTAGGACCCCTTAATCTTCCAGTACCGCCTAGGACCCCTTCTCTGCTTTACTACATAAGTTCCTTCTCCTCCATCTGTCCTAACTTAATGTTGATAAGCCCCCTGAGGCGCTGACCTCGGGTCTCCTCTGTGTCCCTCTGTAACCCTTTGCGGTGTGGTGCTGGCACTGTTCCTTTCTTGATTCCCAAATCTGTATATCAGGTGCAGACTTCTTCCCTGAGCTCTAGACATCATACTAACAACCCATTAAACTTCCTTTCCTCAGGTTGGCAGCTTCTGCACTATGATTTGAGGCATAGTGCCACCACTAGCCATCAGTCTCTAAGCCAGAACTTGGAGCCAGCTGTAGACTGCCTTATCTGTCACCAAATCCTGCCCCTTCTACCTTCGAAATCCTCATGCTGCTCTTTGCTTCTGCTTTCCTGACACTTTATTGTAGGCTTATTCTCTTCTCGCTGGTATTATTTGATCAGTTTTTACAGTTTGTTATTCCTTTCCTTACCCATAGGTTAGTTGTCCTTGGTTCTTTTTGCCATGGAACATATTTCTGTTCGTGATTTTTCAGATTTTTTTGGGAGGTGGTATTATATTTGAACAGAATTCCATAAAACTGAAGGATTTTTTAGTTGGATATGACCATAGATATCTTTGCCAAGATAATTTTGTGTGAAAACTAACTAAAATAGATACTGAGTTATTAATATATTCTGTGTGTTCATACTATAAATGTTTAGAATTTTTTTTTTTTAAATGGGTCTTGCTCTGTTGCCCACACTGGAGTGTAGTGGTATGATCATGGCTCACTACAGCCTCGACCCCCTGGGCTCAAGTAATCCTTCCACCTTAGTCTGCCAGAATGCTGAGTACAGGCATGAGCCACCTTGCCTGGCCTAGAAAAATCTTTTTTTTTTTTTTGAGGCAGAGTCTTGCTCTGCCATCCAGGCTGCAGTGCAGTGGTGTGATCTCAGCTCACTGTAACCTCTGCCTTCTGGGTTCAAACAATTCTTCTGCCTCAGCCTCCTGAGTAGCTGGGATTACAGGCATGCACCAACACACCCGGCTAATTTTTTGTGCTTTTAGTAGAGTTGGGGTTTCACCACATTAGCCAGGCTGGTCTCGAACTGCCGACCTCAAGTGATCTGCCTGCCTCGGCCTCCCAAAGTGCTGGGATTACAGGTGTGAGCCACTGCTCTGGGTCTAGAAAAATCTTTTGTAGCATAATATTAAAAAGTATAAAAAAAAGTCTTTGTGAAAAGCAGTTCTATTCTTTTCCTCGTTTTGCACTGGCATGCCTTCATTTTCAACACTTACTGCTGTTTCTATGGTCACGGTTATGTCTCTCCATCACTATACCACATTTAAAAAGTAAATAATGATATTATTAGTAATGTGTCTACAACCATTTTTCACAAACATTGTGCCATTAATACAGAAATTCAGTTTCCACTTTGCCCAGGGGTCTGAAAATATGGTTGATTTGCCTGGCTTTTTTTTTTTTTTTTTCGTTTACTTTAAGTTCTGGGATACATATGCAGAATGTGCAGGTTTCTTACATAGGTATGCATGTGCCATGGTGGTTTGCTGCACCTATCAACCCATCATCTAGGTTTTAAGCCCTGCATGCATTAGGTATTTGTCCTAATGCTTTCTCTCCCCTTGCCCCCCACCCCCTGACAGGCCCTGGTATGTGATGTTCCCCTCCCTGTGTCCGTGTGGTTTCATTGTTCACCTCCCACTTATGAATGAGAACATGCAATGTTTGTTTTTCTGTTCCTGTGTTAGTTTACTGAGAATGGTGGCTTCCAGCTTCATCCATGTCCCTGCAAAGGACATGAACTCATTCCTTTTTATGACTGCATAGTATTCCATGGTATATATGTGCCACATTTCCTTTATCCAGTCTGTCATTGACAGGCATTTGGGTTGGTTCCAAGTCTTTGATATTGTAAATAGTGCTGCAATAACATAATGTGTGCATGTGTCTTTATAGTAGAATGATTTATAATCTTTTGGGTATATACCCAGTAATGGGATTGCTGGGTCAAATGGTATTTCTGGTTCTAGATCCTTGAGGAATTGCCACACTGTCTTCCACAATGGTTGAACTAATTTACACTCCCACCAACAGTGATTTACATGACTTTTAATTGAGGTGGATGAATATTCAGATCTACTTCAAATGGGCTTCACTTGAAATATCATTGAATTGAAAATTTATCTGAAAGAGTCTCAAGACCTTGCAGAGTGCTTTTATGTTCCAGTGTTGTATACAACAAAATTCTAGCAATATGAAAAACTTCAGACGGTTCTTTTAAAGCTTTCTTTTTTTTCTTTTTGGTAATTTATATCAGTATTTGTGTATTTCCAAAATTGGTATAATTTTAAATAAATGCATTTAATTGATTTACAGGTCCCTCCTTGTGGTCCATTTCTGGGCACCATGGGCTCCACAGTGTGCACAGATGAACGAAGTTATGGCAGAGTTAGCTAAAGAACTCCCTCAAGTTTCATTTGTGAAGGTATTTATATTTCAATGTCATGTCTTTTGTGAATTTAATTCTGATTTATGGGTTAGATTAGGGCTGGGTGCGGTAGCTCACACCTGTAATCCCAGCACTTTGGGAGGCTGAGGCGGGCAGATCACCTGAGTTCAGTAGTTTGAGACCAGCCCAGCCAACATAGTGAAACCCTGTCTCTACTAAAATACAAAAATTAGCTGGGCGTGGTGGCGGGTGCCTATAATCCCAGCTATGTGGGAGGCTGAGGCAGGAGAATCTTTTGAACCCGGGAGGCAGAGATTGCAGTGAGCCGAGATTGTGCCACTGCACTCCAGCCTGGGTGACAGAGCGAGACGCTGTCTCTAAATAAATAAATAAATAAAATAAAAAATTAGATTTTATTAACTAATATAAAGATGGAGTGGTATGGAATTCCAAATATGTATAATTGGTGTGGGATCTGTTATTTTTGCACATCATTCTTAAAAATCTTAAAATAATTTTGCATTTTTTTTTTTTTTGAGACAGAGTCTTGTTCTGTCGCCCAGGCTGGAGTGCAGCTCCAGCTCACTGCAACCTCTGCCTCCCCGGTTTAAGCGATTTTCCTGCCTAAGCCTCCCGAGTAGCTGGGACTACAGGCACATGCCACCACACCCAGCTAATTTTTTGTATTTTTAGTAGAGATGGGGTTTCACCATCTTAGCCAGGATAGTCTTGGTCTCTTGACCTCGTGATCTGCTCACCTTGGCCTCCCAAAGTACTGTGATTAGGCGTGAGCCACCACGCCTGGCCAAATGTACACTTTTCCTTGATCATCCTCGGGTGTGAGGCATGACTACCAAATGTCAAGGTGGCTGTGGGCTGGAGTTTTGGAGAGCACAGGCAGACAAATTAGTTCCCTGTGGGTAACTGTGGTTTTAAGGCATTTAAAATAGTAACACAAATTATGTCATTGAAAAGCTAGGTGTGCTGTAGAAAATAATTCAGGAAGGGGTATGTAAATGCTGCTAGGGACCAGGGAACAGGAAGTTGCTATCTTGGTTTAGATGAAGGCAGACCTCCGGGAGAAGGTGAAAGTCTTTCTAACCTGTTCAGAATGTAGAGGAAGATGGAAGCCAGTCAGTCTCTTCCTTGCCTCTTTTGTTTTTCACTCTGGTTATGTGTACTCCTACATTCCTGCTGTCTCTCTTGAGTGGATGAGTGCTAGGAAAGCTGTAGTTTTGACTGTGGATTAACTCAATTGGTTTAGCACGTTAAAGATATTATTCAGGACTTAGTACTGGTTTAGGCAGCAGGGCCAAAATATGTGTTGAGAGTCTTAGAAATGAATTATCAGGAGGGGAGGTGCACCTTGTATTCCCAAGCCTGAATCCTTAAGATTTAAAAAACAAATGAAAAACCAAAGTCTTATTTTTTAAAACAAGAATCTGTGAGTTCAGAGTACATGTTACCCAATATACTCATATATGGGATTAAAAATAACATCAACTGTATTGGTCTGTATGCCTCTTTCTATGTAAACTGAAAACACAGAATTTTGACAGGGTAATTCATTCGTATAGTAGGTGATAAAATTTTCAGGAGGCTTCTGTATAAATAAGTTTGCTTTGAATAGGCATTATACTCAGTTGGCTCAAAATTCCAAACAGTGTAGAAAGATGTCCGTTGAGAAGGCCCACCCCGTTCCTCTGTTGTCACCCTTGTGTCCCACCACATAAGTAACTGCTTGTATTAATTTTGTATGAATCCTTCTAGTGTTTCTTTATGCAAATAGGGCAGATGTGAATATAGTGATTAGCTTTTTAAAATTTAAGGACTTATTTAAAATTCCAATGAAATGTATAATGTAACTGTAGAGTGTAACCCTAAAATGTCCAATATAAATAATAGAAGGGGGCATTAAAACTGCATGTTTGGTCAGTGATAAAAGATAATGATTACAAGTGAAATGAATGATTAAACATTTCAATCATAAGATTAATCAAGATGATGGTAATTGTTCTAAGTCTGCTTTTATGTGTATCATGTTACTGGTTTAGGTAACACATTGTTCTTAGCTGCTATCTGAATGATTTATTTAAAGTGACTATAGAATTACTTCTCACATTGGTACCAGACTTGGCAGTGAGATTTTAAGTTGTTCAAGTGCTTAAGTATCTCTGTGAGCCAAAGGTTGGAGGAGCCCTCAGCGATTTTGGGTTGTGGGGGATACCTGAGCCTGACTGCACCTGCCACTCATGAGGATGATGACAGCGTAAGATTGGTCATTCTTCCAGGAGTCATCACTTTCCAGAAATTCACTCTATAACATAGTTTTTCTTTGATTAGCCATCATTAAGGGCAAAGGTACTTTCCATGGCATTTGTAAGGCAGCTAATTAAAAGGCACTTGCCGGACAATAGTAAGCAAAAGAGAAGTAGAATGAGAGATCATCGTTCTTTCCCAGTAAGAGAGGCGTGCAGGCTGGGCGCCTCGGCTCACACCTGTAATCCCAACACCTCTTGAGGCTGAGGTGGGAGGATTGCTTGAGGCCAGGAATTCAAAACCAGCCTGATGCACATAGCAAAACCATCTCTACAAAAGAAAAACTAAAAAAGTTAGCTGTGCATGTTGGTGTGCACCTGTAGTCCCAGTTACTTGGGAGGATAAAGCAGAGGATTCCTTGAGCCCAGGAGGTCTCAAGGCGGTCACACCACTGGACGTAGAGTGATACCATGTCTCAAAAAAAAGGAGGAATGTAGTTCATTTTAAAACAGCTTTCTTTTTGTTAATGAGAGTTTTTGGAAAGTTCTAGAGTATGAACTAATGTTCTTCTGCTTCATCTTGTGTCTATTTGATTTCTTAGTCTTTTTTTTGGAGACAAGGTCTCACTCTTATTGCCCAGGCTGTAGTGCAGTGATCTTGGCTCACTGCAGCCTCTACCTCCCAGGCTCAAGCAATTTCTCCACCTTAGCCTCCCGAATAGCTGGGACTATAGGTGTACACCCCTGCCCAGCTAATTTTTGTATTTTTTGTAGCGATACGGTTTCACCATGTTGCTCAGGCTGGTCTTGAACTCATGGGCTCAAGCAGTCTGCCTACCTTGGCCTCCCAAAGTGCTCAGATTATAGATGTGAGCCACTTTGCCCTTCAGTCTTTTTTTTTTTTTTTTTTTTTTTTTTTAATGATGAAATGGTTTGGCATTTTTGGCTTGTGAAGTAAAGGGATCAGTTCATTTTTGTGACTGGGATTTATAAAATCATTAAATAAGTGATCATACACTAGATATTTTTAAACAGATTGTAAACTTTTGTGACTATCAACAATTTCTTATTTTGTAGGAGCTGGTAAAAATAGAGTTAGAAGAGTTAGTCACCCATTTTTGGTCAGAGTAGTTAGTTTGTGCTCTTTGGAATTGAATGCTGAAAGACAAGGTTTTCATATTTATTGCATCTGAATCCCTCATTCTCTGTATTGATGATATGGTCGTAAAGTGTATTTGGGGTGGGGCACAGTGGCTCACACCTGTAATCCCAGCACTTTGGGAGGTGTGAGTGGGAGGATTGTTCAAGGACAGGAGTTCGAGACCAGCCTGGGCAACATAGGGAGACTTCATCTCTACAGAATAAAAATTTAAAAAACTAGCTGTGTACACCTGTTGCCCCAGCTACTTGGGAGGCTGTGGTGGGAGGATTGCTTAAGTCCAGGAGTTAGAGGCTGCAGTGAGCTATGATTGTGCCACTATACTCCAGCTTGGGTGACAGAGTGAGACCTTGTCTCTTAAAAAAAAATTAAAAAGTGCATCTGTACTCCTTTTGGGTGCTGTGTTTATAATGGGTGGTGTTCCATTTACCTGAGTCACTGCCATGTCTAGTGGGCTCTTCTGGGCTCCGTCCTGAGTTTGTCACACCTCCTAGGGCCCAGAGGAGATGATGTGGTATTTCTATCACTAAAAGGAGTTCAAGACCAGCTTGAGTAACATGGTGAAACCCTGTCTCCACTAAAAATACAGAATTTAGCCAGGCATGATGGCGCATGCCTGTAATCCCAGCTACTCGGGAGGCCGAGGCAGGAGAATCATTTCAACCCAGGAGGTGGAGGTTGCAGTGACCCGAGATCGCGCTACTGCACTCCGGCCTGCGTGACAGAGCAAGACTCCGTCTCAAAAAAAAAAAACAAAACAGGAAAAGTCTTAGAGAAACCTTGTGTTTATTCAGAATAAAATGAAATAGTTAAAATGTTTTAGTGCCTTTTATTTTCAAATTACATAGTCAGTATCTTCTCTCATACTGATTCTTGTTTGTATCTTTACCCAAAATAGGAGTACACCTTTGTCATTTAATTAATTGTTTGATATAATCTTCCAAAATATGGTATCTGGCAGAGGGGGGTGGGAGAGAGGAAGAATAGCACAAGGCTTTGTTGGGTGCCTGCTGCTGGTTGTATTTGAGATCCAAATCAACTATTTTGTATGAAATCGTAGCTATTTTTTCCTGTAGCTTTTTTTTTTTTGGTCTCTGTGCCATTGGTTGCTTGGATCAGGAAATGCCCTATATTTTTGTCTATATTGTCATTTAATTCCTTTTTTCATTGCCTCCTTGACTAGATGGTGAGATACTTGACATGGGGACCTTTACCTCATCAGGTTTTCATTAGTAAAAAAAAAAAAAAAAAAATAGGGCCGGGCATGGTGGCTCACGCTTGTAATCCCAGCACTTTGGGAGGCCGAGGCGGGTGGATCACGAGGTCAGGAGATTGAGACCATCCTGGCTAACACGGTGAAACCCCATCTCTACTAAAAATACAAAAAAAATCAGCCAGCTGTGGTGGGACATGCCTCTATTCCCAGCTAGTCGGGAGGCTGAGGCAGGAGAATTGCTTGAACCCAGGAGGCGGAGGTTGCAGTGAGTTGAGACCACACCACTGCATTCCAGCCTGGATAACAGAGCAAGACTCCATCTCAAAAAAAAAAAAAAAAGAAAGAAAGAAAAAGAAAAAAATGACTTTCCTTTGTTCGAATGGCTCTTGCTTTCCATGCAAGCCTCCCTGATCCCACTTCCAGCTTACTGCTCCCATCCTGCTAGGCCATAGTATACTCATTTTACCATATCATGTACTTCAGTGCAAACATTCTCAAAGTCAGACTTACCAGCTAGCTGGTTGGTGAGATTTTATACTATTGTATTTCATTTGACATTAATTTTGTTTATATAGTAGCTGCTGTACTTGCATTTTATTTTCATTGTAATTTAAAATATACGATCAAGGGTATGGAGGAGTTACGTATTTAAATGTATTTTTGCTTCTTGAAAAACAAGAATCTTTATTCTTATTTTGAAAGTGCGACTATCTTAAAGATACAGATTGCACTGTTGAATTTCTAAAGATCTGTACAATCATTATAAATGTAAATGTAGTTTATGTTTAATTTCTGAGTGTATAATTACTGTATGTAAACAGATAGTGTTGGGCAATCTTCCGAAGGGTACCAACTAGCTGTATAACCAGGTGCATGCTAACTAGTGGAATTAAAATTTTTCAGTGGCAGAGAATGTTGGCCAATTTATTTGGCATCTTAAGAGAGCATATGTTGGATTTCATTCTACAGGAAGGAACTCTAAAAATGCGTCTCAGATAATTCTGGTAGAATTGTTTTTTTTTTTTTTTTGAGACAGAGTCTCACTGTGTCGCCCAGGCTGGAGTGCAATGGCGTGAACTCAGCTCACTGCAACCTCTGCCTCCTGGGTTCAAGGAATTCTCCTGCCTCAGCCTCCTGAGTAGCTGGGATTACAGGTGTGTGCCACCACTCCTGGCTAATTTTTGTATTTTTAGTAGAGACGGGGTTTCACCGTGTTGGCCAGGCTGGTTTCGAACTCATGACCTCGTGATCCGCCTGCCTCGGCCTCCCAAAGTGCTGGGATTACAGGCATGAGCCATCGTGCCCGGCTCTGGTAGAATTGTTAAATCTTAAAAAGACTGTAGGTTTTTATCTGTGCTATCTTGGTAATTAAAAAAACCCAAAATTAACATGGTTTTATTAGCTGTTTCTGGGCTAAGTTTGGTGAAAGTATTTAAAGAAGTTATCAAAACTTTTTTTTAAAATTATTATTATACTTTAAATTCTAGGGTACATGTGCACAATGTGCAGGTTCGTTACATAGGTATACATGTGCCATGTTGGTTTGCTGTACCCATCAACTCATCATTTACATTAGGTATTTCTCCTAACGCTATCCCTCCCTCAGCCCCCCACCCTCCAACAGGCCCCGGTGTGTGATGTTCCCCTCCCTGTGTCCATGTGTTCTCATTGTTCAGCTCCCACTTATGAGTGAGAACATGTGGTGTTTGGTTTTCTGTCCTTGTGATTGTTTGCTGAAAATGCTGGTTTCCAGCTTCATCCATGTCCCTGTAAAGGACATGAACTCATCCTTTTTTTATGGCTGCATTATATTCCGTGATGTATATGTGCCACATTTTCTTTATCCAGTCTATTATTGTTGGTTTAAAGTCTGTTTTATCAGAGACCAGGATTGCAACCCCTGCTTTTTTTGCTTTCCATTTGCTTGGTAGATCTTCCTCCATCCCTTTATTTTGAGCCTATGTTTGTCTTTGCACATGAGATGGGTCTCCTGAATACAGCACACCGATGGGTCTTGACTCTGTCCAATTTGCCAGGCTGTGTCTTTTAGTCTTTTAATTGGGGCATTTAGCCCACTTACATTTAAGGTTAATTTTGTTGTGTGTGAATTTTTTTTTTTTTTGAGACGGAGTCTCACTCTATTGCCCAGGCTGGAGTGCAGTGATGCGATCGGTTCACTGCAACTTCCGCCTTCCAGGTTCAAGCGATTCTCCTGCCTCAGCCTCCTGAGTAGCTGGGATTACAGGCACCTGCCACCATACCCAGCTAATTTTTGTATTTTTAGTAGAGACAGGGTTTCACCGTGTTGGCCAGGCTGGTCTCAAACTCCTGACCTCAAATGATCCACCTGCCTCAACCTCCCGAAGTGCTGGAATTACAGGCATGAACCACTACACCCAGTCTGTTACATGTGAATTTGATTCTGTCATTATGATGCTAACTGGTAATTTTGCCCGTTCGTTAATGCAGTTTCTTCATAGTGTCGATGGTGTTTCACCATTTGGCCTGTTTTTGCAGTGGCTGGTACTGGTTGTTCCTTTCCATGTTTAGTGCTTCCTTCAGGAGCTCTTGTAAGGCAGGCCTGGTGGTGACAGAATCTCTCAGCATTTTCTTGTCTTTAAATGATTTTATTTCTCCTTCACTTATGAAGCTTAGTTTGGCTGGATATGAAATTCTGGGTTGAAAATTCTTTAAGAATGTTGAATATTGGCCCCCACTCTCTTCTGGCTTGTAGGGTTTCTGCCGAGAGATCTGCTGTTAGTCTGATAGCCTTCCCTTTGTGGGTAACCCAACCTTTCTCTCTGGCTGCCCTTAACATTTTTTCCTTAATTTCAACCTTGGTGAATCTGACAGTTATATGTCTTGGGGTCGCTCTTCTTGAGGAGTATATTTGTGGTGGTCTGTGTATTTCCTGAATTTGAATGTTGGCCTGCCCTGCTAGGTTGGGTAAGTTCTCCTGGATAATATCCTGAAGAGTGTTTCCTAACTTGGTTCCATTCTCCCTGTCACTTTCAGGTACACCAATCAAACGTAGATTTGGTCTTTTCACATAGTCTCATATTTCTTGGAGGCTTTGTTCGTTTCTTTTCACTCTTTTTTGCTCTAATCTTGTCTTCTCACTTTATTTCATTAATTTGATCTTCCATCACTGATATCCTTTTTTCCGCTTGATCGAATCGGCTATTGAAGCTTGTGTATGCTTCACGCAGTTCTCATACTGTGGTTTTCAGCTCCATCAGGTCATTTAAGCTCTTCTCTACATTGATTAGTTAGCCACTTGTCTAACTTTTTTCAAGGTTTTTAGCTTCCTTGCAATGAGTTAGAACATGCTCCTTTAGCTAGGAGAAGTTTGTTATTACCGATCTTCTGAATCCTGCTTCTGTCAACTTGTTGAACTCATTCTCTGTCCAGTTTTATTCCCTTGCTGGCAAGGAGTTGCGTTCCTTTGGAGGAGAAGAGACGTTCTGGTTTTTGGAATTTTCAGCCTTTCTGCTCTGGTTTCTCCCCATCTTTGTGGTTTTATCTACCTTTGGTCTTTGATGTTGGTGACATTTGGATGGGGTTTCTGTGTGGATATCCTTTTTGTTGATGTTGATGCTATTCCTTTCTGTTTGTTAGTTTTCTTTCTAACGGGCCCCTCAGCTGCAGGTCTGTTGGAGTTTGCTGGAGGTCCACTCCAGACCCTGTTTGTCTGGGTATCACCAGCAGAGGCTGCAGAACAGCAAATATTGCTGCCTGATCCTTCCTCTGGAAGCTTCGTTCCAGCGGGGCACCTGTCTGCATGAGGTGTCTGTCGGCCCCTACTGGGAGGTGTCTCCCAGTGAGGCTATACGGGGGTCAGGGACCCACTTGAGGAGGCAGTTTGTCTGTTATCGGATCTTGAATGCCATGCTGGGAGAACCACCTGCTCTCTTCAGAGCTGTCAGGCAGGGACGTTTAAGTCTGTAGAAGCCTTTTGTTCAGATATGCCCTGCCCCCAGAGGTGGAATCTAGAGAGGCAGCAGGCCTTGCTGAGCTGTGGTGGGCTTCACCCAGTTTGAGCTTCCCTGCCACTTTGTTTACACTGTGAGCATAGAACTGCCTACTCAAGCCTCAGCAATGGCCTACTCAAGCCTCAGCAATGGCGGACGCCCCTCCCCTAGCCAAGCTTCAGTGTCCTAGGTCGATCTCAGACTGCTGCGCTGGCAGCGAGCAAGGCTCCATGGGTGTGGGACTCACCGAGCCAGGCACGGGAGGGAATCTCCTGGTCTGCCAGTTGCAAAGACTGTGGGTAAAGCGTAGTATTTGGGCAGAAGTGTACCATTCCTTCAGGTACAATCACTCATGGCTTCCCTTGGCTAGGAAAGGGAAATCCTCCAACCCCTTGCGCTTCCTGGGTGAGGTGACGCCCTGCCCTACTTTGGCTCGCCCTCCATGGGCTGCACCCACTGTCCAACCAGTCCCAATAAGATGAACCCGGTATCTCAGTTGGAAATGGAGAAGTCACTCATCTTCTGCATTGATCTCGCTGGGAGCTGCAGACTAGAGCTGTTCCTATTTGGCCATCTTGGAAGCGATCTCAGCCTAAACTATCAAAACTGTTAATTTAAATTTCTGTTTTGAAATTTATATTTGGCTGTTTGACAAAGATTCTGATTTTGAAATACTATTTTTTTTTTTTTAATATCACACATCACAGAGTAGAAGGAAGCCTCTTTTGGAGGTTTAGCCAAATGTTCCTGAATAGCAGGTTTAAGTGTTCTCTCCTTAGTCTTGCAGCTCAGTGCCATCATTGGTAAGTGGCCATCCCCATTCTTGGCTTAGGTATAGTGACCACCTTTGTTTAATATTCGGTCAAAATTTATCAAACACTAAATGCCGCACAGTAGTCTAGGCACTGAGGATACAGAACATTAAGGGTCACAGACAACAAATAGTAGACATATATGTTATCAAGGTAATTTTAGGTAGTAATAAGTTCTGCAAAAGAAAGAAATAGGCTATGAAAATGGGAACTGGGATAGGTGGGATACTTTATTTAGATTGGGCTGGAAGGGTGTATCTAAGGAAGAGAGATCTTTCTTTTTTTTTTAAGAGATAAGGTCTCGCTCTGTCACCCAGGCCAGGGTGCAGTGGTGTGATCATAGCTCACTGCAGCCCCAAACTTCCGAGCTCAAGCATTCTTCCCACCTTGGCCTCCCAAAGTGCTGGGATTACAGGTGTGAGCTACTGTGCCAGCAGGGCCATTTGAAAAATGGAAAGGAGCCAGCCATTGGGAGAGCTAGGAAGAGCTTTTAACCAAAGTGCAGAGTGTCAAAGCAAAAGGCTAGTGGGGCTGGAGGGTGGTGAGAGTGTGATGTGAGGTTGGAGTGGCAGGCAGGGGTCAGTGACCTTGTGGGGAACGATAACATTCAGGTCTTATTCCAAGTGCAATAGCAATGACACAGTTCCATTCCTGTCATAAGTCAGTTACTCTGGCTGGAGAATGGTTTGAAGCGGGAAGGGTGCAGAATAGAAGCAGGTACCCCAGTTAGGAGGCTCCTAGGCCAGGTGAGAGATGAAATGATGTCATGGTCTGAGTGGGATTATATTTTGGAAGGGAGCCCAGAACACCTGTTGATGGAGTAGGTGTGAGAGTGAGAGAAATGGATTAATCAAGGTTGTCTCCTTTTTGATTTTAGGAACTGGATGGATTTTGTGAGATAGAGATGCCTTGTGGGAGGAGCAGGTTTAGTGAGAGGTGTTTGATAGAGCTCTGAGTGCAGGTGTTGAGTGTATAGTCTGGAGGTGAGGGGAGAGGCCTGGGCTGGGAAGAAGTTGGGAGTTGTAATAGCAGCGTCATTTAGAGCCATAGGATCGGATGAGCCCACTCCAGGAGAATGAGTGTGGATAGGCATAGAAGAGGACTCAGAACCAAGGCTGGCACATGCCGGTGTTCAGGGGCTGCCAGAGATGACAGAAACGGACACTGAGTTTGAGCATTTAGGGAGGGCAGAGGAAACATGGAGAGCCAAGTGGAAGGTGTTGCAGGAAGGTGGTTGTGGTCACTGTTACTGAAGGATACTGAAGGGTCAGTGGAATGAGGACAGGGCAGCAGCCATGAAGTGGAACATGGTGTAGGGAGGCGCTTGGCTCCAGAGACACACTGTCTGCCTACATCACTCAACAGGTTTGTAATTGTCCTAGTCCATTTGTGCTACTATAACAGAATACCTTAGACTGAGTAATTTTTAAGCAACAGATTTATTGCTCACAGTTCTAGAGGCTGGGAAATCCAAGATCAAAGCACCAGCAGATTCAGTGTCTGGCAAGGGCTTGCTCTCTGTTCCCAAGATGGCACCTTGTTGCCGTGTCCTCACTTGGCAGCAGGAGAAGAAGGGCAAAAACAGACTAGCCAGCCTCAAACCCTTTTATAATGGCACTGTTCCCATCCATGAGGGCATAGCCGTCTTGGCCTAATCACCTCCCAAAGGCCCCTCTTAATTGCTATCACCTTTGATGTTAATTTCCAGCATATGAATTTAGGAGGGACATATACATTCAAATCATGGCAGTGATCTAGGCCAAGTTATGGAACCTCTTTAAGTTCCAGTTTCTTCTGTAAAATGGATGTTAAAGACGGTGCCTGTTGTTGTAAGGATTAAGTGAGTCTATACGTGTGAGGATTAAGTGAGTCTATACGTGTGAGGATTAAGTGAGTCTATACGTGAAGCACACTTAGAATAGTATCTGGCCCAGAATAAATTGTAGCTATTCGCCGTTACTGTCACAGTGGCATCCGATGACCCCTGCTCAATAAAAGTAGAATAGAGAGAGGATTCCCCATCTCTGGATTTACCTGATGCCTCCCTTGCGCTTTCTTTCCTTCTCCATAGACACATAGCAGGTGGGACTGGTCCCAAGGTTTGGATTCTTGGTATAGGAAGCAAGTGGTTCCCACTTGAGGCATTTTGCCTGGATTCTGTTTTGGAAATGTTCATGTTTGGTTGGTCCTGAAGTCTTGTATAAATCCTACTTTGACATGTAATCTTTATTTTTGATTGTAGTAGTAGAAAAAATTAACCATAGTATAGTGAAAAAAGCACAGGTTTTATAGTCAAACAAACTTTGATTGTTTCTCAGCTCTGCCATTTATTAGCCATGTATCTTTGGGCAAGTTACCCAAGTTATCTCCTGTGTTAGTTAGGGTTCTCTAGAGAAACAGAACTAACTAATAGGATAGGTACAGATAGATGAGAGGGGATTTAGGAGGCTGAGAAGTCTCACCATCTGCCCTCCACATGCTGGAGAACTAGGGAAGCTGGTGGCATAGCTCAGTCCAAGTCTGAAGGCCTGAGAACCTGGGGGCCGCTGGTGCAAGTCCTGCAGTCTAACGGCTGGAGAATCTAGAGCTGTGATGTCCAAAGACAGGAGAAGATGGATATCTCGGCTCCAGGAGGGAGGGATGGGGCAGGAGGGGTGGGGGATGGGGGTGTGCGGAGGAGAGGGAGGGAGAGAGAGAAAGAGGGAGAAAGACAGGATTTGCTTTTTTGCTTTTCCTCTGCATTTTTTTTTCCTAGTTCTTTTCAGGCCTTCAACCTATTGGATGGTGGCCGCCGCCCCCCCCCCCCCCCCCCCCCCCCGCCCATATTGGGTGAGAATGGATCTTCCTTACTCAGTCTACTGATTCAAATGCCAGTCTCTTCCCAAAACACCCTCACAGCCATGCCCAGGAGTAATGTTTTAACAGCTGTCTGGGTATCTCTTAACCCAGTCAAGTTGAAACCTTAAACCAACCATTGCACCTCCTCTTTAACTACTTACTAAGTTGAAATGATAACATGCTAAAATTTCGCACCTTTCAAAATTGTCTGTAGGCTAGGCTGTTTTATGTTAAGGCCTTCTCATGGTTTATGGCACAGGGTAGGTCGCCCATGAATGATAGCTATTTCTGATAATCTTTGAGCTCTTCTGAATGCAGATCCTTTAAAAATATTTATATATTTATTTTCTATTTTCATTGTTAAAACTGTTACATTAAATCCAACAAAAATATTTCTAACGAATTTTAGTGCTGCAAGGGTTTTAGGACTTCAGATGCCCTTGATGTTCTGGAGAACTCTTTTGCCTTAAATGATGTTCCTGTTCCCTTCTTCTTAAGATTTGTCTGTTACCATTGTCTCTTGTTATGAGGATCCCTTCCTCTGGGAGCTGATTGAGTGGAGGCAGTTGTGGTAGTTCTCAGCCTTCAGCAGGAATTGTAAGAGGTCATTTGCTTCCCAGAAGAATTGTTACTCCACTGGAAATCAGCAGGAATATAAGAATGTAAGAAGAAATCAGATTTTTTTTTTTTTTTGAGACGGAGTTTTGCTTAGTCGCCCAGGCTGGAGTGCAATAGTGCGATCTTGGCTCACTGCAACCTCTGCCTCCCGGGTTCAAGCGATTCTCCCGCCTCAGCATCCCGAGTAGCCGGGATTACAGGCACCCGCCATCATGCCTGGCTAAGAAATCAGATTTTAAAAGAAGATAGGAATTTGTTTTTATGAGTCAGGGTGCTACCTGTTTTGTTCTGGTTTAAGATCACATTACCTTATTTCTACTTAGTATTGCCTTTTTTTTGGATTTGTATTACTTGTTGGTTAGAATTCAGTAGTACTGAAGGAAGGGCCCTTTTGTGATCCTTGCTGAATGCCCAGTGCGTAGTGGGCACTCCATAGATGTTAGTTGAAAGACAGAAAATAATGAGCTGGAGGATGGTAGTGTAGGCATGCCCTAGTCATTAACTTTTCTGGTCATCTTTGATCTGAGTGTGCTGTTGTGTATGTGAAAGAAAATAACACAAACGTCTTTAAAACTTTTGAGAGTCTGTTCTAAATAGCTGTCTCGAATGCCTTATCTTTTTGTTCTTTTTTCAGATTATTAGACTATTGTTGATTTTATAGAATTTTCATATAAGTACATTTTAAAAATGGAAATAATTAAAAATATTGTTGCAAAAGTGTTTTCTAAAAAAATAAGAATTAAGGTAGTAAAAGAGCACCCAAGAATGTAGGAGATAGAAGATAAAAGCCAAATACATAGTACTCTGCTTCCCACTTTCTCTGCAAGCTTTATTTGGGTAGATATAACCTGATTGGGTAAGGCTCTAAATAAAAATAGTATTTCAAGCCCAGTGGAAATCTTTTACTCTTGGAAAAATACAGTGTATATATTTTAAAAACTTTTTAACAATATAATTTATCAATAAATTTTATTTCCTACAGGTATAATGTGAATACAGATTTTTATTGGTTTCAAAAGTTTATATTAAATTGACAGTCCTATGAGGGAAGGATATAGCTTGGTATTTCTCCAAGTGTATCATTTATAAAGACCTACGTAAATAGCTTACAGTAATTGTGCCCTAATTATTTAGAAATTGTGTTACTAAATGTGTTTTAAATTCATGCATCAGATATCACATCCTGTCTTGTTCAGGGGCCTTAAGGAAATTATCAAACACAATGCAGTCATCTTATTTAAAAGGTATTTACATTGTAAATAGACCGGAAGCAAGTAACCTAGCAAGATATCTGCCTAGTGTCCAGCAGCCTTGCAGGAGTTAAAAGCAAAATTTATCAGACATCAATAGTTTATTGAAGAAATAGTCCTTTTTGCTTCATAATTTGCAGAAGGCTGCAACTGTCAGTCATGATGTACTGCCTCTTGAAATTAGTCAATAGAGCAAACAGCAAGAATTGCTGTGGGCAGAAAATAAGCACTGTAATCATGACATAACTGGGGTCAGTGATTTATGGATTTCAATATAGTAGTAGCTGCATATGATTGAAAATTTACTAGGTCACTAGTGCACCAAAAATTTTATTCACAGCCTCCAGGCATCTTTTGAAATGTGCAACAAAATAAAAACCTCTGAACCTGTTTTGACACTGCAAACTCAGTGGATGACATGCCAGCCCAGTGAGTCTCATTTAAATGTAAATGTGTCATAAACTTTTGTACCATGCTCTTTAAAAAATGCCAGCTACTTGAAGGGATAATGCATGTGAAACTGATTTACATATTAAAGTAGTGAAAAAGGACCTTGTAATAATCAAGCTTGAATTCTTTTATTTTAAAGTTGGAAGCTGAAGGTGTTCCTGAAGTATCTGAAAAATATGAAATTAGCTCTGTTCCCACTTTTCTGTTTTTCAAGGTAAGGATAAAGGTGGTACAAGAGATTATCCATTTGTAGGGTGCCATGGGGCTACCTATTTTGTTTCTTTACCCTCTCTCTAATCCCCGAATATTAGGTGTTTGGCTGTTTCTGGCCCTCCACCTTTCTTCTGATAGTCTCATTTTTGCACCGATGCTGAGAAAGAAGACCATGCCAGCTGCTTGCCAGCATCTTAGAAAAGTAGCATGGACTGTGTAGGGCCAGCAGCCAGAATCAGAGCTTCTTGATCAAAATTCAGATATGTGGCTGTGGAACCCCAGTGTTCCCTGAGTTGGTTAAATTGGTTGTTTAGAGCATGTGCCTGGACATAATGGAATCTCTGGCTGGTTCTGGTTTGATGAATGACTTTTAGGAAGCAGGTGCACACCTGTGCTTCCAGGCACCCATGGGTGTCATCGTAGTTCCCCAAATACCTCATTTATACTTAGTAATAGATTCATTCCAGCCAATGTGGGGGCAGTCTTTTTTGTATTATGTTAGACTGACCTGATTTGACTTTGAGATGTTGCAGTGTTTTCTCAGTGTGTTTCTGAGAAAAGAAAAAAATTATGTATTTCTAAAATTGAGATGCAGTGCAGGCAATTGGCAATGAGGGTTTCTTTTTTTACATCTCCGGTAATACTGTTGTCCCCTTTAAAAATCTGCTATAACAATGTCATTATTATGGAATGCTGCATGTATTCTAAATAACTTTTTAAACTTTAGAATTCTCAGAAAATCGACCGATTAGATGGTGCACATGCCCCAGAGTTGACCAAAAAAGTTCAGCGACATGCATCTAGTGGCTCCTTCCTACCCAGCGCTAATGAACATCTTAAAGAAGATCTCAACCTTCGCTTGAAGAAATTGACTCATGCTGCCCCCTGCATGCTGTTTATGAAAGGAACTCCTCAAGAACCACGCTGTGGTAAGAAGCTGCCTTTAACATAATATAAACAAAATGGGTGCTTTCCCAGAATGGGGTATGGTTGAGATGGGCATCCTGTTTCCAAGGATGCTATACCATACATCTTATACTTGTGTTCACATACTTTTAGAAAATCAAAAAGGTTATAATTCCCAATGACACTATATAAGAATTAGTTTGCATTATGGACTCAGCATGTTGGAACCAAAAGGGGTCTCAGAACTCATCTAATTCAGATTTTTGTTTTATACTGAAGTCCTCAGACTCAAAGATAGAGGTGACTTGCCCAAGGTCACCTGGTAAGCAGAGTTAGGATTAGGTTCCAACTACCATATTGCTGTCTCTTTTGCCTGTTTATCTACTTTTGCTGTTAACAGTTATTTTTTCTTTCTTGGCAGCCTCCTGTTTTTCACCTAGTTCAGATTCAGCAATTAAAAAATTTGCGGAATTTTTCAGTGTTTTTGTGTCCAGCCTGTGTGCTTTTGCCTCCCCTGTGTCATCACTGTCTAATGATTCTCTTCCTGCATTGCTGTCATTTCCAGTTTATAGCTGCTGGTAATGGAAAGATTCCGAATTCTTGGCTTGTAGTCACTCTTATTTTCTGTACACATGGATGCTTATAATTTTGTCCTTAAGTAAGTTTTAGAGTTATTTGACCCCTCTGGTAGTGGGTTTATGTTATTTTCTTTTTACTGTGCCTAGTACAACATTAGTATGCTGCATAATTGAGCATTTAATGCCATTTGATGATGCTGTTGAGACTCTAAGAGTATTTGTATCAACTACACAGGAGGGACTTTATTAAGATAGGGGCAGTAACATTGAGTATGCTCTTGATATGATTACAGCATGTCCAGAGTGACTTTATAAAGATAGCCAAGCTTCTAGTGTGAATTTGATTCTAAATTCTTCCCTGTAGGGTTATTAAATTACATATTAGCTTATGATAATGTCTAGTTTTAAAAATAAAGTTTCATGATGAATTCTTATTTTTTCGAGATGGAATTTCGCTCTTGTTGCCCAGGTTGGAGTGCAATGGCACGATCTCAGTGCGACGGAACCTCTGTCTACTAGGGGTCAAGCGATTCTCCTGTCTCAGCCTCCCGAGTAGCTGGGATTACAGGTGTCCACCACCATGCCCGGCTAATTTTTTTGTATTTTTAGTAGAGATAGGGTTTGTCCATGTTGGTCAGGCTGGTGTCAAACTCCTGACCTCAGGTGATCCGCCTGCCTTGGCCTCCCAAAGTGCTGCTGGGATTATAGGCGTGAGCCACCATGAATTCTGTCTTAAAAGTATCTCTTAGTTCTGCCTAAAAAATTTCCCTGCCAGTATTTATGTGTCAGATAATGCCTGCTATTTGTGTATTGCAAAGCTAACTTAGTCTGTACTAAACTAAAGGTAGCAACAGATAGTCTCTGTTGCGTTTGTTATTTTGTTTTTAACGGGGGTTGCAAATGGTTCACATTCACCTTCTTCCATGAAACATGAAAATTATTTCTTGTACTTTGTGCGGTGGCCACTAAATGGGAACTTACCACTTCAGTTGAATGGATTGTATTCAGCACCTTCATTCAGATCTCAGGTACAGTAGAACTGGCTGTGAAATGTGGGTGAAGCACACCTACAGTGAAATCTCTACAGTATTCTCTCCTTTGGGGTTGAACAGCAGCAGTCTCAGTCTTTTCTGAATGATAAACCTAATGAAAAGGCAGGTGGCAACACTGAAGCTTGGGGAAGGAGTGCTCAGAGGAGAAGGATGTCCTGGGAAGTGTGCTGCACTGGGTGTCATGCCAGGCGAGCCTCAGGCCCACCCCTGCGGCCTTAGCAACTTTGGGGACAAGTCAGGTACCCTCCTTGTGCCTTTAATTCCTTCTAGTGCTGTTGGGAACAAGATTGGCTGTTGGAGCCAATCTTGGAGGGCCTTTTCAGTGTAGATATTGTATGATTATTCAAGTAAATTAGAGAGAAACTTAGACATTTTAATTTTTCTGCTTACCTTTTACTTTATTAAACTGAATTTAAAATATACTGCTAGCATTTTTATATTTATATTAAACTTATTTAAATTATGTTTATTATAATGGAGTGAGATTTGGAAGACTGTACAAATAACAGAATAAAAAAGAAGCTTTGAAATATTTCAGGGCTGGGCGTGGTGGCTCATGCCTGTAATCCCAGCACATTGGGAGGCTGAGGTGGGCGGATCGCTTGAGATCAGGAGTTCGAGACCAGCCTGGCCAACATGGCGAAACCCCGTCTCTACTAAAAATACAAAAATTAGCTGGGCATGGTGGAGTCCTGTAATTCCAGCCACTTGGGAGGCTGAGGCAGGAGAATTGCTTGAACCTGGGAGGCAGAGGTTGCAGTGAGCCGAGATCGAGCCACTGCACTCCAGTATGGGTGACAGAGTGAAACTCTGTCTCAAAACAAAACAAAACACATTTCAGAGCCATCTGAAAACGTAGTATTATAGTTATTTAATTAATAAAAGACAATAAATATTTTGAGATACATATGGTTGAATGGTTACAGTTTCTTCTTTTAAAGTACTTCTATATAATTTTTATAACTACATTTTCAGTGGGTTTTTCTGTTTCCTGATATTTTCTGTTTCATGTCTTTCTGTCACATATAGTAAATAGATCATTTAAGAATGTTGCTGTTCTTTAATAAAATACTTAGGATTAATTGGAAAATATTTTTAAACTGTTTTCTTATGGGAACATAAGTCACCTCGACCCTCTGCTGTTCCTTTCTGAGCCTGGTTAGTGGAGCATTGTTTTTGCTCTTCTTCTGGCATTTTAGAGAAGGGCGTAGGCAAAGCTCCCTTTATAAAAGCACTGGCCATCTCATCTTGTGAACACGCACGTGGCTGCTCTTTCCTTATTTTGCACCAAATTAGCTTTGAAAGTGCTATCTCTGCTAACACCACTGAACTCCCACTGCGGAGTATTTTGATGTTTGTTTTTTGATTAGTTTGTCCCCACCTTGCTTTCTGCTAATCAGAAAAACATGAATGAATAACATTTAAATTTTATATCTAGAAAACCTTGAAAGCCATTTTTAGGGTCTCTCCTGGAGCCCCACTGGACTCAGCCTAACCCCTGCACAGGTCATGTCTCCATCTTCTTATCCTTCATGTGGGCTCTACCTGCAGAATTGTATGGTGTGTTATGAGCCTGACGTGTAGATAGGGTCTCAGTTGAAAAGAATTGGATTGTCCTTACTCTGTGCTCCTCATGAAGATGGGAAAATGCTTGTTTTAGGAAGAGTTTCCAGAAGCACTGAGGTATATGTCATCTTAAACAGAATCTTAAATCCTTGAGCAGGTTAATTATTTGGGAATTCTTATAACTATTTCAGTTAACAAAGCTTTTAGCAAAGCAAAAGGTATTTGAGGCATAGTCAGATATTCCTTCTGCAGTGAGAGTCATCCAGCCGGGCTCTTACTTTTGAATCAGCCACAGAATCAGGTTTCAGAGATGTTTTTTAGGGTTTATTGTTAGGTAGTGATGAGATGCGGTGTTAGGCACCTATTCATGTCATGAGTAGAAATGACTGGGGGTGGAAATGGGGATTCTGTGGCAGTTAAACATTACTTTTCTACATTTAAATATTTTTATTGCATGCATGCATTTTTCTTAAAAAAAGGTGTGTAAATATTTTGTTACTAGAATAAAGCCTTCTTGCCATCTTATCCTTAAGCGTAACATTTCTAGTCTGCCACTTTAACTCTTAAAAATGAAACACTACCAATCAATCTTTCTAGTCTGCATGTAATTGCCTAAAGCTAAAATAAAGCTTCTTCTCAGCCAGTTACAGTAAAAATGAGTTAATATATTGGCAACAGAATAACCATCAGCAATCAGCCGTTAGCTGTTTACTAATGAACTCCCAGATGAATAAAAAAATTTCAGAATCAGTGTTTTACTTCAGGCTGTACATGAACTTAACACTTCAGATGTAGGAAAAGCAACTTATATGCTATACAAATAAATACTAGTGCTTCATCTCAATAAACTGCAGATTTGGAAAATGTTTAGAGCTCACTTGTAGATCCATGTTTTAATAGTAAATATGATTTTGGGTGACATCAGTAAAGCCCATTCTTGCAATTAATCTTATATTGAATTTTATGGTTTGATTTTATTTAAAAACAATTGCTGACACTGCTAAGTCTTATAGAAATTTTGAATCTGAAGAATAGGTTCTTTTCCAGTGAATTACAACTGTGTTTGAGAAGAAGAATGAGGCGTGAAAGAGTAGGGCCCTACATAGTATTGGGAACAATGGAGAAGAATTAGCTTATGGAAAGAAAAATACTTTTTTTTTCAGACTAGGCTAATAGGTTTATAAAAGACTGATATTCACACTCTTATTCTTCAGTTATAATGTCATAATAAGATGATGTCAAAAAAGTACAGAATAAAAATGTGTCACAAAAGTATAATAAAATCATGGAACATAAAATTGTCGCTATAGTGTAGTAAAAAAATTACATTACATACTTTAGGGAATGTAAATAGTTTTAAAAAAGAAACTGTCAAGTTATGACATGAGATGAGAAAGAATACCGTCAATCTATTGATGGTTCATATATAACAACAGAGAAGATAGCTTTAAAATTCAATGTACTGTGTGTATTTTAGACTACAGGAGAACACATGCCTTCTTGATTTCTAATTTATCCTACTTAGAGATAGTGAAGATTGAGAACTACTGAAGTGGGAACTCAGGAAGTAGTAAAATGGCAGTAGAAATGCAACAGCATTGGGTTTTAAGTATAGTCAAGTAGTAGTTAAAAATAACAATTGTAGAATTTTTTCATCTGCCCAGAATTGATTCTCATAGATTCATAACAGAAAGGCTGGGAGGGACTGTCAGAGCATCAGGTCAGTCTCCTGATTAGTAGGAAAGTGCTGAGCGGAGGCCACCCATGGCCTCATCATGTGTCACCTTGGTGGGTGGAGGGAGCAGGTGTCAGATTCAGATTTCTGGTTTTGTTTAAAGACAAGGTCTTGCTTTATCACTCAAACTGGAGGCTGGAGTGCAGTGACAATCTCATAGGTCGCTCCAGCCTCAGACTTCTGGGCTCAAGTGAGCCTGTTGCCTCAGTTTCCCCAGTCTCTGGGATTACAGGTGTGCACCATCACCCCCAGGTCTCTGCTTTTTGGCTAGTGCTATTTCTCCTGTGACAAAAAATGTCCATGATATTGAAGAATAACTTTAATAAATACACACACCACTTTTTTTTTTTTTTTCAGTAGTCACAGTTGTGTCAAAAAGTTAAGTCATATCTGAGTGTGTGATATGGTTCAAGGTCAAATAAGGGGATCCAGGAATTTATTTTCTCTTTGTATATTATTCAGCCATGCTAATTAAATCACCAGCAAAATAAGGCAGGCGTCTATGTCTTTTAGATGATATGTACGCTGAACTAATGTATTATCATGTGTATGTGTTTTGGGAGAGAGAAGTTAAGTGCTTTATTTCTTTTTTTGTGTACAGGTTTCAGCAAGCAGATGGTGGAAATTCTTCACAAACATAATATTCAGTTTAGCAGTTTTGATATCTTCTCAGATGAAGAGGTTCGACAGGGACTCAAAGCCTATTCCAGTTGGCCTACCTATCCTCAGCTCTATGTTTCTGGAGAGCTCATAGGAGGACTTGATATAATTAAGGTTAGAATTGAGAAGTCTGTGCTTTGTAAAGAAATTCCATTTAGAGCATACTTTTTAAAATGTTGTGATAAATCTAAGATACAAATTTCTTATGAATCTATATTTACTAATAAGAACCTGCAATGAATACACAGTATTTCTGATTAGTTGATTGATCAATAATCTGTGTTATGGTATGATCAAGGAGATTTATGTTATAATAATTTTTTTCATAAAACTGGTATGTGTGCTTATTTTAGGAGCTAGAAGCATCTGAAGAACTAGATACAATTTGTCCCAAAGCTCCCAAATTAGAGGAAAGGTAAGTGTTTTAGAAGGTTTCAAATAGCCTATCATTTAATATATTAAAAATATTTTAAAGTCCTCAGGTTTTGCATTGCTCTTTCTGTGTAGAAATCAAGGATTTGGTATGCCAGACGTCATAATTGTTTAGTCACATTAGCCATTCAAACTTTGGCAAATCTAATTTGTATTGGAGAAATTTTAGCACCAACTTAGTGATCATGTGGAGGATCTGCTTTGCTTTTATAGAAATGTCATTGTTTCTGTGGAACAACCAAGTTTTGCTTACCTCTCTGCATTTCAGAGCCAGGGTCCAGTTGTTTTGTCACTGCTCCTTGGCGTAACCTCAGCACACTCGTGTTTTACTGGGTGCAGCCTTGGTGACTGCTGCGGGTGCTGCCCCAACGCCAGAGCACTGAGTGACAAGTGGTGAGTGTGAAAAACTCATCACCTCGCAACAAGCTTTGAGCACTTCTCATGGCCTTTCTAGACCACGAGAACTTACATGAACAGATTTTGGAGGTGTGAAACATGTATTTGTTTTATCAAGGATCTCACTTGGCTTTTAGAGACGTTCTCTTACAGAAATGTTGGACTTTGGTGTGTAAGGCAACTTAATGGGATTTTTATTGCAGTAAAATTAATATAGAACTTTAAAAAGGAATTTATTATATCAGCAATCAGCCATTCATAGTTGGGGCTGGAGATTGTAAGATAAACCTTCCTTTGGTAATTTTTTTTTGCCATGTAACATCTTGAGAATTTCTAAAAGTGTTTAATAATAATAAATACCTCATTTGTCTGTCGTTAATTAATAATTTCTATAAACAGCGTCCAATCCACGTATGTCAGGCTGATCTTTGAGTGCCGCATTCTGTCCTGTGGTTGGTACCATTTCCTGTGTTCTTCATGAGAAAATGATACTCCTCATCCCTTTTTTGACTCTGGGCGTCTTCATGTGTGGTTCTTGCCTGTAGCCTGGTGATGCCCTTGGCCCATGGAGGCTGTGTGGTCTCCAAAGACAGCTGTGTTTTTTATATGCTTGTATTTGCTCTTCAGTTGATTTTCCTTCTCTGCTGAGTGCACTTGCCGCTGTTAATGGCCTTGTCTCCATCAGACCTCCGTTTCCTAATGTGCTGCTTCTAAATCTGTGCTTGCAGACACCAAAGGGTAACGGGCTAGAATTATGTCGGAAGGAAAATTCAGCATATTTGGAGTAATAATTTAAAGGGCTCCGAGTGAGCAGAGTGTAGGAAGTGGAGTTCATGGACTTGTGACATGTATTTTGGCAGTACTTTGTGAGCTGTGGTTCCCTGTATCCAGGTGACTGGGTTAGTTAGTTGGGTTGTCAGGGTCAGCATTGTATTCCTATATCTGTTCATATTTTTCTGAACTTGAGCTAATCCCACTCGGTTGGCAATGTAAGTGATACAGCTTTGTGCGTGATTGATGCATTTCATTTGGGATGAGTTTATAAGGATATTTATTATTATTTTTTTTTGAGACGGACTCTGGCTCTGTAGCCCAGGCTGGAGTGCAGTGGTGCTATCTTGGCTCACTGCAAGCTCCGCCTCCCGGGTTCACACCATTCTCCTGCCTCAGCCTCCCGGGTAGCCGTGACCACAGGCGTCCGCCACCACGTCCGGCTAATTCTTTTGTACTTTTTAGTGGAGACGGGGTTTCACCGTGTTTTGCCAGGATGGTCTTGATCTCCTGACCTCGTGATCCACCTGCCTCAGCCTCCCAAAGTGCTGGGATTACAGGCGTGAGCCACCGCGCCCAACCTCTAAGGAGATTTTTGAGCTGTGAATTGGGAGAACATGGTGGCGTGACCCCATGGGGCTTAGGTTCTTTAGTGACCCGTTGTCCCAGCACTGACTTTTCTTGAGATTTGTGACTAAACTTGTGGCTGTATACAGATAATTAAAATTCCTGACAGCATGTTAGATTATGATGTTTGAAAGACTATATAAAATATAAAACATGTTAAGATGAGAGAATTTGATTTTAGTATCTGGCATTAGTTGATGTTCTGAGGTTTAACGCTGTCACCCTGCAGTCCGACCTTGTGAGCTTTACACGTGTACAGTGGTATGCAGCATCATGATGGAAGATGGTGCACACAAGATCTAGTTCTGGAAGTTTTGGATGGGCTTAATATATAGGCCCCTTATTGAACAATTCCTTACTGAATTGGTTATTATTATTATTTTTTTATTACTGTGAGTTGATGGGCTTAAATTGCAACTTGAAGGAACATTCGTTGCCTTAAAAGCCATATTGTGTTTTACAGTGGCTTAGGGAGAGAATGAAATCAAGGAAAATGTCAACGCATTTGCTTGTTTAATACCACTCAAAGCTGTGAACTGTCATCCTGCCATCCCTCAAATATGCATGTTACTCACGAAGCGGAGGAAAAGTGGTGTTGCATAATTGAGCTGAGCCGTTTTATATCAATTTTCTCTCTTTAGGCTCAAAGTGCTGACAAATAAAGCTTCTGTGATGCTCTTTATGAAAGGAAACAAACAGGTAAAGAACTCAAAAATGGTTTTATTTGTAATTTCTTTTGATGTTAACATCTGCAACAAGGGGACAGTTAAATCTTTTTCCTAGCTTTAGCTAATGAAGCTGTAGCGATATCAGGAAGTTATCCACGCCTTAATTGGTGCTTACGGAGATCAAACAAAGTAATCTACATTTTGCTTGACTTTATCATCAACATCTCAGTGGGGTGCATTTCTTTCTGCTGCCAAACTTTGTCAGCTAATGTGGTCAACACTGTTAACACTTTACTGGTTGTATGAGTTGTTATGTCATTATCCTTTGTTTGAGTTTGTGGACTGCTGAAGTGTGCAGCTGAGTCAGTGGACTTCCTGAATGCAGGGAACCTGGTCGTGCTTGGGTTTGCACCCCTAGATCGTCCTTTTGTGACAGTGGAGGAGCAAACCCTGGCTGTAGCAGGTGTGCTCTGTGTGTTTGATGAATGAGTGAAATGGTCAGCAATTCTCATTTTTAATGGGATGGTTCTTACAGCTTTTTGATGTAAGTACATATTGATTATGCGTCATTTTGAATATCAAGTTTGATAGATTACTTCCACCGATAGTTTGAGCAGAACTAATTTTCTTTCAGATTGAGATCAGAGTGGTAATTTCCAGAAACCAGCCATACACATTTATATCATATTTTGTAATTTTCATAGCAATTGAACCTCTACTTAATTCTCAATCAGTTGTTGAAGTAGGCAGGGTTGGACAGACTTTGGCCTGTTTTAGAGATAAAGAAACCAAAGTTTTGAAAGGTGAGGCTGTTGGAATAAAGAAACTGCCTCACTTGTTAGCAAGATGCACCGGGCAAGTGACATGGAGAACCACTTTGCTCATTGGGAAAGGGACACAATACTTCACAGGGCAGACTCTGGTTGCCATAACTAGTGTATAAGTTAACATAACTAGTATAATGAAGCTAATTAGTTAACATAACTGGTTAATATAATTAGGTAATAATGAAAGTAACAGTAACAAAGAAAATGTTAATATAAATTTCAGCATGTTGGAAACATTAGGTTAGGGCCTAAATTCTTTGATTTTGGTTCAGTGTATTGAAACAATAGAGGAAGTTAATAATTCCTAGTAATGATAAAGTGACATTTTTTCTTATTCTCGGTAATGGTTTAAGTGGATATTTATTCTCAAAACTATTTTTTTCTGGAAACCTAGAAAGTATTAATACATTTTGGAAACAATGTTATTGGGGCTATTAAAATGTTGACATGGTACCATATCTTTTCCACAAGATTGCTGGAATTTGGAGTCCTGTGGCATGAAAAAAGCTTAAGATTTTCATAAACTCAAAAAAGTGTTAGTATTCTGTAATGTAAAAATAAATGAGGCTGGATGCGGTAGCTCATGCCTGTAATCCCAGCACTTTGGGAGGCCAAGGCAGGTCCGAGGTCAAGAGATCGAGACCATCCTGGCTAACATGGTGAAACCCCATCTTTACTAAAAATACAAAAAGTTTGCTGGGCGTGGTGGCGCATGCCTATAGTCCCAGCTACTCGGGAGGCTGAGGCAGGAGAATCGCTTGAACCTGGGAGGTGGACATTGCAGTGAGCCGAGATCACACTCCAGCCTGGGGACAGAGTGAGACTCTGTCTCAAAAAATAAATAAATAAATAAATAAATAAATAAAATAAAAAGAAAAATGGGAGTCAGAATCCAGTTGGAAATGGGAAAATAATTGTCATAATCATTGCAAAAAGGCTAAGTGAGTTAAGATCATTTTGCATGAGTGAATTAAACAATGAACTCAAATCTCTGTAGAAAATCTCGGTTTCACTTAGAGGAACTTTTTGACCACAGAGAATATAAACTGTTGGAACACATGTCATCTCAAGTGGTTACAAACCAAAGGAAAAGGAAGTCTGTGGGTCACGTGTGCCTGGGTTGATGTGTAGATGGGTTCGTACTTGAAGAGGGGATGAGCAGAAGCTCTGGGAGCTGAGTGAAAGTAGTGGCAGCTATGCTGGACAAGTGCTGTGCTGGTTGACAAGAGTATTAGGTACAACCATGCTGCTTGGGTCATACAAAAATTGTAATCTTTGCAAATTTTTTTTCATTTAGGAAGCAAAATGTGGATTCAGCAAACAAATTCTGGAAATACTAAATAGTACTGGGTATGTAAATGTTGTTTTCAAATGGTGTATTAAAAAAATTCCAACCTGGCCAGGCGTAGTGGCTCACGTCTATAATCCTAGCACTTTGGGAGGCTAAGACAGGAATATTGCTTGAGCCCAGGTGTTCGAGACCAGCCTGGACAACATAGTGAGACCCCATCGCCACAAAAAATAAAAAAATTAGCCAGGCATGGTCACATACATCTATGGTCCTAGCTACTTGAGAGACTGAGGTGGGAGGATCACTGGAGTCTTGGAAGGTGAGGCTGTAGTGAGCCGTGATTGCACCACTGCACTCAGCCTGGGTGACAGAGCAAGACCCTGTCTCAAAAAAAAGAAAAAAATATTTCAACTTTTCAGTTCTGCCACTGATACTTTTCAGTTGTAATGTCTATATCCATACATATCTGTATCTTTCTTTATTTTTTGCTGTATTGTTTTGTGAATGCCTTAACTTAGATCAAAATAGTATTTTCTGGCCAGTGTCAACCTATTAGTAACATAAAGGAGGTCTTTAGGCCACCTTTGGAATAACTATTTGTCTACTTTCCCAGAGGAAAATGTATAACTGAGTCCTCACCATGCATAAAGATATTTCAGGGGAATATATTATAGGTAGTTTTTAATTTTTCTCAAATATCCTAGTTGCTAAACAGTACAGAAAGCTGAGGGGCACATATTAAGGTCCATTACCTGGATCTGAGAGGTAGCACAAGTTAAATTGCAGTGCTCCTAGTTTTGATGTGCTCAGTGGTGAAGCTGTCAGGTAAGAACATTGCCATTGATTTTTGTGGTTAAAAACAAAAGCACTTATTTGGAGATATACAGCACATGTTCTATAGGGTTTGTCAGATATTTTTGTTTATTTCTCATTTCATGATTGTATCTTTTAAAAATCATGTATTCTAACTGTAGCTTCAAATAAATTACTTTCAAGTAATCTTTGATATACTTCAAAGATCTATTGAAAATAGTTAAATAGTACAGGTTGAATACAATTTCAGGGACATAAAAAGAATATAGGGCCAGGCACAGTGGCTCACACCTGTAATCCCAGCACTTTGGGAGGCTGAGGTGAGTGGATCACTTGAGGTCAGGAGTTCGAGACCAGCTTGGCGAACATGGTGAAACCCCGCCTCTACTAAAAATACAAAAATTAGCCGGGTGCGGTGGCGCACGCCTATAATCCCAGCCACTCAGGAGGCTGAGGCCTGGAGAATCACTTGAGCCCAGGAGGTGGAGGTTTCAGTGAGCTGAAACCACGCCACTGCACTCCAACCTGGGTGACAGTGAGACTCTGTCTCAAAAAAAAGATGTGGTTGTCGTCTTTAGATTACTATGACATTTTATAGAAGCAAGTATAGTCAGTTTATTGTAATTGTAACTTCAAGCCTGTTCCTTTCTTCACCCCTGCCCTGGGCCATACAGTGGGGGCTGGCTTGTTTTTGGTCATTTTTGATTTTCCCCTTTCTTTGTCGACCCTCTGCTGCGGGTCCACAGTGAGACACACACAGTCCATCCCTCTCTAGCAGTACCAGGTTCCTCAGGTGTCTTCTGAGCCGACACACTGGGCCTGACTCAGCTCGTGTCTTTGGTGGAACATCTTGGTAACTTGGCTTTCTGTCCCATATCTGTCTAATCTCCATTGTATTGAAAGCACCCTGTTGTCGCAGAGAGCAGGAGGATGCTTTGGGAGAGCATGACCTCCCAGCTCTGGACTTGCTAAGCGTGATTGGCCCTAGGATGAGTGAGGCCATCCAGGACCTCAGCTTCGCTTAACACGAGCAGACCATGCTCTTGCTGGGCGCCAAATGTATGTGGAGAAAACTCCTTTTTACTTTTTCTCATTTCTTATCTTTTCCTTTAGTAGCCAAAATACACATGCATGAGTGGTTGAGAACCAAGTGTATATTGAGGTTTGAAAGGTACCCTTTATGAATAACTTTTAGGAAGTATACTGGCTGTTAGGACTCCACATACATACACTTGGGCCCAGTGCTTCCTGGATCCTTTATGAATAGTTGTATAACTCATTGTTTTTATCACAGTATTAAGAGATCTGCCACCTTTAGTTCAACTTGAACAAAGACTTACATTGGGGTTTTTAAAAAGCATTAGGTTTACATTGGGGTCTTTTTTTGTTCTTCTTTCAAACATTCCTTTTTTGGTAATTGCTTCTGATTTATCCCGTCATTTAGTTTTTTTGACTGTTCCCTGTACCATAGACAGTTTCCTTGGGAACTTGTTTACTAAATAAACAAGATTTCCCTATGATGGTTTCAGTTTTATGGAAAGTCCAGTTTTTTTTACATGTAGCATTTTCTTTGGCCACCTTTGGGAATTGCACCTGTACCCTCAGGCACCCTGCAAGGATTTAGGCATACATGCTTGCTAATACCTGACCACCTAACGGTGAAATCGCTCTGAGTGGATACAGTTGGATATTCATGCAGTGATTTTTCATTTTTTGTACAAGTAATGTTCATTGTATGGTATAAAGCCACAAAGCTTTCATTGGCCTTTTGTACATTAAAAACAGCACCCTCTCTGAAATAAGTTTAAGTGTGGAAAGCATGTCTCTTGCTAAGGTGGAGGGAGCTGGCAGCGTGGTTGTTATCCGGCTGCTGAGCCCTCCAGCCTCCGTCCACGAGCACTACTACATCCTGCTGCACGGGCAGCTTCCAGGAGGTTAAGAAGCAGCAGCCTGGGGTGGGTTAGACATTAGAAGTGGGTAAGAGTGTTCAGTTAATGAAGGCTCGTGCAGATGGGGGTGTGGGTCTGATCCAGGGGTTGGCAAGTTGCAGCTGGCTGCCCATTTTTGTAAATAAAGTTATATTGGCACATAGCCACATCCCTTCATTTATACATTGTCTGTGGCTGCTTTTATGCTGACAGTTGCAGCAGAGAGCAGAACTGAGCAGTTGCAGCAGAGACTGTCTGGCCTGTAAAGCCTGAAGTGTTTAGTGTCTGACTCTTTAAGAAGAAGTTTGCCCACCCCTGGTCTAACCCAATATTGTCCGGAGAAAAATCCAGATAAAGTCATATGTTGGAATGACTAATTCTGTGTAGTACCAGACAGATTAAGAAGTAAAATCATTTCCATTGGTCTGTAGTACATTTTGTTAGCAGTGAAACGGTTTTCTTGATTATTTTAAAAACATCAAATGCATAGAGGTTTTACACTTTGATTTAACTGTATTTCCAGTTAAAATGTCTTCTCTTTTTTGCAGTGTTGAATATGAAACATTCGATATATTGGAGGATGAAGAAGTAAGTTCTGTGTTTGATGTTTCACCCTTGTCTTAGCTTTAATCTTAAGGGCCTGATAGGATGGTTTCAGGATTCCTGTTGTTTCTTTAGGTTCGGCAAGGATTAAAAGCTTACTCAAATTGGCCAACATACCCTCAGCTGTATGTGAAAGGGGAGCTGGTGGGAGGATTGGATATTGTGAAGGTAAGGCCAGTTCTTCTGCTGTTCTAAAGAACGGAAAAGATTTTGGTATGTTTAAAAATGATTTCATATTGAATGGAAACTTGAGAGTTGTTTTTGACTCCTGTTTCCAGCCTGACTCTCAGACATTTCTAGACCAGTATCACCGTTTCTGTGTGCATGACTACCCTGCCATTCTCACTGTCCCCACGTGGCAGCCTGTTCTTACTTTCACACCTGAGCTAACCATTGCATCTCCTTTCTGTGGGGTGATCTTCCCTGTCACTCAGGGTCCTTGTTAGATCCTGCTTCAGCTCCCAGACAACAAATTGTTTTTTCTTGCCTTACTCATCTGCCCTTGGGTGCATGGAGTGACAGCAGTGTGAGGCCTGTGGCCCGGTGCTGCCCATCCTTGCCACAGAGGCTGAGGATCACTGCCCCTGGTCCCCCGAAAGAAAAAATGTAGGTCCTTTTTGGTTTTGAGATGCTTGGAAATCTGTTATCTGTTAGATTGTGTTTTAGATAAGACACCATTTCTTATGTATCTTGAGTCCTTCCTGATGCTTTGTGTATTTTAGGAGTTCAGTAAATGGTTGTTGGATGGATAAGTGACTTTACTTCTTGATTGAGTTTTAAATGGACGTTACTTTGCATGTATTTAATGTCTAGAATTCAGGGCAGGCCCACCAACTAACACCTGTGTGCTCTGTAGCTCTTTGATTAGCCCAAAACAATAAACAGAAGCTGTAGCTTTAATATCTACACACAGACCCCACTGCACCCCAGGCCCACTGTGGGCATGGTGGCATCGAGGAGGGTGGTAGCTGGTTGGGTATAGAGAGGAGCTAGACAGGAATGCTGGGCAGGAATGCCAGGGTCTGCTCAGGGGCATGAACAAAACTGCCCCGAAAAGTGGGTTGCTGACTGCCCTCAGGCCTTCCTCTTGCCTCAATCCATGAGAGAATTTTCTGAGGTCAGATCTTCGACTTTTTATGTGGAAAACAAATAGCAAGTAGTACTACTTCTAGTTATGTTGTAAAATAAAAGTTTTTTTTTTTTTTTTACATTTTTTTTTGAGAGAGTTTCGCTCTTGTTCCCCACTGGAGTGCAATGGTGCAATCTCGGCTCACTGCAGCCTCTGCCTCCCAGGTTCATGTGATTCTCCTGCCTCAGCCTCCTGAGTAGCTGGGATTACAGGCACCCGCCACCACGCCCCACTAATTTTTGTATTTTTAGTAGAGATGGGGTTTCACCATGTTGGCCAGGCTGGTCTTGAACTGCTGACCCCAGGTGATCCGCCCACCTTGGCCTCCCAAAGTGCTGGGATTACAGGCATGAGTCACCGCGCCTGGCCAAAATAAAAGTTTTTAACACGTGCTTTTGTAAAGTGAAGCACTAGCCTACCACTGAAATGACATCAGCACTTTGGACCAATATGTTTTATAAAAACAAAGCTTGAGTTCCATTGATGCAGAGGCTCTTTTTGTCCTTTGGTGGCCTCTGTGTAGGTTTTGTTTCCTGTGGAGTTCCAGGTTTGATATCATACTTCTTAAACAAGCCAGTGAGACATTTTTCCTGGGGAATGGTCTCACTCCTGGAGGAAAAAATTTTTAAGACTATTGCTCTTGAATAGCCCTGAAGCAGCAGAAACAGATCTGCATTTGTTTCTTCCCTCCCTCCCTCCTTCCCTCCCTCCCTCCCTCCCTCTTTCTCTCTCTCTCTCTCTCTATATATATATATATAGTCTTATTTTTGTAAGACACAAAGAATACTCAAACCCCAAATACTCTTGAGCCTGTTCTTGTCTGAATGTTTTATAGCCTGTACCTTAGCCATTGGTAACTCTTGGGAAGATACAATCAATAAATCTCATTTAATTCTAAAGCTAAGCTGCGTGGGTAACTTCTTTTTAGTTATATAACAGAGTGTTATATGATTTTTTATGTTCACCTGCTAAGAACATATACGTTTGAAATGTGTGATATTGTTAACGTTTTTCCTTGAGAAGATATATGGAATAGATCTTACGATCCCATTTTGATCTGTTTCTTGCAGAATGCAGTTCTTCATGTTCAGTTCAATTAAAAGATGTTTGAAATGGTCTAATCTGGCTGGCCTCTTTGGAGCAATGAGCGTTTGTTTTGTTGAATGAGGGACTGAATGATGATTTAGTTACTCAGCTAATCTAGTGTCCTGAGAAAATTGTGAGTTGTTATTGCCTCTGAAGAGTAAACGGTTCACTACTGCTGTTCCAGAATGTTTGGACTTAAGACAGTTTGTTGAGAGAGATAGAAGATTTGGTTAGGTTTAGACTTTCCACCTGCCGGCTCGCATTAACAGCAGTGAGGGTGGCGAGGACTGCCTTATTTGGCGCGCTCCCAATGTTCCAGGCACACTGCTTTGGTGCTTTAAGAGGCTGCTTCACGTAATCTCCCAAGCAGCCTCAGAGAGCAGAATTCTTCTTAGTCAGTAGATGAGGAAACAGAGACATAGAGAGGTCAGGTGAATTGTCCACCATCCCATAACTAGTAAGCCATTGAGTCCAGATTCCACCTGAGGGCCACCTGCCCTTGCCCACTCAGCTGCGTGGTCCTCTCCGTGCCTTCTTGAGTGTGTGCTCAGAAAAGTCCTGCTGGGTCCCTTGGAGGGGCAGGGTGTCTGCTTGTTGAGTAGGTAGAAGAAGATCCCTAGACATGACTGAAAGCCGTCTGGGTTTTGTGTGACAGCATCATTCCTATTTGAATTTCATCCAGAGGAGGTCATACGGATTTTAATGGTTTTATTGATTGATGTTTATGCTGTTCAGTGATAACCTGAAATGTTATATCATACTAAATGTTTCTTTAAACCAGAAAATCTTATTTATCATGTCTGTCCTTTCAAGCTTGGTGTCTATAATCCAGATTTTAAATCTGAAAAACAGGCACAAGGAGCATGGCGCCTGTACTGCAGTTCCAGTCAACCTGGTGGTAGCTCTTTTGATGCCATGTCTGTTTCTGAATTGTTAGGTCTTTTTAATGGTTTCTGCCTTTCCCTCTTACTGGTACTCTAGCTTTTCCTGAGGCAGAGATGTGTTGCCAGGTTGGGTTTCAATAGCAAAGCCTGATTCCTCTCTGTGAGTGGAAGAACGGGAGGGGAACAAGCATCATATTTGAGTAGACTTTTAACGTCACACTGCTTTTTTTTTCTTCCTTTTTTTCGAGACAGAGTCTCACTCTGTCACCCAGGCTGGAGTGCAGTGGTGCAATCTTGGCTCTTGGGTCACTGCACCCTCCACCTTCTGGGTTCAAGCAATTTTCATGCCTCAGCCTCCTAAGTAGCTAGAATTACAGGCACATGCCACCATGCCCACCTGGCTAATTTTTTTTTTAATAGAGATGGGTTTTGTCATGTTGGCCAGGCTGGGCTTGAACTCCTGACTTCAAGTGATCTGCCCCCTTGGCCTCTTAAAGTGCTGGGATTATAGGTGTGAGCCACTGCGCCCAGCCACATTACTTCATTCTTCAACCTTGAAAGTCACTTGATTTATTTTCCTTATTTATTGCTACAGTTTAAATAGGGGCTTCATTGGCTCCAGTTGCTGCGTTTCCTAATACTAAACAATCTGTTGGTTTTAGGATACCTTAACTTCATTTATTTATTTATGAATGAATGAATGAGATGGAGTCTCGCTCTAGCCCAGGCTGGAGTGCAATGGCACGATCTTGGCTCACTACAATCTCCACCTCCCGGGTTCAGGAGATTCTCCCTGTCTCAGCCTCCTGAGTAGCTGGGATTACAGGTGCCCGCCACCATGCCCAACTGATTTTTGTATTTTTAGTAGAGACGGGGTTTCACCATGTTGGCCAGGCTGTTCTGCAACTCCTGACCTCAGGTGATCTGCCCTCCTCGGCCTCCCAACGTGCTGGGATTACAGGCATGAGCCACTGCACCCAGCCTTATTTATTTATTTTTTAAGAGACAGATTTCACCATGTTGGTCAGGCTGGTCTTGAACTCCTGGCCTCAAGTGATCTGCCCACCTCGGCCTCCCAAAGTGCTGGGATTACATTTGTGAGCCACCACACCTGGCCAAGAATACCTTGTTAAATTTTTTAACCTGATAGTGTATTCAGGGTTTATGGCTCATTTAGTTTGAGAGTGTTAAGAGACTGGAGTTTTAATCCAATAGGTGTTTCTTTTGGTTCTCAGATATACATACAAGCTGTGATTGTTTAGATGTTTCCATCTTTTTATATATGCATATACATATTATTATTGTTGTTTTTTATTTTTAGGAACTGAAAGAAAATGGTGAATTGCTGCCTATACTGAGAGGAGAAAATTAATAAATCTTAAACTTGGTGCCCAACTATTGTAAGAAATATTTAATTACATTGGGAGCAGTTCATGATTTAGTCCTCAGAAATGGACTAGGAATAGAAAATTCCTGCTTTCTCAGTTACATGTTTTGTGTATTTCACAATGTCGTGCTAAATAAATGTATGTTACATTTTTTTCCCACCAAAAATAGAATGCAATAAACATCTTCAAATTATTAACAATAATTGTATGAAAAAAGTGTATCTTTACAGCAGTATTAAACATACAGCTACTATAATTAACCCACCTTAAATCTCTTTTTCTTAGTACATGAGTATCTTCTAGCAGTTAAGAAAGGCAGTCTTCAGAAAATGGAGAACTGTGGCGGAATGCAGTACACAACAGTATTTAGGACAACTCCTTTGCCAACACAATGGCTCCCCTCGCTGGTGAAAGATCTCTTTACAGCTTAGGAAAAACAACGGAAATTAGTTTCTGATGTCATTGCTGAGCTCGGCACTGGTTACATTGCAGAGGCAGTGTAGGATGTCTGCAGGTTTAGAGACTCATTTCACAAGGCACCAGTAGTGAATTATCAAGAAACATTTAAGAGGAAAATGATTTCTCATTGAATATGGTACAACAAGCACTTTTTTCATAAGGTCTAGAAGAATGGGTAGTCATGACAAAGAATGGAAAAGTATTGTCATTTGTTGTAAGCATCACTACTTTTTTTTTTTTTTCAGACGGGGTCTGGCTCTGTCACCCAGGCTGGAGTGCAGTGGCACGATTATGGCTCATTGCAGCCTCGACTTCTCGGGGCCAAGCGATCCTCCTGCCTCAGCCTTCTGAGTAGCTGGGACCACAGGCGTGCACCACCATGCCCACCTAATTTTTTATTTCTTGTAGAGATGAGGTCTCCTGCCTCAGCCTCCCAAAGTGCTGGAATTTACAGGTAGGACCACCACACTTGGTCCACTTACTTATAATAAACATTGATTTGGTCGTTCAGGTTCCTTTGGTCCTCCTATTGAGAACAGTTTGAAGTCCATGAAAATTTTAACAATATTTTTGATCCTGAATCTAACATATTTGAAAAATAGTTGCTCCACTAGGCTTCCACAGTGCAGGCTTCAAATGGGATGGCTAAATTCACCTCATGGTTCTTAGTTTTTTTTGTACTTGTGGCACATTCTCTTCATATATTACCCCACCCTGTTTGTTTGGGCAGTTAAGATGCTGGTACTGTCTGGTGGCGATAAGGAAAGGGAAACAGAAGTCAGTAATTCAGACAAGAATAAACAGGATGAAATGCATCTATTCCTAGGTAAGATTAGCCCACCACCTCCACACTGCTGCTGTCTCTTCAGCTCAGGCTGTTTTTCTCTGTTTTGATTGTGTAAAGAGTAGAGTGCTGATTTGTGTGTTACAGAGGGTGGTCTGTACAAGTCATAAAGCTCGACATGGCCTTGCTTCCTGCTAGGTGTTAGGACACCCATGATGGTGGAGTCTCTTGGCATTCTGTGTAATTAGATAAGGCTGTTTATAGCATTGGTCCATGAGAACTTCCTTGTTTCTATTTAAAATGAAAATCATTGTATAAGTAAAACTTCTTAAATGTAGATAGAAATAGAATTTTTACTGAAATTTTATGAAGCCATTGGCCGCAGGGATGTGTGTCATGGAGGAGGGCTCCATACTTTTTTGGTATACTTATCTCAAACTTAATTCATTTGCATACTGCTTTTTCTCTAAGTGCCAACTGTCCTAGTATATTTTCTAAGTCAACTTTTACTTTCACTTTATCCTAAGCAAGAATATCTTTGGCATCACAGACTCAGTAAGCCTGTTTTTTTCTAATGCACATACAAATAAATAAAATGCACAACTTTTAACATAAATGGCTGCCTCCAATTTGGGAAATACTGTTCTGGCCAGAGGCCGTTGCTCTGATAATGTCATGTGGTTAGTGCATTTTAGGAAGACCTCCTTTCCCTTTGGTTGACTCCTGCAGGACATAAGATATCAGTGACGTTATCCTTTGTTGAGCCATCCTGGTTTGAGTCAGGATGAGTGTTGAGAGTTTTTGGGGAGTTGCCCCTGTGTCCTATATTATTTTATCCTCTTAAAGTCTGATGGTCTTTGGCTCCACTGACTCCAGGTAAGTTGGGGTGACAGTGCAGCATATTTCTATTTTCTAGTTGTTTCTGGCCAGACATGGGGAAGGTCAAGACATCTTGTTCATGCAAACGGATTGATGGCCATTCCTAATCTGATTTTATTAGTGTATTTTAGGAAGTAAAGTAAGATTCTTGAGCCCAGCTGAACTTCCCCTATTGAATTTTCTAACAAAAAGAGAGTTTGCGTATGGGTTTATAATTGAGCCTGCTCTTGTAGAAATGTTTTATCAGAATTGAAATCCTCTCTGATCCCCAAATTCTAGAGACAAAGTTGTTTTCTGAATTTGAGAAATCTGTTCAGTTCACAAGGAAAGGTGACAATGTGTCATTTGGATGTTGTCCCACACGTGAGGCCTCGTTGGGTGCTTGTGGTGGGAGGGACCCTCCAGGCAGGCTTTGTATGGAGGGTTTTCATGTCTGGACACATTTCTGTTCCGAGAAGCACTGCTGCGTTTTTGGGAGCGTGGACCCTGGCCAGAGCCTGTGGCCAGCTCTGCCTGCCCTCCCTTTCTTGGCCTGCTCTTTTGAGTATGTAGTGGGGCTTTGTGTGGCATCCTGCCAGGTTAAAGCTGCATGGTGCTTAGGATAGAGCTGGTGCTGTGGGGAGGCTCTTGATGATGGGGGCTGCCATCTATTTGCCTGTTAACTCTTAGAAACCAAACCTCAAATGTCAGAATTTCCTTTCTAGAAGAGGCTGGTTGAATAGGAACCAGAAAGGCCCTCATACAGGCAGGGCTGTTCACTCCTCTTGACTTGCGTGTTTGTGCCTTCCTTGTAGGAAGGCTTCTTAGGGAATTGTTATCTGTTTAGGGGAAATAAGCCTGCAGGAATGAACTTTTTTTTAAAATAAAAACTCTTGATCAAAAATGGAAAGAAAAAAACCAGTGAAACAGGCTAGGTAGTTTGTGGAATTCTCCTTTGCAGGTGAGGGGAGAAAGCAGCTATCTCAAGGGCACAGCTACAGATTGGGAGCTGGGGCTTCCATCCAGGGTCTGGGACACCCAAACCTTAGGCTTGCCCCTCCCGGGAGGCCTCCCCCTCAGAGCTATGTGGGATGCAGTTGCCTTTTTACCTGTGATGAGAAACTGGTGAATTGCCAGGATTCTGGCTCTGGCTTCAGTCTGCCCCTTTCCGGGGATTAGAGGGCATTAACCCTACTTCCTACAGCCAAGCAGCTCTTCCTCATGACTCTACTTTCTAACTCCGGGGGTTGACTGATTGATTTGAAGACCGCCTTGTTGATGAATGTGTTGAAACTTGCTATCATAATGTAAATGCTCCTTAATAAAATAACAGGACCTGGTGGGTTCAGTTGCCTTGCCCACGTGTGACTTACATGTTTTTGCCTTTTTTTGTTGAACACTGAGCCTTGCAGAACCATCAGGAAGTCCACCTTGGTCCCACTGGATTGATCATTAAGAAGGAAGGAAAAAAGTTATTTGCCATTTCCGTTCTTTACAAAAATGTCTTAAGTCTGCTGAGGAGTAGACTAAAAAATAGCATGTTTTTATAATTAGAAAGCCTCATTTTAATAACTTAAAAATGTTTAATCTCTGAAACAACTGTAATACATTTTAAGCGCTTGGTAATCATTATCTGCCTTATTGGAAAGAATTATACAAATAAGACCTATCTTGACAGTCAAAAGTTACAAGCTTAAGATTGCAATATGAAACATGATTTCTGGTTTAGTTTTTAAAGTAAAATCAGCTTTCTTTTCCTTTGTTTTTTGAGACAGGGTCTCCTCTGTCACCCAGGCTGGAGTGCAGTGGTGCAGTCATGGCTCACGGCATCCTTGACCTCCCAGGCTCAAGATCCTCCCCCGTCAGCCTCCTCAGTAGCTGAGATGACAGGCATGTGCCACCATGCCCGGCTGTGTTTTGATTTTTTTTTTTTGTAGAGATGAAGTCTCACTATGTTGCCCAGGCTGGTCTCAATCTCCTGGGCTCAAGTGATCCTCCCACCTCAGCCTCCCAAAGTGTTGGGATTACAGGCCCTAGCCACCATGCCTGACCTAAGATCAGTTTTCTTAAATTTGACAGTTGCTACTTTTCAAAATTCAAACCTTTCTAAATAAAAGTAAGTTGATTATTTGCAGATGAATTCTTGTTTTATACACATTTCAGATGTTGAGTTTGAGGACCTAGACCCTTCCCTTTTTGTCTAGTCACATTTCCTCACGGCCGTCCACTGATCGTTGAATCAGCGTAAATATGGACAGTTTCTCTTGAGTCTTTGGGTCTTCATTTCTGAAGGCTCCTGTGTCACGTAAGACTTAAATAAATCTTACGCTTTTCTCTTGTTAATCTCTTTTGTTATAGGAGTGTCGGCTGTGCCCCTTGTGATGGGTGAGGAAAGGTATCCACCTTTCTGAATCAGACACAAGCTGCAGTAGCTTCCTGATGCCTCATTCACCAGGATGGGTAACTTTAAAGACAAGTTTTATAACTGGCATCCCATCTGGTTTCAGAGTCTTGGGGGCTTTTTTCATACAGCTTTGTCTGATATTTAGAGACATTCAGATTCAGAAGCCATGAGTTCAGTTAGCTCATGGGCCGGGCACGTGCACTGACTCACTGGCTGCAGCAGAACACGTTGAGGGAGTCTTGGTGCACTTAGGTCACTGTAAGGTTCTAGGGCTGGGAGCTGGGATTTGAACCAGGATCTGTCAGCGCAGCCCCAGTGCTGTGCTTGAAGCCTCGTGCCACACTGGCTTTGAGGTAGCACGCTGCAAGTTAGTGAGTGGAGTTGCCCAAGTCTGGGGCTTCTGAAATGACCTGGTATTTTTATGTTCCTGTTAGAAATGGTGTGGCTTTCACAAATTAAGTGCCAGGCTGGGCACAATGGCTCGTGCTTGTAATCCCAGCACTTTGGGAGGCGGAGGCAGGCGGGTTGCTTGAGCTCCGGAGCTTGAGACCAGCCTGAGCAACATGGCGAAACCTCATATCTACAAAAAATAAAAAATTAACTGGTCATGGTGGTGTGCACCTGTAGTCCCAGCTACTTGGGGAGCTGAGATGGGAGGATTGCTTGAGCCCAGGAGGTCAAGGCTGCAGTGATCGTGCCATTGCACCCCAGCTTGGGTGACAAAATAAGAGCCTGTCTCAGAAAAAAAAAAAAAAACAAAAAAACCTAATTGCCAGGACCCGCAAATTCTGACTGAAAAAGACCTTCTTGTTCTCCCCACGGTCATTCATCTAAATGGTTGTCAGTGGTACAGTGTTCATCTTTTCTCAAAAAGTCAAGTTTTATTTGAGGAAGTTACAGATTTCCATATGAACTCCTAGAGAGAGAGCCTGCCCTTGTTCAGGGTTGCCCGGGGGATGCCTGCCATGTGGTAAGGTAAGGGTTTCTCTGCCCCTCATCTCCCAGCCTGCTGTCCCCAGGAGCGAGTTCCTTAACCCCTAGCCGTGTCGTTGAGCCCAAGCTTGTAACCTGGATATGGGAGCTGTCTATTTAGGAAGAAGGCATGTGTGGTAATTTCTAAAAGAATTAAAATAGATTTTTATGCTCTTGTATTATGTTTTGTGCTTAAAAGGAAGAGCCCCGATATAATGGAGAAAAGCCAGAAGGAGCTTGGATGCCCTCAGAGAGCCCTGTCACCTGTCTGTAGGGGCAGAAAGGAGGATGCCTTTCCTCACCCATCACAAGGGGCACAGCCAACACCTAGAATAGATTACCAAGGAAAAGTATAAAATGTATGTAAAGACTTAGGTGACACAGGAGCCTTCAGAAATAAAAACCCAAGAGAAACTGCATGTTCACACTCAGATTCAACGAAGAGTGGGTGGCTGTGCAGAAATGTGATTGGACAGAAGGGAAGGATCTAATCGTAGACTGGATGGGGAAGCCTTGCCCCGTGTGTAGCTTTCTTCCTTCCAGGTACAGGGCAGGGCCCTTCTGGAATGAAGGTCTGGGATCCATTTTCAGATAAAGTAGTGTTGAGGATGTCTTTGTGGCCGGCTCCTGTAGTGGACCTCAGATCCGGGTGCTCGCCAGTTACAGAGTCCAGTTGACAAGAGCAAGGTCTGGTAGAAAGAAAGTGACTATTAACCAGAACTAGTCATGGGGATATGGCTGGATTCCCACCCAAAGTAACTACTTTGAATTCTGGAGAGAAGGCAAGGGTTTAAGAAGTGGGGAGTAGGAGCTTGAGCTGGGAGGCGCGCAGGGATCGTGCTGAGTACAATGTGTGTCTTGTTCCGGCGGCTGTCCTGGGCCTCCGTCCACCTGGAGTGCGGGCTGGTGTCATCTCAACAAGTGGCCAGATTTGACTGCTCACCTTGAGGTAAGCTCTGGGATTTTGCAGCTGGGTTTCCACGCTTGGTCTGTCTCAAGATTAGTCCCTAGAACTTCGAAGTAAGCACGTAATTAGAGACTAGCTCACAGACACATGTGAAGAGAGTATACGGTGAGAAAGGGGAGGGGTATGGAGTCTATTTTAAGATTAAGGGAAAAGGCTTCTGCAGTTTGCTCTAAGGTTGCATCTCAGGACTAAAGAGAAAGGAAAAAAAAGTCTAAAAATGCATTTTGAAGTTAAGCTGCTCAGTTACACTCCTACACAAAGGCCAGGGAAAGTTAGAGTCATATTTCTAGTTTTTTTTTTTTTTTTTTTTGAGACAGAGTTTTGCTCTTGTCCCCCAGGCTGGAGTGCAGTGGCGCGATCTCGGCTCACTGCAACCTCTGCCTCCTGGGTTCAAGCGATTCTCCTGCCTCAGCCTCCACAGTAGCTGGGATTACAGGCGTGTGCCACCATGCCCGGCTAGTTTTTGTATTTTTAGTAGAGACGGGGTTTCGGCATGTTGGCCAGGTGGGTCTCAAACTCCTGACCTCAAGTGATCCGCCTGCCTCAGCCTCCCAAGTGCTGGGATTACAGGCGTGAGCCACAGAGCCTGGCCGTATTTCTAGGTTTTATGGCTGGCCTCGCAGGAGAGGGGTTCTGGTTTCTATGACCTGCACTGGGGAAGAGGCATTCTACTTTCCGTGGCCTACCTTGAGGGGTGGTGGGGTGCGGGCAAGGGAAGGGGCCAGAGGGTCAGAGAGCCCTTGCCTCTGAGGCCCTTCCGGTGTCCTGCAGTTCCTCAGTGTGCCAAAACCACAGGCCTTGGGGTATCATTTTCTGAGCCCCAGCATATCCCTCTATTTTGCCCTTAGGTCTGGAGGAAGGTTCCAGGGCATTTGCCCTTGGTGGGTGCAGGTAGGGAGGATCTGCGGGTCTTCCTCATGCCAGGAGTCTTATCCCAGAATCAAAGGCTCCTGGTGGGTAGGAGCGTGTCCCATGTGCAGCACGCTTGGCTGTCCGAAGTTGCTGATGAGAAGCAGCATAGGATCTGGCAGGGACGGTCCTGAGTGGAGAGGCTGAGATGGGAGGTGGTGGCCCACGGTTAGCGGGCTGGATTTTCTGGGGCAGCCTCCATGCCAGCATTTTGTCTTCATCCCGGAACCCTGTGCACTGAGGTGCAGGAAGCGTGTGTAGTTTCACACACTTAAGTGTAAGAAAGCATGTTCCTGTTGAAAATAACACCCCGCTGGGCATGCTGTGGGGTGACGGCAGGTTTTTGCCCTCCTCCTGCAGCTAAGCACTGGAGCCCTGGGTTCCCATCGGGGCTGTGGCACTGTGCTGTTTCCCGGGCCACTGCCAGGGAAGGAGCCTCCTATATTGCTGGGCAGGGCCTGCGTGCAGGTCCAGGTTTATAAATTTTAGAGCTTGTTCAGAAAGCAGGCAAAAAGTGCTGTTGGAGGTGCTAAGATATAAAGGTTTTTCCCCGGGTGTGTATTATTTGCTACTTAATATTCTAAAGAAAAATTAGAACATTAAGTTATTAACATGAATGTTTCTGCTTTTCTTTGCACTGTGTAGTGGCAATTTCAAATGCAAATATAAGAGCATTTAACTTGTGTGTGGGATACTTGAGCTGGCCCATCTATGTCTATCTCAGCTTCTGCCAGGATGCTGGAGGCACTGCACAAAAGGAAATGCTCTTGATCCATGCACATTCCCTCAGCGAATGCTGCCTTAAGGCTAAGGTTACCATGAGAGAGAAGGAGCTGTGGGTTGCCCTCTCATTGCCTGCCTTCTGTGTCATCTTCAGTGTGAGTAGTTGGCTAGTACAGGCAAGAGACAAGGCAGAGAGGATATGATGGCTTCCTCCGTCATCCGTGTTTCTTAGAATGCAATTGCTCTCTTTCTGGGCTGGAAGCAAGTTCTCATGTGATTGGAAAGCGTGGTGCCAGGGCTGTCAGCTCCAGCTGTCCTGTCGTAGCTGGTTACATGCTGATGTTGCCCTCGCCTTGAGTCTTGTCACCTCCGATGCTGAGGCCCACTGGAACGCTGCTTCTGGCGCATCGCGAACCCTGCATGTTAGCCGGGTGGCAAGGAGTAGCCAGTTCTCTGCTCACCCACATGCTCTGTGGTGCCCCTGCACTAACAGCACGAGTTCAGATAAAATTATTAAGAATTTCGAGATGACGAAAGCAGAACGTGAAACTGAGTGTGGTCCTTCTGAGTGCAGGGCCCCATGGGACCGCACAGGTGGCAGGCCTGGAAGGCCAGCCCTGCTTCAAGGAGTGTGGCTGAAGGAGGTCGGGGAACTCAGGCCCTGACCCCAGGGTTCTCCTTTCCCGGAGATTCTGTTAAAGGGCCACTCACCTTAGCCATGATCTTCTTTGAACTTGCTCCGAACTGCTCGCTAGAGAAACACACACCCGGTCACCTGTGACCCCTTGTTCTAGGTGCATTCCTGCAGGGACATACTCTCCACCTGATGCTGAAACCACCACAGCAAACAGGTGCTGTCATGAATAGTTGACATGTATTAAGTCATTTAATTCTCACCACAACCCTATGAGGTAGGCATCTTCAGCCCCATTTGACAGATGGGGAAACTGAGGCATGGGTGAAGCACACTGCTCCTGGTCATAGTACCTGTTGGACCTGGGATTTGACTCTGGGCCTCCTGGCTGCAGTTTGCCCTCTTAACCCCTATGAGGTGTGAGGAGTCAGTGAATTGGCTCCTGTGGCTTGGGAGGGAGACATGTTCCTCTGGGTGTCCAGGGACAGCACTGGGTGCAGGGTGGAGTGCTGGGCTGTGGATGGGCCCATATTGGTCCTAATGGTAGGCAGAGAGGGTGAGGAGGTGCCCAGGACCGGCTTTGCCAGAAGGAGAGAGAACGCTGGCACCACAGGAGCAGCCCACCGTGAAGGCCATGCCCTGCCCGAAGCGCGGTGCCTATTTAGAACCCGAGGGCCCCCCAGCACGATGGCGTTTTGGGGGTTATTTTTGTTGGTGGGGAAACAAGCTCAGGAATTTGCCAAAGCTCTTATCCAAGGGGCGAGTGGCTCAGCCAGGGTTCATTACCAGGCTCCGGATCCTGCTTCTCCCGGATCACAGCAAGCGCTGTGCTTAGGCCTGGGGTGGGGGACGGATTCTCCCTGAAGGCAGGTCTGACGCGGGCGGGAGCACCCACCCCGCTGGGTTCTTACGGCGGATCCGTTACCTGGGTCTCCAGAGGGTGAGGTCGCCGTGGGCACCCTGGGAGCAGCAGTTCAGATAGAAATCCTCCCATGCCGTGTGCAAACACTAAGTTTTTTGTTTTGTTTTGTTTTGTTTTTTTTGAGACAGAGTCTCGCTCTGTCGCCCAGGCTGGAGTGCAGTGGCGCGATCTCGGCTTACCGGAAGCTCCGCCTCCCGGGTTCACGCCATTCTCCTGCCTCAGCCTCCCGAGTAGCTGAGACTACAGGCGCCCGCCACCACGCCCGGCTAATTTTTTGTATTTTCAGTAGAGACCGGGTTTCACCCTGTTAGCCAGGATGGTCTCGATTTTCTGACCTCGAGATCTGCCCGCCTCGGCCTCCCAAAGTGCTGGGATTACAGGCGTGAGCCACCGCGTCCGGCCGCAAATACTGGAAGTTTTAAGTCAAGCGAACAAACATTAAACTGTTCTGTCCTCTTACCTTGACAAATACACCTACCAGTGACCGGGAAGGCTGCCTTGTGAATTTAGAAAGTCCTGGGTCTTGGCAGCTTCAGGGGACAGATCGCCCCGCTCACGTTTGCCCCTCTTGCTTCCCACCCTGTTTCTGTCCCTTCCCCGGGGCCCTGGGGCACACAGGGGTGGGATCGGGGGTCCAGGCCGGGAAGGGCTGCTCAGGCTCCGGGCACGCACTCCTGGGGGCGGCCTGTGCACATCCCTTTTGGAGGGGTCTGCCCCACGCATCCGGGGAGGTACGCAGCCCCTGGTGCCAGGGTCCAGGTGGTGCTACTGGGGAGGGCGCGTGCAGGAACCAGCAGCCCTGGAACCAGACGCCAGGGTAGGAGCTGGTCACGAGCCCTGCCTGGCTGGGTCGGGTCCCTGTCCTGGGTCCCAGAGTGCCCTGGACGTTGGGGCTGCAGGGACACCCCGGGGCCAGCGACGGCAGGTGATGTCCAGGGCCCCGCGCCAACTGGGAGCTTTGCTGCCGCTGCGGCCTTGTGTGAATTTGGAGGGACAAGGCCGGGGCGCGAACTGAATCTACTGTCATATGCGGAGTCAATGCACCATCTCCAGGACCTCGAAAGCCTCAGTTTCCACGTATGCAAAACGGTCCATGGTGCCCTCGTACCCTGGTCGCTGCTGCACCATCGAGGTCAGCGCGCGGCAAGTCCCAGGTAGGCCACGTCGGCTGCAGACCTCGGCGGCGGGCGGTGGCGGCGCGTGTCCACGCGAGGGCGCTGCGCACCGCGCTTCAGCCCGACCTCGCCTTCTGCAGGGGCGGTCTCCTGGCGCCAGGGGGCGTGCGAGGACCGAGGAGAGCGCAAGAGTAAGCCCGCGGGTGCCGGAGCGCGCGCCCCGCCGTGTGCTGGGTCCAGGGCGCGCGGCCGGCCTGTCCGGGCCTCCTTCGCAGACGAAGCGGCTGGAACGTCTCGGGGGCGCGCCAAGCCGGGGGCGCATGCCTGCACACGTGTGCGGGGCTCACCTGGTGCTGCGGCCGGCTCGGGCGTTGCCTGCACGCACCGTGCTCTACCTGCGGGAGCGGAGTGGAGTCCGCGGTGCCTGCGTGGCCGGGGCAGGGCCCACAGGGTCCGGCTCAGAGCCCCGCCCCGCTGCCTGCGGCTGCCGAGCCTTTCCAAGCTCGAGGGGGCCGGGACCTTTGGGAAACCAGCGCCTGAGGCTTGGGGGCGGCCGTGCTGGGAGTGGCGGCTGCCGGGAAGCAGGGCGGATCCCTGGACACCTGGAGCCCTGCCCCCTCGTCCCCGGGGACCCGGGGGTCTGTCTGGTTGGGGTCCGAGCGGCCTCAGGGTGGGCGCTGCATCCTGGCCCGGGGTGCACGGTTGTGCGGGGGACACACTTGTCCCGTCCTGCCCGAGCTGCGACCTGGGCCAGAGAAGGGAGCGGAGCTGGCATAGCCCCAGCCCCAGCTCACTGGGGCGCCTTGCCCGCCTCCCCAAGCCTGGGCCGGCTTGGCCGCTGCAGCCACCGGGCCTGGGCCCCAGCACTCGAGCCGCAGGGCGTCGCAGGCCTGGCCTCGCTTCCCCAGAGTCGGCCCTCCCCAGGAATTTTTTGTTCCTTAGCCCTAGTGAACCTTCTGCGTCCCCTCGAAGAGGGGAGCCAAGGGACCTTGGGGACAGTTGAGGTTCGGGTTTTTAAAACACCAATAGGCTTTATTTTTAGAACAGTTCTACATTTACAGAAAAAATGAGCAGCTAGTCCGGAGTTCTTATTACAACCCCTGCTGCCTCCCCCCGTGAACATCTTGCACAGGCGACGTGCATTTGTTCTAATGAACGAACAAATAGTGACACGTTACTATTAGCTAGAGTCCATACAGCTGAGGTCCCCTTTCTGTCCCAGGATCCCACCGGGTCGCCGTCTGCTCACGCTCCTTGGCGGCAGCATTTCTCAGACTCTCCTTGTCTCTGGTGATCGTGACGGTGTGAGAGTATTTTGAAGGCTCTTTCTCGACTGGGGTTTTCTCATGGTCAGGTTGGGGCAGCGGTGTTTTGGGAGGAAGCCCGCAGAGGCAAGGCGCCGCCCCCCTCCCATCACATCGAGGCTACACGCTGCTGACACGCCTTCTGGCTGCGGCGCTGACCTTGGTCACCTCGCACGTCTCCACCCCAGTTCTGCTTTCTCCCTCCTTCTATAGGGTGTCGTTGGAAGTCCCTGTGTGCAGCCTACGCTGAATGAGTGTCCCTGAGGGGGAGGAGCCCATAAATTGCTGGGTTCTGCGTGGAGACTTCTGCATATTCATCTCTTTTCTCCATTTTTTTTTCTTTTGGAGACAGGGTCTCTCTCTGTCACCCAGGCTGGAGTGCAGTGGTGCGAACACAGCTCATTACAGCCTCGACCTTCTGGGCTCAAGCGATCCTCCCACCTCAGCCTCCCAAGTAGCTGGGACCACAGCCATCATCACACCTGGCTAATTTCTTTGTATTTTTTGTACAGACGGGGTTTTGCTATGTTGCCCAGGCTGGTCTTGAACTCCTGATCCTCCAACTTTGGCCTCACAAAATGCTGGGATTACAGACATGAGCCACTGCACACAGCCTTCTCTGCATTTACTCATCTATTTGATCATTCTGTCAGTGTAGACTCATAGGTATTATATAAGGGGTTAGGAGGGGTGTGGTTATAGGCTGCTGGTGTACACTTGGGCACTTGTTGTGTGTGTCCCTATGCTTGTCTGTGTTTGAAATGTTTCTAATGAAGTGAAATAAAGATGGGGTTAGGGCCGCCACTGAGGGGTGAACCAGGCTGGTAGACAGTCTCTTACCAGAGCCTGCCCCTGTGTCAGGGAGGGCTGGGTCTGGATTGGGCTGTGTTGGGCCTTTGTCCCTGCCTGGTGCCCTGTCTGTGCTAATGGCTATGGTCCTAACAGAGGCTCCTGGGGCCTAGGGGGTGGTTCCTGTTGGCCTCTAAAACCCGCCCTACTCAGTGACCGAGAGAGCAAGTTGGGACCCACTGGGACCGGGCCCTGCCCTTCAGGTGGCCCTGTGGCCTCTCCGAGTGCATGGCAGTAGAAGTGGTGGGGGACATTGCAACCTGCAAAGTGCTGGGCTGGAGGCCACTTGCTGAGCCACGCTGTTTCTGGCAGGGACTTTCTGACAGGGCTGATGTGTGTCCTGAAGGGACTCCTGCCTGCGTTTGGGGCTGTCCCTGAAGCGAGAGCACGGGGTGTCTGTGGGGGCTGGCTCCCCTCTCCTGAGCCCACCCCGGTCTCTGTGGATGGCTGCCGGCCTGGGTTGATGGATGTGGGCTCATTATCTTGTCTGTCTTAGGGGAAGGTATTAGCTTGGCAGTTCATAAAAGATTTTAATTAAAGAGGGAAGAATCATTTTGGCAAACTAGCCTTGTTCCCACACTCAAATGACCTGTCAAAGTTATAAGTTCGGTTAATTTCCACACAAAACCTTGCTATTTTGGGGGAATTCAGCTGGAGTCTGGGGCGACACAGCCCTGGGACTGGGCACCCTGGGTGGAAACCTGTTTCCCTCTCTCTTCTTGCCTGTGAAAGCCCCTGGCAGCCACCCTGTCCCTGCTTCTCCAAAGCCCCACTCTCTCTGCCCATCTGCCCACAGTCCCCATGGGTCCCAGTGTTACCCTTGACCCCTTTTCCACATGCCCTTCCCGCCCAGGTCCTGGTCTCCTGCAGAGCTGCCTCATCTCCAGGCATCCACGTAGACTGTTACATCCTCTTCTCCATGTGCCAGTGATGGGATGCTTAAAATACATTTTGAGAGAGTTATGGGCTCACAGGCAATGGCGAGGGATGGTACAGAGAGACCCTGTGTACCCTGCCCTGTTCCCCACAGCAGGAGAATCTTGCAAAATTGGAGTGCAGTAGCACAGCCGGGACATCCCACCAATACACCACGAGCCTTGTTCTGGCTTCAGTTTTTTGTGCACTGGTCTGTGTGTGTGGGCACGTTGAATTCTAGACAATTCCACCACAAGCACCCACAGCCAGATGCAGAACAGCCATCACCGAAGGCTCCCTCCTGCCCTTTCACCCACAGCCACCTTCCCTCCCACCCAGCTCTCCCGGGTCGGCGGGTGGGTCTTTTTAAACCACACCGCAGGTCACGCCTCCTGTAGCCTGCAGTGGCATCTCCCAGGCCTTCCCAGGCCTTCCCAGGCTGGGTCCGCAGGACTCCTCACCATGGCGGCAGAAGTGGCCCCTGAGTGACAGCAGGTGCACTTGCCCTGCCCGGCTGTCTCAGGACCTCCTCACCCCTGCCTGGATGCTGCCTAGCCCACCCCTTCCACTGCCTCCCTCACACTCCTCCCCCTCCCCCGCCCGCCTTCCCCCTATGCTCTCCCTCTGACTAAGGGAAGAGTTTCTCAGGAGCCTCGCTGCCCCTCTCTCTGTCTCTGTCTCTTTCTCTCTCTCAGTCTCTTTCTGTGTCTCTCTGTCTGTCTATATCTCTGCCTCAGTGTCTCTGTCTCTGTATCACACTGTTTCTGTCTATATATATCTCTGCCTCACTATCTCTCTGTCCCTTCATGCTACTAGGACGTCTGGCTGCCCTTTCCTCCCTCCTGCATCCCTGGCATGTGGAACGGTGCTCGATGACTCAGATCCCTGCTCCCTACCTTGGTCTTTCCTGAGCGTGCTCAGGGCTGTGCTTGGGGACAGGATGGGGACCTGTGGCTTCTCTCACCTCCTCTCCTGCCAATGCCTGCTGCCCTGCAGGCCCCTGGAGGTCCCAGGCTGGTGACTGGGCATGCAGACGATGGAGGAGCCCCCAGGGGTCCTCGAGGCACCCCCTGGAAAGTGGCCAGGTGTTGATTTGGGCCGAGCCGTGTGTGGGTCTCCTGTGGCCTGGCCACCAGCAGGGACAGAAATGGCAGGGTGATCACTGGCTGACCCAGAGATTTTGTTTCCACTGAGCCTTGGCCTTCGTTGACTGTTACCACTGGGCTTTGAGTCAGACGTGGCATGCTGCTAGAGAGCGAGAAAGAGCGAGAGTGAGAGAGAGAGAGGGAGGGGAGGGGAGGGGAAGGGAGAGGAGAGAAGGAGGGAGAGGGAGGAGGACGGGTGGTGGGGAGGAGGAGGTTCTGAATTCTCCCAGACCTCCCGGCCGGCACCTCCAGGCCAATGGAATATTTAGTTCTGAATCCTTCCCTGGTGCAGATTTCAAGTGAGGAGGGTGATCTGGGCCTTGTCCATCTCTGTCATCTCTCAGGTGTCTGGCAGGCTCGGCCCCTGGCTCCTGGCCATTGTGGGGGCACAGAAGGAGAAACAAGGACATCCCTCGGCCTCAGGGGCTGGCTAGACACAGGCAGGAGTGAAGATACACACGGCATGGAAAGGCAGCCGTGGCCCTTAGCGACAGTGGCGCTGGGAGCCTGGCTCCCTGGGGGCGGTTCAGAGATGAGCGAGAAGGAGCGGTGAGCTGGGAACGCAGTGCCCTCCAGGCCAGGGAGAGCTGGGGATGGGGCTGTGGAGGGGCTCTGCTGGGGTCCCTGAGTCACACCGGCTCCTCTGTGGCACTCCTTGGCTTCAGCACCCCCTCCCCACTCCCTCCTGGGTGCAGGATCCCCTCCTGCGGTGTCCCCTTGCTCCCCAGTGCTGGGTCCATGGAGGCTGCAGACACCGTCTGCTTGTGCATGTCCAACATCCATGCCGAGTCACTTGGTCACTCGGGGGACCCCACACAGCTGGCACCAGGGGCCTGCAGTGGATGGAGGTCCATCCATAGTAAGTATGGGGCTAGCCCTTGACCCCACAGTGACTGGGAGCCCCTCAGCTCCTGGGCAGGGTAGGGGTGATGGAAGTGGAAATGCTGCTGGAAATACATTGGCCTGGGCCGCTGCGGCAGGAGGAACTGTGCACGGCCGGAAACCCAGGTGCAGGCAGGCTATGTGGGTGGTGGCTGCTGGCCTGGGGACAGAGGCTTCAAGGACTGCAGTCGTAGTGACACGACACTGACATAGGTGGGACTGGCAGAAGAGGCCAGGTGGCCGGCTGGACCCGAGGGGTGGTCCTCGAAGCCATTTTTGGCCCAGGGTGCCGCGGGCCAGTGCCAGGAGCCCCACAGGCAGCTGCGTCCTGTTTGCATCAGATCCGAAGGATGGGAACAGGACAGGGAGCCAGGTTCCCATCGCCCATCAGGCCAGGCCTTCTCAGGAGCCCTCTGTGGCCTTCGTTAGGCTCCTATTACAAGGCTGCATATGGACAGGTGGGGCTTACCTGATTCTCGCAGCACAGATTCTATTTTTTGGAGCAGGGGAGCGGGCAGGCACCCTGCACAGCCCGGCCATTTAGTAAGACTCGCTTCTTTCTGGGTGTGCTGGGCGTTCACTATGCTTTCATGTCAATAGGAGAGTCACCGTCCCCACCCACTGTATCACGCACCCATTGCCACAGTAACAACAGTCAGAACCCCCACCCCAGTTCTCTGCTCCTGTCTGTTGCCAGCTGGGGCTTGTGGACTCTGCTTGGCGGGGCGCTCACACACGTGGGGTTGGCTGGGGGCTGGCTGCTCTGGGACAACCCCGGATTGACAGCTCAGCTGGGCTCCACTGGGCCTCTCATCCTCCCCACAGCTGGCCTGGGCTTGTCCTCAGGGAGCTCACAGAGTCCAAGATGGCAAGTAGATGTGTGTGAGCCCCTGGAGCCCAGACTGGAGCTAGTGCCATGCCCAGTGTCCAGGGGTTGGGAGAGGCTTCACCTCTTCATGGGGGCTGCAAAGGTGCATTGTGGAAGTGTCAGGCTGCAGGGAGAGAAGACTGGTGTCCACTCACCTTACCAGCACAGTTAAGCTGCGGGGAGATGACCGGCACTGGTGTGCATGTGTGTGTGTGTGTGGGTGCCCATGCATGTGCATGGGTGTGTAAACTCGTGGGTGCATGGATGTGTGTGCATGCGCATGGACACGTGCACAAGTGTGTTTATACATGTGTATGTGTTTGTGCATGTGTGCATGCATGTATGTGGGAAGACGCAAGCTCATTTCCAGTATCCTGCTGGTGACCCCCAGGACATCTTGTGGAGAGCCAGGATCTGAGCCCAGATGGGCGCCAGGGCAGGAGCTCTAAGCTTGGAGTCTCCAGCCTCCAACAGAGCGTGGACTGTCCCGGCTGCCTAGGAGAGACTCCAAGGATGCTCACACAGCACCTCAGCTGCAGAAGGTTGCAGGGAGCATGTTTGTGCAGCCTCTGCTCTGGAATGGCTGTCCTCCACTACAGGATCCTGTGGGCATCCATGGACACAGCAGGCCACAGTGTGGCACCAAGGCCTGAGCTCGCCTGCCACGGCCCGTGGTGGGCATCCAGCCTGGCCCCTGCCACCCCATGACCTGCGGGGCATCCCTGCTCTCCTGGTAGCAGCAGTACAGTGTGGGCTGAGCACCAGTCAGGTCTGACAGGCTGCCCCTCTCCAGGTGGAGGGGGTATTCCCTGTACCCCATATTCCCTGTCTGCCCCAAATCCTCTGGGTCAGCGGGAATCAGGGGTTTGATGGAGCATTCTTCTCTAGGCAGGGCCTCATCGCAGTGTGAGCAGAGAGAATCTTTCCTTTATTAGGATACAAACTGGGAGCTGATTTCTTCTACTGCTTGTGGCTGAGTCCCTTGACGTAAAAATTATTCTGTTGAAGGGGGATGATGCTGCTACCAGCGTCAACACTGACAACCATAACGGGGAATGATTTTCCAGCTCAATTGAGTAGGTATTCTGCAGAGTAGAAGCCACAGAGGAGCATGGCCTGGTAGGGGCATCACCTGGTGGAGGAGCATCGCCCGGTGGAGGAACATTGGCTGGTGAGGGAGCATCATCTGAGGGGGGAGCAGCACCTGGCAGGGGAGTATCATGTAGTGGAGGAGCATCACCTGGTGGAGGAACATCACCTGGGGGGGAGCATAACCTGGCGGGGGAGCATGACCTTGGGGGGAGCATCACCTGGGGAGGGAGCATGACCTTGGGGGGGTGAATCACTTGGGAGGGGAGCATAACCTTGGGGGGAGCATCACCTGGCGGGGAGCATCACCTGGGGGGGGAGCATAACCTTGGGGGGAGCATCACCTGGTAGGGAGCATGGCCTAGTGGGGAGCAGCACCTGGGGGGAGCATCACCTGGTAGGGAGCATGGCCTAGTGGGGAGCAGCACCTGGGGGGAGCAGCACCTGCTAGGGGAGCCTCACCTGGTGGGGGAGCATCATGTGGTGGGGGAGCATCACCTGGGGGGTAGCATAACCTTGGGGGGAGCATCGCCTGGGGGGGAGCATCACCTGGTGGGGGAGCATCACTTGGGGGGAGCATCACTTGTGGGGGAGCATCACCTGGGGGGTAGCATAACCTTGGGGGGAGCATCGCCTGGGGGGGAGCATCACCTGGTGGAGGAGCATCACCTGGGGGGAGCATCACTTGTGGGGGAGCATCGCCTGGGGGGTAGCATAACCTTGGGGGGAGCATCGCCTGGGGGGGAGCATCACCTGGGGGGGGAGCATCACCTGGGGGGGAGCATCACCTGGGGGGGAGCATCACTTGTGGGGGAGCATCACCTGGGGGGGAGCATCGCCTGGGGGGGAGCATCACCTGGTGGAGGAGCATCACCTGGGGGGAGCATCACTTGTGGGGGAGCATCACCTGGTGGGGAAGCATCACCTGGTGGAGGAGCATCAACTGGGGGGGAGCATCACCTGGCCAAGGTGCCAGATTCTGTGGCTGTCCTTTAAATCCAAGTGTAGTGGCATATCCTTCCCCCTAAGCACAAAAGTCAACAACATAGTGACAAGTTGCTCATTAAGAATTTTGTTGCAGGTTGGGCGTGGTCGCTCACACCTGTAATCCCAGCACTTTGGAAGGTTGAGGTGGGCAGATCACCTGAGGTCAGGAGTTCGAGACCAGCCTCGTCAACATAGTGAAAAACTGTCTCTACTAAAGTACAAAAATTAGCCAGGTGAGGTGGCATGCGCCTGTAATCCCAGCTACTTGGGAGGCTGAGGTAGGAGAATCGCTTGAACCCAGGAGGTGGAGGTTGCAGTGAGCCGAGATCACGCTACTGCACTCCAGCCTGGGCGACAGAGCAAGACTCTGTCTGGGAAAAAAAAAAAAAAAAAAGAATTTTGCTGAGAACGTGTTTGGCTACCTGTGCGAAAATGTGAGTAACTGATTTCAAATACAGCTAAAAATACAAGTTGTAAAAAAGACACCAAATTTTTGACCAGCAGAATTTTTTTTTCCCTCAGGAGCTCTTGGATCTCTTTGAGAAATGTATTCTGTTTCATCCTTAAGCTACAGATACGGAAAGAAAATGTCATCTAGAGGTTTCACAGCGCACCGGGATTTATTGTAGCAACGCCTTGCTTGCTAAAGAGGTGCTCAGTGAGATGATATTCCAGTAAAAAGCCCACTAAGTCTCAGTGAAATGTCTGAGTAGCAGAACGTTGAGGAAGCAATTTGGTTTCATTACTTGTAAGTGCACTGTGCATTACAGAGTCGGGTAGGCATGAGAAGCATGGGGCAAGTTAATGGAAATAGCCTTTTACTAGAGGGACACATTCCATGATGCTCTTTTCTTAAACATACATATAAAAATCTTATCACTCCTAAAACATCCTTTAGCTTTTAATCATGAGTTCCTAGAAGCCCAGGCTGCAACCAGGCACTGCTGCCCCAGGACCAGGTTCTGGGATGAGTGTGACTGCACGGTCTCCAGGTGACCCTGGCCGGCCCCTTCCTCTCACCACTGAAGGCCCTCCTTCTCCTGAAAGACTGTATCAAAAGCAGATGGTGGGCTGGGTGCGGTGGCTCACACCTGTAATCCCAGCACTTTGGGAGGCCGAGGCGGGTGGATCACCTGAGGTCAGGAGTTTGAGAACAGCCTGGCCAATGTGGCGAAATCCTGTTTCTACTAAAAATACAAAAATTAGCTGGGCGTGGTAGCAAGTGTCTATAATCCCAGCTCCTCAGGAGGCTGAGGCAGGAGAATCCCTTGAACCCGGGAGGCAGAGATTGCAGTGAGCCGAGATTGTGCCATTGCACTTTAGCCTGGGAGACAGAGGGAGACTCCGTCTCAGGAAAAAAAAAAAAAAAAAAAAAAAGCAGATGGTGGTTTCAGGTCTTAAAGCTTTGCTTGTAAAAGGCACTGGTTTTTAGCCTCAACTTCACTTAGAAGGGAGACTTTAGAGCTTTATAAAAATCCCACCCATGTCCAGAGGGACTTAGAAGGAGTCCCTGAAGGCGGAAAGCAGGAACGCTCTGCTGAGATCACATTTTACTTGCTTTATACCTAGAGAGTTTGGATTTGAAGGTATTTGTGTATCTCAGGATGGCTGGCTGAGATGCAAACTCATGTACTTACACTCCCTGTAGATCCCTTCACCCCATGACAGCAGATTTCTGCCTTCAGTTGCCCTTAATGCAGAATGGAGGCTCTCACTGGTGTCGGGATGCAGCAATAATAGGAAAGTGGAGCGACAGCTCCTGGGCCGGTGACACTCGGGGGAAGGACGGTGAAGGTGGAGGGTGGTGAGCATGAGCACTGAGCCACAGGGGCTCCTGGAGCACCGGAGGGACCCCAAGCAGTGAGGGCAACAAGGGTGAGGCCTGGCCCAAGCCTCAGATTATGCAGAGCGCTGGGTGAGCCCGAGTTCTTAGCCCAGACAGGCGCACAGTTGCGAGGTCAGGGGAAACAAGAGGACCCCCAGCTACGGCATGGGGACAACTTTTGAATCCTCTGATTCTCTGTCCCCACCCTCCATTTAAAGCTAGCACTCCCCTTGCTTGAAAACCACACGTGGACGCGCAGCCTGCAGGGCAGCGCAGCCTCCCTCAGAGTTTGGCCTCCCCTCCCCTCCTGAGCCCCCAGGGGCCCGGTACCCTGTGGGCACTGCAGGACCAGCCAGCTTGTGCTGCCAGGAGCTGGGAGAGGCCACATGGGACTGGAACTTGGGGGTGGCATATAGGAAGGTGGGAGAGGAGAATCTGTTGCCATGGGAGCTTCGGGGTATGAGGTTCATGCCCTGGCAGGCCCCAGTGCTCGGAAGGCTCCTGCAGGCTCAGGGGCGATGGCCTGGCTGAGGGAAGAAGCGCCAGAGGGTCCAGAGAAGAGGGGGCCAGAGGCTCAGAGACATGGATGTCCACAGGAGGTCACGTGTATGCTCTGCGGGGAGCCTGCTGGTGAGGGCTCCAGCGCCCCTGGGGAGCCCAGCGCTGGCCTCTTCTGCAGGCCAAAGCAGTGCCATCATAGAGCAGGGCTCACCATTTGGGGTGGGCGGGGCAGGATGTCACTGTGATAGGTACACAGAGAAAGGACACGGTTTTGCAATGGGTGGCAGCGAGGCCCTGACCCGGGGGGCACTGTGGGGAGATTTGAAAGGGGGACATGTGGCCGCAGGAGAGAGCGGGCCGCCCGCTGGGCATTGCTCAGTCTCTATGGCCACGAGAAATGAGGAGGCTGGGGGTCACCAGCAGGACACGGTCACAGTCGTGGGCCACGTTTCTGGGCCTGAGCCAGTTTTCCAGCTGGAACCCACTGTCTGAGGAGGCCTGTTCTGCAGGAGGGGAGAGGTCCCGCTTGGCTTACACCCCTAGCCTGGGCTTAGAGAACAGGGGGGCCTGGCCCAGGACAGAACCTTGGGGAGCCCCTGGGCTGAGCTGGGAGTTTGCATAGCAGCCCCATGGATGTCCGCGGAGGCCTCAAGGTCCTTCATGAGATGGCTCTGGTCAGTGGACGGGGCACATGGTGAGTACCCGGAGGGAAGGAGGCAGGGCCTCCATGGCTGGGGAGACTCAGGTTGTCTTTTCTTATCTGGGAACACCAATACCAGGGGGAGAGGAGGGCAGAGCCTCCAGAGGGAGGCCGAATGTGAGCCAAGGGCAGTGGCTGTGATACGGACTGCAGCGGGTTGCTGCCTCAGGCCTGGGGGACACATGGAGAGGAGTCCATGGGGTGATGACCAGTTCTGAGGAAAAAGACCCAGTGAATAGAGGGACCCACTGTCCCAGTGTGCCGAGACCGAGGAAGTGCCTGAGACATGGGAATGTTCGTCCTCAAGCCAGGAAAGTCCTGGGTAAGACAGGCCCAGTGGGTCACCTAGTTGGGGAAGAGGGGGACATGGAGGTGAGGAGGGACCTGAGGAGGTGAGGAGGGATCTGAGGAAGTGAGGGGAGATCTGGGGAGCTGAGGGGGGATGTGGGGAGGTGAGGAGAGATCTGAGGAGGTCAGGAAAGATCTGAGGAGGTTAGGAGGGATCTTAGGACGTGAGGAGAGATCAGGGGAGCTGAGGGGGGATCTGAGGAGGTGAGGAGAAATCTTAGGAGGTGAGGGGGAATCTGAGGAGGTGAGGGGGATCTGAGGAGGTGAGGGGGGATCTTAGGAGGTTTGGGAAGATCTGGGGAGGTGAGGGTGAATTTGAGGAGGAGAGGGTGGATCTGAGGAGATGGGGGGGATCTGAGGAGGTGAGGGGGGATCTGGGGAGGTGAGGGTGAATTTGAGGAGGAGAGGGTGGATCTGAGGGGGTGAGGGGGTATCTGAGGAGGTGAGGGGGGATCTGAGGAGGTGAGGGGGGATCTGAGGAGGTGAGGGGGGATCTGGGGAGGTGAGGGTGAATTTGAGGAGGAGAGGGTGGATCTGAGGAGGTGAGGAGGGATCTGAGGAGGTGAGGGGGGATCTTAGGAGGTTTGGGAAGATCTGGGGAGGTGAGGGTGATTTTGAGGAGATGACAGGGGAACTGGCGAGGTGAAGGGAGATAGTGAGGCTCAGCTTGACTGTGGCTGCTTCCAGATCTTTTTAAGCTGGGTGTAATTGCTCATGACTGTAATCCCAGCACTTTGGGAGGCCAAGGTGAGTGAATCACTTGAGCCCAGGAGTTTGAGAGCAGTCTGGACAACATAACGAGATCCCGTCTCTACAAAAAACAAACAAAAATTAGCTGGGTGTGGTCCCAGCTCCTCAGGAGGCTGAGGTGGGAGGATGGCTTGAGTCTGGGAGGTTGGGGCTGCAGTGAGCTGTGATTGCACCACTGCACTCCAGCCTGGGAGACACAGTGAGACCCTGTCTCAAAAAAACCGCCAAACCCAGCAATAAAACCAAGTCTTTTTTGTTTTGTTTTGTTTTGTTTTTGAGCCAGAGTCTTGTTCTGTTGCCCAGGCAGGAGGGCAGTGGCGCAATCTCGGCTCACTGCAACCTCTGCCTCCCGGGTTCAAGTGATTCTCCTGCCTCAGCCTCTCAAGTAGCTGGGATTACAGGCACCCGCCACCACGCCCGGCTAATTTTTGTATTTTTATTAGAGACGGGGTTTCACTGTGTTGCCCAGGCTGGTCTGGAACTCCTGAGCTCAGGCAGTCCCCCCACCTCGGCCTCCCGAAGTGCTAAGAGAGCCACCGCGCCCGGCCCCAAATCTTTTTTTTTTTTCAAAAATCAGTTAAGTGGTGGTAAAATACACTTAACATGAAATTGCCCTCATCCTTTACCCTCACAGCCTGCACAGCACACACGGTGCCCGCACAGCACACACAGCACACACGGTGCCCGCACAGCCCACACAGCACACACGGTGCCCGCACAGCCCACACGGTGCCCTCACAGCCCGCACGGTGCCCACACAGCACACACAGCACACACGGTGCCCTCACAGCCCGCACGGTGCCCGCACAGCACACACAGCACGGTGCCCACACAGCCCGCACAGTGCCCACACAGCACACACAGCACACATGGTGCCCACACAGCCCGCACGGTGCCTGCACAGCACACACAGCCCGCACGGTGCCCTCACAGCCCGCACGGTGCCCGCACAGCACACACGGTGCGGTGGTGCCAGGTGTCCTCTTGCTGCTGTGCAGTGCCCTGAGGTCCCTTGGGAAGCCGCTGCCACTCTGTTTTGTCATCACTGACAAACTGTCGCAGGCTGCTGGTGGCTGTGGCCGGTTGCTAATGATTGCAGGGAAGAAACACCTGACCACCTCTGATTTCTTCAAACTCTGCACAGTTAACCTGTTTCCAATAGAGAACTGAGAATTACCATTCATTCCTAATGCTTAATCAGGGTTTAATGCATGGAAGATCTTACTGTTAACCTCCCACGAGGACGCGCTCATCTCAGTCGCCTTTTAAGAGGGCTTCTTGAAAGTCAAAATAATTCCCACTGGTTATTTTTAATGCTCTTATTGTATGAATTGCACAAAAATATTCAGCAGATGAATGCAGTTTTTTTTTCTTTAAGCTCCAGAAGATCGGCTCAAGAAAGGCCCGCCTGCCCCTCCCGCCTCCACCTGCCCCTCCCGCCTCCACCTGCCCCTCCCGCCTCCACCTGCCCCTCCCGCCTCCACCTGCCCCTGTCCATTCTCACCAGCCCTGGTTGCCCTCCGTCCATCCCTGCCCACCTTCTCTACACTGCCCGCCCGCCCCCGCCCGCCCCCGCCCGCCCCCGCCCGATCCCGCCGGCCCTGGCTGCCAGGATGGGCGTTCTTAGGCTCTGCCTACCCCAGGCCCTTGCCAGCCCTGACAGTGCTGGGGAGGGTGACAGGGACCAGCATGCCTGTAGCCAGGCATCTTCACAGCTGATGGCCCTGGTCTCACAGACCATGCCCCTGCCTCAGGTTCCCCGAGGACTTCCCCTGGGCCTGGGCCTGGGCCCCTGCCTTGCTGCTGGCACCCTGATAAAATTCTGTGTCATAAACACAAAGTGTTTATGAAGGCAGCATACAAGGGCACTTGTTGTGAACACAAACTTGGGATATTTTTCTGTTTCTTGTGGAGGTTCACTACTCAGTGTGCAATGAGATTTATCTCATGCGTTTGTCCTCATTTTCCTGCAAAGATAATTGCGTGTGATGTTCTCTGGCATGCCGTGTTTCCCTTTCTGTGTTCCTTGACTTTGAAAATGCGAAGGTTTTATAAATAAGTACAATAAAGCTGATTCTGTATAGAATGAAACCAAAGCCTCTCTTTCTAATTGCATCTGTTGATCTTGTGCACATCTTCATTAGGGGTTTTAGGATATTGGAAAGATGCATCAAAGTTAGCAATTAGAGTCTCCTCATCAAATATGGGTTGCTTGGCCTTTCTTTGTCAACAGCTGAGGGTCTGGATGCTTCCAGCAGACAAATCCAGGTGCTGACCCTGCCTCCTCCGGGCACTCAGGTGCGACACGTGTCTGCTTTTCAGGGTGCACTGATTTAGTCTGGGGCCATTTCACGGCCTGGGTGTTCTGGGACCCAAGCTAGCAGTTCGTGTGCACTTTAGTGTCACAGCAAAACGGAGGGTGACTAGGACTCCCGGTTTGCAGACAGGAAATGAAGATTCAGAGAGGTAAGGACAGGTACGATGGCATGTAGCAGGGATTAGAGCCCAGGTCTGCTGATCTGAGCCCCAGGTGCTGATGGCTTTCCCTTACAGCACAGGCCTCCCTGAGGGTGATGGGGGGAGTGGGTGAGGCAGAGCATCGTGCTGGTCCCAAGAACAATGTGGGTGTTTGTAACATGAGTTTGGTTTGCAGTGGACTCTAGGTGCTTCTTACCTGAGGTCTCCCTGGGTTCTCACGGCAGCCTGAGTGCATTCTCCCTCTTTCCTGGTGGGGACTCATGCTCCGCCGGTCAGTGGTCCCTGGCCACCCTGCTGGTCCGTGGAGGAGCTGGGTCTTGCACTGGCCTTCTTCCACCAGGGCCTGTGGAGCCCCTCAGCCGGGCCCAGCCAGGGATGGACTTAGGAGAGGGAAGAAAGAGTGGGGAGGAGACCCGAATGGGGAGGATGGAAGAGGACAGAGGACAGAGAGAGAATTCAAAATCTCCGTCCCTGCCTCACCAAGCTTCTGAATGTGGGCATGTGGCTTTAAGAGCTGAGAGTGAGGAGTTAGAAAAACTGTAAAGAGAAAGACACTTAAGTAACAGTTTATTGGTCTAATTGAGGAAAGAATTATGGAAATTTATTTTCCAAAGGAATGGGGGTATTTAATTAGACACTGATAAACAGGTTCACTTGAGTCTGATTCAGAACTTCGAGGGCCTCTATTTTCCTCTTGCCGCTGCCATGGTGAGTGGCGTTAGTTCATTTTGTCTGCTCCATTGTTCTCATTCTGATAATTAACTCAGCAAGCCGGATGCGGCGTCTATACACACGTCAGGAATCTTCGGTGCAGAGCAGCATTTGTGTTCACCTGAGAAGGCGCCTGGGCTGGGATGTGCTTGGAGAGGCGGTTATGAAAGGAGCGGGTGGAAGGACCACCTGCTGAGGCCAGGGTGGGGTCCTCCCTACGCCTTCCTGCAGGGAGGGGCCAGGGTTCTCCATTCTGCCCAGGGGGGTCCTCGTCGGAGGCTGGTGTCTGCGTTACATCAGGGTAGGCGGGCTATTGTGGCGATGTTTAAGACGAGAGGAACTGTCAGATGTAACATGCCTGGCCTTAGCATGCTGGGGCCACAGTCATGAGAGACGGGGAACGTCGCTTAGCTCCGCTCTCTGTGAGGCCTGGGGTCTGCTACGGGGGAGTGGGGCTTCAGGTTCATGTCACTAAATGGCAGTGACGTTTCATGAGGTCCCAACACCTGCCGCCCCCATCTCTTCCTCAGCAATAAGGCGCCAACTGAACGACAGCATTGAACCCTATGCTGGCTATTGAAACACTTCCGTGGGCGACGGCCTCCTGTAGGTTTAATTCTCATTTACTCCTCAGGACAACCTTGGGAGGTGCTCTTCGTCATGTTTGGGAGACAACTGAGAAGTAAAGGATCTGAGAATGTTGATCAAAGTCATACAACCAAGGTGCATATTCAAGAACAGCAGGATATTCAAATGCTGAGCTTCATACAGAATGTATATCAACGTATTTGTGGAATTAATCTTAGAACATTCTATTACAGAATGTGGGTTTATCATGTGTTTGCTGTGGGGCACTGTGCTGAGTTCCGTGAGCACAGATGAGTGAGGCTGAGTCACTGGGGCCCTCAAGGCCCACGTGGGAGCTGGGCGTGTGGGTGCCCCTTGAAGGAGGAGGCCGCTGTGCTGGACGCTCCAGGCCTCTCGTGCATCCGTTAAAAGCTGTCTGCTCAAGCTCAGGTTGAAGAGGACCTTGGCAGGCAGGGAGTCCTGCGGTCACACGGTCACACAGAGCAGAGGTCGGGCATATGGGCTCCTGGTTGGATTCCCGGGATGCCAGTCCTGGCCCTGCCTGCCTTGTGCTGTGTGGCCTGGGTAAAACACTTGGCCTTTCTGTGCTTCTGCCTTTCTGTCTGCTGAAGGGGACGGTGGTTCCTGCTGTGGGGTGCGCTGTGGGATGGGCAGCAGGCACCGGCACGTGGTGCCCTCAGCTCAGGTCTGCAGATGGCAGACACCGTGCTATTAGAACTGTTATTCATCGGCATGTGGCCTTGGGGAATATGTTTTCCTTTTTCTTTATAAATTACAAAAGTAATGCATGCTCATTGAAGTTCAGACAATACAGAGGTAATTATGTGTAAAATGAACTGAAAGCTGCACACTCTGTCCTTCCTCTCTGGTCTTCTGCAGGGAAAAAGCCACTCCAGCCCTGGGCAGGCTTCATCTGGAATCGAGACTCGAGATCTTTTTTCCTATGTATTTACAAATACAAACATATACGTATAAAATGCTTGCTTTCATGTTTACAGTCACTGAAGCCACTCAGTGCTCATTATACTACCTGTCCCCCCCCACACACACACTCTCACACACTAACACACACTTGCACACATGCACTCACACACTCATGCACACACTCACACATTCATACGCACACACTCACACACACATACACTCATTCTCACTCATACTTTCACACACCCACACATACACTCTCACACACTATCTCACACACAAACACACTCACACACTCCCATACACACACTAACACACTGACACCACACACATTCACACACACCCAATCACACACAATCTCACACACTCTCACACCACACACCCACACTTCTCACACACACACTCATACACACACTCACACACCCAATCTCATACACTCTCACACTATCTCACACACCACACGCACTCACACACACCCCCACAATCTCACACACACACACTCACACTCACACGTCACACACACCAATCTCATACACCACACACACCACACCCCCACACAATCTCACACATACACACACAATCACACACACCACACACCACACACCACACCCCCACACAATTTCACTCATACACAATCTCACACACACAAAATCTCACACCACACACACCCCCCCCCCACACTATCTCACACACTCACACTTAGACACACTCTCACACACACACTCTCACCCCCACACACTATGTCACACACACTCACAGACACACACACACACACTCTCACCCCCACCATCTCACACACACACAATCTCACACACACACACACATATGGCAGCAGCATGTAGTGGACATGTTTGTGTCACTAGAGAGACATTGTCAGCATTTATGGATGTGTTCTTGCCATGGCGTGATCCACCTCGCTATGTTGAATCATCCCGTTACTTGGGTGTTAGGTGCCTGCCCCCCACCCCTCTCCTGCCCCAACTTTTCAATGAGAAGGAATGTCCTAACAGATGTTCTTGTACGTTCATCTTTAGATGGGAAGAAGATTTCTGTTCAATGAAAGCAAAAACCAACATGTTCAGCGTCTGCCCAGTGGCCTGAGACCTGGCTGGGAAGTCAGCACGTCCCATCTCTGGGATAGCCCCAATTAGGGCAGGTGGGCTGTCTCTTGGGGATGTTGTGTGTGTGTGTGGGGTTTCTGGGCTGGGGGTGCACGGCTCTTTGCACATGGAAATATTCTGGCAATGAAATTGAGAGTCTGCATAGACTTTTCAGTAGAGAAGGAAATACTTGTATTGAAAATTAAGAAAATTACAGTAAGAGAATTAAACATTAATTGACAAATGGAAATGCATCCAGAGAAAGATCTCCAAGTGGATGAAAGGTTTTAGAACCATGCTTTAGGCAGAATGGGGATGCTTCGTCCGGTAAAGGCATGGGAAACATCATCAGTTATCACCTGTTGGAAGGACTTCACGTGGAGGAGGAGCAGAAATGTTTCTGGGTGGCTTCGGAGGGTAGAGGTAAGACTAAAGACTACAACTTAGAAGAGGCTGATTTTGACTCTCAATGCCGGTGAAGCTTTTAACATGAAGATCTGTCTATTGAAGACTGGGCTGGACTTCTAAGCCCAGATGAGGGAATGGAGCCAGGAGTCATCCTCTCCCCTCTGCTCCTAACACAGGTTATAAGTAAACTGTTTTACAAAAGAAGAAATAACCATATTCAAAAGCAAGGGCAAACTGCAGGCCCAGGAGTGAGAAGGCCCATGGAGGTGAGCAGAGGCTGAAACAGTGGGTTCAAGGGACTGGGGACCAGAGTGAGTGACCAGCAAGACTTTCCAAGCCTCCAGTGCTTATTGGAGGAGCTGCTGTTAACCATGCAACCTGTGGGGCCAGGCCGAGGCAACTGCAGAGTCAGGTGAGAGGAGCAATGTCCATGTGAGACATTGCAAACAAAAATTGCAAATCACAAGACACTTACAGCCCCGAGAATCAATTGGTAGACAGTACACGTGGGAAAAGGCACACCCAAGGAAATGGAAATAATAGCACAATCTGAAAACAACTTTAAGGAGGGAGGGTTCAGAATCTCAAGGAAGACTGAGGAGGAAACTGAATCCCTGAAATGGGAATTGGGGGGTTATTCATCCAGAACAGGCCTGATTCCTGGGAAGAGGACTCTAAGATGAAGATCTGCACAGGGCATTTATTGAGAAGGCTCGGGAACGATGCCTGTGAGGGACATGGGAGCAGTCAGGGCAGAGTGAGGGGTTGAACTGTGGCATGGCTGCAACAGAGACATGGATGAGTCTATAAGGACCTCAGAGATGTCCCCTATGAAGCAGGGGCCAGGTATCCTCCTGGGAAGCACAATATCCTTCAGCCAGGCTTGAGCTTTGGTGCATGGTTCAGGCAGTGATTTTGATGCAGGGATACCGATTCCTCATTTTGTGTCCAGGGTCCAGCTCTCTCATTTCCTCGTTGGTTAGTACAATGCTGTTTCCTGATCCTGATGAGGTTACTGGATTTGAGCTTTCTGTAAATGTTTTTTCTCTTGTATTATAACCTAATCAAATAGCTCTCAGCAATACAACACTGTGAAATAGCTCTTGTAACTATAAGGACATTTTTCCAACTAAAAAACCATGCATGGTAATGTTCATGTATATTTCATCATTGCTTTTATTTGAAATTATTCATGTCTTTAGAAAATACAAATTTGTTGCTCTGAAAAAAATCCCCAAAGCAATACAGCCTGAAACTGACAGGAACCTCAGAAGACTCTGTGTGTGTTTCACAGAGAGGATTGCTTAGCTCAGGGCACCTGTCTGAGTGTTCTCACATGTCCCGTAGGCCGCATGGTCTGTGGCCTGTGGGGATGGCCAGTGCAGAGCCATCAGGGGTCCAAACCCAGAGTACAGAGGCCAGTCACCTGGACCCAGCCCCTCTTCACTGGCAGCTTGTAGAGGATTCCACAAAACCAGGCCCAGTGATTTCAGGTTATTTAAAAATGCATGTTGTTCTGCAATTCCATAGCTGTTATAAAAGCACCACCCCAAGACTATGAAAATCCTTTCTTGGAACAAGCAATTCTGAATGTTCAGCCTGTGGGTTGCAGAAAGAGGCTCTGAAATGTTACCCCCAGAGACTGTGAGCTTTTGAATCTCTTGCTTTTAGCAGTCCTCCTTCCTTTCCCCTGACTTGCTCTAGGGTTGGCAAGGAGTCGCTCATGTTTCCCCTAGTGGGTCAGTGGAAGCAATTTTTCACATTCTTTTTTCTTATGTGTATTTCTCCCCCCAGATGTGCTTGTCGTGGCAGAAATATAATAACGGGTATAGCTTCGCCCCTAGCCACGCCGTATGTTTGTCAACTGTATTTGTTTCCTGGGGCTGCCATAACAAAGTATCACAAATTGGGTGGTTTAAAATAATGGCAATTTATTCTCTCACAGCTCTGCAAGCCAGAAGTCTGAAGTCAAGGTGTCTGCAGGGCTGTCCTCCTTCTGGAGGCCCAGGGGAGGGTCCTTTCCCACTTCCTGCAGCCAGAGATCCTAGCGCTTCTTGGCTCTGGCAGGATAAGTGCAACCTCCGCTTCCGTCTTCACATGGCCCTCTCCACTGTGTCTTCTCTTCTGTCTCTTAAAAGAACACTTGTCATTGGATTGAGGGCCACCCAAGTAATCTGAGATGACTCCATCTTGAGATCCTTAATGTCATCTACAAAGACCCTATTTCCAAATAATGTCATATTCATGGGTTCTGGGTTTAGGATGTGGACATATCTCTTCGGGGCCACCATTCGATTCACTACATCAACAAAGATGCATATGGAATTGTAGACTGTAAGTGAAGATCCAATGTTTGGGAACTGTAGGTAGCTTAATGGTTGAAGGAAGAAAACAAGGTGAAGTTTATTAGGTAGGGAAGATAATTTGGCGTGAGAATGTGAACCCTGTGAAAGGAAAATAAGAATCTCAGGACCCCAGACTCACTATGCCAAAGGAAACAGTCAAGCTTAGGAACCAAATCATGCAAAACTGCCTCCCAGTTTGTTCCTAAATAGCTGCAAAGATGGAGGCCGCCTACCTCCCCATGGGGGCTCCTCACAAGCAAGTTCCTTTCAGGCCCCAAGATTTTTATCCTAAAACAGACTTCTGTTGAGTTTCACCCTGACAGTGTAAGTTAACAGCTTATCTGCTCAGTAGGGCCAAAGGGGGAACGAGAAGTCATTCCTCTACTCCCGAGTCATTCCTCTACTCACCTTTGACTGCTTCTTCTATGTTTATTTTATCTTAGGTAAAAATGCAGTTTCACTGAGCGCCAGACAAATGCACAGTTGACAGTTCCTCTACCCACTTCTTTCCCAGGTAAAATGCGGATTCAGTGAACGCTGATCAAAGCCTCTAAAGAATGCAACCGCTTGCCTCTTTTATCTCCTCCTCCCCCCCTTTTTTTTTCTTTACTCCTTCCCCTGCTGCCCGCTATTTCCCCTTTAAAGACTGAAGTCTCCAAACCCTCTTTGGAAAAAGCACAGACGGTCCTGTGGTTTTGTGTTCCTTTTTCCTTGGCAAACTAAATCTCTAAGTTGATTGAGATGCACCTGGGTAATTTTTCTTTGATTTTCAACTCCATGACAAAACAAGAGGACTTTATTCCATAGGCGAAAGAAAGCCATGGCGGTGGCATGAGACTGAGGTGGGATGAGAGACTCTGATGTCAGCCACAGCTGCCACTGCCATGCTCATGCACGCCCTTTCCGCAGGTGCCTGTCCCTTTCATCAAATGGATTGCCTCAACCTGGGGCGGGGGCTTCAGGTGCGGATGCTTCTGCAGGGCAACCGGCATTACTTCCAGAGCTTGCTCTTTGACACAGCTGGGTCTAAACTCCCTTCATGGGGTTGGCCTGACTTTGGGTGTAACAGAGTGAGGACCCCACGCCCAGTGGTACCTGTGTGGACAATTCCCTCCCCTTCAGTTCCAGCCTCTGGCCCGGAGTGGCTGAGCTGTTGGTTCCTGGGAAGGCCGCTCCTCCTCCAAGGCTGCTGAACTGCTGTGTGGGCAAGGGTGATGGTCCTGCACACAGCCACATGCAGCCCTGGTGGCCACTCAGCACTGGGGTTACCTGCTTTGTGTAAACACACCAGTCTTGTGGGTGATGCGCTGTTGGGGCTGGTCGGTAGCCCTGGAGACCCCAGGGTGCAAGTAGCGGGAGGGTCTGCTCCTCCAACACTCTCCCAGGTCAGAACTAGCCGCCTGCTCTGGAAGCTCCTCCTCCTGGGGGGAGCCACTGAGGGAGTCTTTGTCCCTCTCACACTTTTCTTTCTGCTGGAGCCACCTCGTCTCTCAGGAGGCATCGGGTGGGTGGGGGAGCGCCGTGGTCTGGGCTGCATCAGAGCTCTCTGAGCACTGGGACCCCTCCTTTGCCTGGACCCTTCCCAGGGCCTCCTGATGACATTCCTGGGCCCTTACTCTACAAAAAACATTAAAAATTGTATTTTAGATTGTGTTGGTGCAAAGATGAGTATAGTGAAGAAGTTCACCATTTTGTTTGTTGCCAGAAATGAAACATTTCCAGGGTCCCCAGCCGGCGTCTGCTATGCCTGATGGACAGGCTTCTGGGGTGGGGGCGGGAAGCTCCCATCAGGCCCCCTTCCCCTCCCCTCCCACTGGGGACCCCTGCCTCCAGACGGCCTCCAATGCCCGGTACTCTCCTGCTCTGATCTCCTTCTGTGGCAGGACGGGGCTCACATCAATGTCCTCCCATCTTACCCCTGCCAGTCCCCAGCGCCCAGCACAAGGCTGGACACAGAAATAAACATCGCCCTTTGGAATAAACAAATGTGAGAGTGACTCCTGACCTGAACAGCCCAGCCCCCTACCCCGGGCCTTTCCCAGCTGTCATAAATCTAATGGCTTTTATTGCCCTAGGATTTTTACAGTACCCATTACCATAGCAGTTGGGAACTTAATTGGCAAAATTAAGGACATGTACTTAGGAACTTCTAGTAAATATTTGCTAATGGATTCATATTAGCAGGTCCTGCTGGGACATCTGGTACAGTCAGAACTTGTCTGCCTAAAAACTTGTCCCAAAGCTGGGGGAAGCTGTTTCCTGGCCTGAACTTTCTCTGGGGCTGTGAGAGGCGAGGGCTCAGGAAAAGATGGTCAGGTTCAGTGGAATTTGGATCCTTGAAAGGAAGAAAAGGGTGACGGAAAGGGCAGAGGGAACTGCAACTGGATCCTAAGCCACCCCGTCTGTGACCTGGGCCTTGTCACCGCAAGGCTCTCGTGTTGGTTGGAACTCCGAGAGCGCCGACAGACAACACGAGGCGGTGTGGAGCGACAGGCTGTTTCAGCGAGCGCCCAGGTGCGGGCGGCTCGAGGCCTAAAATGGCGTCAGCACCAAATGAGGGCGGGGCAGGGGTTTTATGGTCTCCTGGAAACAGGAAGTGTCTCAGTCTGACGTAACTGCTACGCGGTACCCGGATGGCCTCTCTCCGGGTCTTCGGGGGTGCGCGTCTTCCGGCCGACCCTCCTCCTGCTCCTGCTATGTTGCTGACCCACGCTGCTGGCGCGAGTGGTCTTGCCCCTCGGGACCCGAGGAGGGAGGAGTTCTTCGTTCCCTTCAGCTTTCAGGCCCCAGGGAGAACCTTTCAGTCACAGGCAGCCTAGGTTCAAGAAGAAGAAAACCTGAGGCCTCGGCTCACCCTGACAGGGAAGTGGCGTGGGGACCGCTAAAGGACTGCGAGGTTCCACTGCCCAGGGCTGTCTAACCGCTTGCTTTAGACTGTGGGTGCACGGAGTCCGTCACTCAGCCTCCAGGACCAGGGCTCCTGATGTGTGAGCGCGTTCCATTCCCCCATTCCCACAAGAACCCTCGCTCCCGCGAAGGCCTCCTGAGCTTGCGCGACTCCGCTGGGCCTTGGAGAGCTCTGGGGAGGGAGGCGCCTCTCCAGCACCCAGATCCCCAGCCTGCAGCGCCTCGGGGCCAGTGTGGCCCGGAATGGCAGGTGAGTTTACAGGGGGGTCTCCGGGGCCTTTCCTAAGTCTATAGACCCATGTCCTTTTGAGAATTCTGAATTGACTCCAAATGGAAGGCTTACCATGCGATTGAAAAAATCGAAACAAAACCGCAGGACCCTATTCGTCCCTGGCCTCCTCTGGCTCATGCTCTGTGCATTTGCTGGAACCCCTCTCTACTGCAGAGGTCACCAGGAGGGTCTGTGCGGGGTCTGGGGATGGGTAGCGAAGCGCAGTTTCCAGTCCTCCCAGCAGCAGCTGTTTTCCTGAGGGACTTTCTGGGACCCAGTGTGTTCCAGGTGGTGGATTCCTCTTTGTGTTTTACTGCTCGTGGTGAGGAAATAGGTGGAGGTTAGAACAGAGATCCCAAAACAGGACTGAATCCAAAGCAGGCTAGGGCAGGAGGTCTCACTGGTGTCCCAAACCATCACCTCCAACGGGGGTCAAGAAGGGTCTGGAAGGCCTGGTGCAGTAATCGCCACTCAGGAGGAGGTGGAGGAGAGGGAAGGTCTGGGCATGGGAGGGCCCATTTTCCAGGGGGAGTTGTACTTGGTGAATCCTAAGATACAGGCCTGCTGCCGCTGCCTCTGCTGCCTTCAGAGCGTGCTCCGGGGCCTGAAGGTGGTGTGCTGTGCACCTTGGGAGCCATGCTTTATGAGTGCAAGAGGGAGTGACTAGGATGTATTTCAGCATGTCTCGCTTCTAAACTCATCACATCATAGATGGGTTCCCAACCTGTGTGAATGTCAGAATCACCTGAAGAGTTTTAAAGACGCAGGTTTCCAGGCCTGTGGCCAGCCTTGGAGAGCCCTAGGAGGGTGAGAGGGGTGGATCTGGCTGTGTTCATTTAATAGTCCTATCACCATTGGCCATAGCCAATGGTATATAGTGTATCCATGTAACAGTCCTATCGTCACTGGCCGTCAGTATGTAGTGTGTTCGTTTAACAGTCCTATCGTCACTGGCCCTCGGTATATAGTGCACATATTTCAAAAATATTGGTTAATGTTTTACCCAGGTGAATTTGAAAAAGAAAACCAGAGAGAAAGCTGACATGCAGCAGTGCCCCCAAAGGTGGGGACTCCAACTCAGGGGCCACCTGGTTTAGTAGGGGCTTGTTGAAAATGCAGGTTCCTGGGCCCCATCCCCAGCTACTGTATCTGCACCTCCTGGGCTGGGGCCCTACATGTGCGTGCTAAATGCATGCCCAGGGGATTTGGGGTCAGGGCCTGATGACAGCGGTGCTGGAAGCGACTGCAGACTGCTGCCTCCTGGGTCCTTCTGGGCTTCTGATTCTGTACCCTGTGGCCCAGGAGATACACACTGCCCTGAGAGGGCTGTACCGGCTGTTGGAGATGCGGCGCTCATTAATAATGCATTCCAGGGGTCAGCTGCAAGATTACCACTTAAAACAGAATCCTGCTAACTTCTGACACAAAATCAATGCCATCAGCACCATCAGAAGCAGCCTGGGAGGTGAGGCCTTCGATGTACCCCCGTGGGCTGGGGTCACAGGACTGGTCCTGCTCGCTGGCAGCTCTATCAAAACCAGCTCCAGCTTCCTTGGAGGCCAAGAGGGCCCAGGCGGTGAATGGCTGGCCCGGCCATCCTGGGTGTCCTAACCTGGCCTGGCAAGGTGTGGCCTTGGCTGGTGGGGGAGGCCTGCAGGTGCAGAGGCACTTCATTGGTGGAGAGTGAAGTGGCAGGTGCAGAGGCACTTCACTGGTTGTTGCTTCCCCAGTCAGTTGCAGCCTGTTTGCACTAAACATCAGCTTCACGTTGACAGCAGAATCTGATGAGCTTTTGGACAGACAACCTTGGGAATCCCCACAGGCCCTGGAGGTGGTGTCGCATCCTGTCCTGGTTGCCTTCATTTTGTGCCCTTGCTTCATAGACCTTTATTTAGCAAATTTATTTGAGTCAAAGTTGACTTCCTTTTCAGCTTTGTCACACACTGCCGCTGGAGTGGGACTTGGCGTGGCTTTTCTGGAGGGCGACCTACATCAAGGGGCATGCATGCGCCCTTTGAGCTACAGATTTCTCAGCTGGGAATGAATTATGAATGTCCTTTAGCCTTGGCCGAGAGGGTGTACAGCTCTGCAGTGTTCCTGTCGGAAACTGGAAATAGCCTGAGTGTTCTCCATTATGAATTAGTGCAAATGAAACACGGCTGAGCCTTACGGTGGCATAGGATGCAGTCATTAGAATACAACATTCGAAAAAGGAAGAGCTGGTCGTTTGGTAAAAGCTTGTAACAGATAAAGTTCTAAATGGCATCAAAAGAACAGACTTAGTAAATCTCATTTTGGTTAAAGATGAGAAATAAAAATAATACGCCTGAATATGTAGGTGTATATACATATGTGTCTGTGTACACGGATGAGTCTGTGGAAGTATATACCGTACACCAAAATGTCGGGGGGGCGTTTCTGGGTGGTGTGGTTACTTATAACTTCCATTTTCTTGTGTGTTTTAAAATGTTCTGTGATACAAATGTAGGTTTTAAAATGGCAAGACAGAAATAATGTGCAGTAGGTGTCATTTTCTAGAATCCCTTTTTTTTCCCCTTTCTTTTCTTTTTTTTTTTTTCCTTGAGACAGAGTTTCGCTCTTGTTGCCCAGGCTGGAGTGCAATGGCACAATCTCGGCTCACTGCAACCTCCGCCTCCTGGGTTCAAGCGATTCTCCTGCCTCAGCCTCCTGAGTAGGTGGATTACAGGTGCCCACCACCAGGCCTGGCTAATTTTTTGTATTTTTAGTAGAGACGGGGTTTTGCCATGTGGGGCAGGCTGGTCTCGAACTCCTGACCTCAGGTGATCTGCCCACCTCTGCCTCTCAATGTGCTGGGATTACAGGTGTGAGCCACCGCACCCGGCCTAGAATCCCCTTTCTTTTGGAGGGCGGTGATGCGCAGGTGCTGGGGAAGTACATTCTGGAGCTCTTACGCAGAAGATGGTTTACACTGACACAGAGGCCGCCGCGCCCGGTGGCTGCCCTGTGGTCGCCCCTTGCTGGCTGCAGCTATCAGCCCTTCACACTGGGCGTGCAGTGGGGAATGTCCTCACTGGACTGGCGTGGTTGCATCTGGCACCGAGCTTTCTTTGTAGGGCTGTTGCCCGGCGCCAGCTCTTCTCCTGGGGGTGCTTTTGTGGTCCTCTGGACCCCCAGCTGCTAGGCTCACCTTCTGGTTGCCCTGTGCCCTGCCCAACTCTGCTTCCTTTTCTGGGTCAGCCATTTCCCAGCATCTCGGTCCCTCCTCCCGCGTGTCTATCTCCTTACCTGTATTCTCTTTTTTCTTTTTTTATTGTAAAGTTTACATAACACAAACTTTACCATTTTAATCAATTTGAAGTGTACAGTTGCATGGCATGAAGCGTACTCACAGTGTTGTGCAACCGTCCCCACCATCCATCTCCAGAATGCTTCCTTCTTCCCAAACTGGAACTCTGTTCCCATTCAACACGGACTCCCCGTGCCCCTCCCCTCATCTCTGGCAGCCTCTACTTTCTGTCTATGAATTTGATGACTCTAGGGCCTCAGATAAGTGCAGCCATAGGACATTTGTCTCTTATGACAGTCTTATTTGACTTACCATAATGTCTTCAAAGTTCATTCACGTTTTAGCATGTAGCTGAATTTCTTTTCTTTTTAAGTCTGAATAATATTCCATCATGGATACACCATGTTCTATTTATCCATTTATCCATTGATAGACACTTGTCTTGCTTCCACATTTGAGCTATTGTGAATAGTGCTGCGATGAACATGGCTGTACAAATATCTCTTCAAGACTCTGTTTTTAATTCCTTTGAATATATATCCAGAAGTGCAATGGCTAGATCACGTGGTAATTGTTTTTAATTCTTTTTCTTTTTTTTTTTTGAGGCAATGTCTCACTGTGTCACCCAGACTGGAATGCAGTGTTGTGATCACAGCTCACTGCAGCCTTGCCCTCCCAGGCTCAGGCGATCCTTACACCTCAGCCTCCCAAGTAACTGGGACCACAGGTTTGCACCACCATGTCTGGCTAATTTTTTTTTTTTTTTTTTTGGTAGAGACGAGGTCTCACTATGTTGCTCAGGCCGCTCTCGAACTCCTGAGCTCAAGTAGTCCACCCAAAGTGCCGGGGTTACAGGCATGAGTCACTGTGCCTTGTGGTTTTTACTTTTCTGGGGAGCCGCTGTCCTGTCTTCTACAGCAGTGGCACCATTTTCCACTCCTGGCAGTGACACATGATGATTTTGGAGGAGGGAGTACTTTTGGTCACCACGCCGCGCTGGTCTGAAACAGTCTGCCTGCACGTGTCCTAAAGCGACTGCACGTTTCTGTCTTGTGTTTGTTTCGTGGTGCTTGCAGCAGGTCTTTGTCAGGCCGGGAGGGAGGACCCAGGGTAGACGGCAGCTACTTTCTTGGCTGGCTCTTCTGTGGCCTCCACGAGACCTGACAGGACCTGCTCTGTGTGCTGGGGAGGTGCTGAGACGGTGACCAGGCCTGCTTGCTGGCCACAAGGCCAGGGCCTGGCTGAGAGGAGGGCTGCTTTGGACTGGGGCTTCTCTGTCCCAGAAGCCTCTGTGGGAGGGGCCCTTCCCAAGGGAGCTGTTGCTGCCAGATTTTGTCTGGAGTGGCTAAAGCCATGGTTGCCCATGATGGCGCTTGTCTTTGGCCACAGTGGGACTTGACTGCAGTCCCCTCCCTGGCCTGGGAAGCTGTGGCCTGCCCTAGAGCACTGGGATTTTCCTTGTGATCTGGGTTCCTGACTTCGATTGCCTGATGAATTGTATCTGGATTTTGCCCATTTTATATATATATATATTTTTTTTTTTTGTAGCCAAGGTAGACGCAGAGACAAAACCAGATCCTACTAGATCTGGCCGACAGGAATGGGAAGGCTGGACGGGACTTCAGAAATGATTTGACCCAAGCGCTAAGTTTTGCTGATGGGAAAGCTGAGGCCCATGTGGGGTAGGTGGCTGGTCCAGGGTCATGCAGCAGCTGTTACTAGGGTCAGGGCCGCTCACATTCTGCTCACTGGCCCACCCCATGGCGTGTTCACTGGAGTCCTGTGTCGGGGGCCTGGAGGAGCAGTAGTGACAGCAGGTGCTCTCTGAGCTCTCACTCAGGCCCGGCACTGGGCCAAGCCTCACAACAGCCTGGGAGGCGGACCGGGCACTAACTGCCTTTTGCAGGTGAGGACACTGAGGCCAGAGAGGTGCAGTTTCTTGGTCGAGGTCACACAGTGAGGCTGACTGCTTGATGTACAACCCTCGAGTCAGTCATGGGCCTCATGTTGGTATACATTCTTAAAAAGCATGCTTGGGAAGTAAGTGTTAAATCAAACTAAACATGGCCTGAGACAGCCTCTGTACTTCCATACCTGCTGAGTCCTTGTGGATGAACTGTAACCTGGCTTAGTAGGTAGACAGACCGAAAAGCTAACCTGGGAGTAGGCTTCTGTAGTAGTTGCTGAGTCCCAGCCAATCCCAGCAGCCGTACTTCAACCACTCACAGCAGCTGACTGTTGAAACTGTATTCAAATAAGGTAAACGCCAAGCTGTAACCAACCCGGCCGTTTCTGTACCTCCCTTCCGTTTTCTGTGTGTTGCTTTTCTTTTTTGTCTATAAATTTGCTCTGACAAGACATCCTTGGAGTCTCTCTCAATCTGCTGTGATTCTGGGGGCTTCCTGATTTGCAAATTGTTTCTTTTTTTTTTTTTTTGAGATGGAGTTTTGCTCTTGTTGCCCAGGCTGGAGTGCAATGGCGCGATCTTGGCTCACTGCAACCTCTGCTTCCCAGGTTCAAGTCATTCTCCTGCCTCAGCCTCCCGAGTAGCTGGGATTACAGGCACCTGCCACCACGCCCAGGTAATTTTTTGTATTTTTAGTAGAGATGGGGTTTCACCATGTTGGCTAGGCTGGTTGCAAACTCCTGACCTCAGGTGATCCACCCGCCTCGGCCTCTTAAAGTGCTGGAATTACAGGTGTGAGCCACTGTGCCTGGCTGCAAATTGTTTTTTTAAATTGCTCAGTTAAACTCTGTTAAATTGAATTTGTCTATAGTTTTTCTTTTAAGAGATTGAAAGGTTGCAACAAAGTTTAGAGAGATATAGAGAATAAACACATGTCAGCGAAGAGAGCCCCAGACAGAGAGGGACAGTTGTCCTCTGAAAGGCCCATGGCTGATGCTGGCCCTGCCAGCCTGAGGCCTGAGAGGCCATTGGCCCTGGAGGGATTTCTGCATGTAGGGAGCCGACCCAGAGCTTCTGCTGTGTGCTTGTGGGTGAAGGGCTGAGGGCAGGTGCAAGGGCCAAGGGCTTTCTGTTGCAGTTGGGACCAGTGGGCGCGAGGCACTCAGAGCGTTTGCGGGTCTTTGAGAAGTGTCTCCCAAACGGTGAATGGGCAGGCTGGGTGGAGGGCGTTGATTTAGGACACATTGCCTGTAGCAGGGCCCAATGGGGCTGGCCATCTATCACTTCTGCAGGGAACTTTCCACAGCAAGCATGTATCTTCACGTGGGGAAACCGCGCTCCCTGACAATGTGTGGCCAGGGAGACATTTGTTCAGGGCTGAGGAAGTATCCTGCCATAAACTTCCTGCAAAATCACGGCTGTGTAACAGGCTCCCCATCACAAGGTGTATCTTTTTAATAATGTGATGTTTCCAGTAACTCTGGCTTGGCGGCCAGCCCTTGTCAGCTGTGAGCACACACACAGGTGGGAGTGCAGTGAATGGAAGGGCCCCCCTCCCAAAGCCTGCTAGCCACGGGGGACACAGTGGTGTCCCCACCGCAGCTTGAGCCTGCCCCCGTGGGCAGGATGATGGTGATCACAAGGCACACATTTGGGTAAAACTCTGGCCAATAGTCACAGCAGAAGAAAAACATCTCTGCAATGGAGGAGGAGTCTCTGTTAGGCTTTATGTCAGCAGGCATCACAGATGTAACAGGTGAACGCAGGCATTGGGCCTGGTCAGCCCTGTGGAGTCCAAGCTCTGTGATGACACAGAGGGGCCGATGGTTTGAGGACCAGCCAGAACATCCCACATCAACAGAGGCATGGCCATAGACGCAAGACTCAGCTAATTGTCTTGCCAACCCCTGTACACAGTTGGCCTTTGTTGCTCCGTCTTGATTTTAGGATGCTCAGGATGTGTGTGTCTAATACGTGTGTGTGTGTGTCTGTGTAGGTAACTGTGTGCAAATGCATATGTATGTGTGTGAGTGGGTGTGTGTTAAGTTGAACATTCAGCCATGTTGACTACAACAATAGCATTGCTTATGGTTCAATCTGATATGTCTGTGTGAATGTGTGTATATTTTATGTTACATTTTAGAAACAAGTCTTTTTCTGAATATAAAATATGAAAAATCTAGTGTAAGAATATGGAGCTAGAGAAAGGTGTGAAGAAGCAAGGGTTCCTCTGGGACCCCAGCACATGTGACGACCCCTTGTAGCTTTTGATGTGTGTGTTTGACTCATACATTCACGTAAGGCAGTGGCGGACTCCTCCACTCCAGCTTTACATCCCTGTCAGGACAAAGTCTTCATGCCCCCATACACGATGGCTGCAGGAGTAGTTCCTGAGCCCCCTGCCCATCCGTCTCCACTTATCTCTGCCCTCCTTGGTGCCCCTGAAGCCCAGCCTCTGAGGGCAGCATCTCCGGGGCTCTGTTCCCTCGCTGGCGGGGTTTAGGTTGGGCTCAGAGTTTAGGTTGAGGCCAGCTGGACATTGGGAGTGGGAGGAGAGCATGGGGAGTGTTCTTCCTGTTCCCGTGTGCTGTGGTGCCAGCCTCCCTTGGCAGCCTTTCCTTCTCACGGCTTGATTTCCCTGCACTGGTGGGCATGCTCTTCCTTTGGCCCTTGGCCTTTCTTTATGCCTTGGGAGGTAATGGCCGGCCTCTGGGTGTGTCTCCATCTCAGTCTGTGGTGTGACAGGTCTCCCACCAGGTTACTTAAGGGTATCTGTCCACTGCCTGAACCCTGAAGGCCGGGCAGTGAGCCAAGGTCATGGTGCCTGGCCCAGGAGCAGGTGTCCCTGAGAAACCAAACATCCTGGAGAGGATCTGAGAACCTACCAAGAAAAACAGTCTCATCATTCAAACACAGGAGGCAAAGAGCCAGAAAATTAGCTTAAAAGCAGCTTAGAGATGGGAGGCGGTGCGGATCTCTAGAGCAGTCCTGCTGCCACCCGGGAGTGCCCCAAAGATAAATCCTAATAAACAATGCATCTGCTCACCAGACTGGACTGGCCCCAGTCATTCTTTGGTCTCTCAACATCTTTCTGGTGTAGGGGAAGGGTGTTACAGTCCCAAGTTTCTCTTGTAACAAAGTTGTAATTTGATTAGCGACTTTTCCTCTGGACCTCGTGGGGCGAGTTCTTTCTCCTGCAGGTCCTGACTGGCACAGTGCATCACAGATCTTAGCTCATTCAGCCGTCACGACCACTGTGTGACAGTGCCGTGGAAGTGTTCCCGTGGCTTGTGCTGTGTTAAGGTGTAGCTAACACCTGATCAGGGCTTGCTCTGCCAGGGGCAAGGGTAGGGTGTGCTGTCCACCCAGTGGTGTGGTTGTGACCACACCCAGGTGGTCTTCTCTGGCAGCAAGCAAAGCCGCAGCACTGGGCCCAGATGCCTGGAAATGCTCGTATGGACTTCTGTCCTCTGAAAGACCAGGAGTCTTAGGTGGTTGGCATCCAGATTTCATACAAAATGATTATGTATCCAGTACCTTCTTGGAATCCTCTCACCCCAGAGGGACACTCTCTGGCCATTCTCTAAAAGCCCAAAGCCACTCGTCTGCGAGTCAGGGCTTGTGGCTGCTGCAGGTACTGGTGTCCTCATTTCCTGGAGAGTTACGGCGAAGCACTCAAAGTCACACATTTTATAAATAGTCAAAGTGTAATTTGCAACCAGGTAATTTACATTTTATGTCTTTTTAAAAATACACTAGCGTGCCAATTATATAATTGTCTTCAACTTGCTCTGATTCTCCTTGTCCCCGGGGTCCCGTATCCCATGTGACTGCAAAACCACGACAGTCTCATCATGCAACAGGGCAGCACTGAGAGGGAACTGTTTACCCCTCCCTGTCTTCCTGGGAAACTGCTGTGGCCACGCATTTACAAAGATTCCAGAGAATAGGGTAGTCCAATGCACTGTCAAACCTACTTTTTTATTTGTTTCGTTTTTTTTTTTTTTTTTTTTTTGAGATGGAGTCTCTCTGTCGCCAGGCTGGAGTGCAGTGGCACGATCTTGGTTCACTGCAACCTCTACCTCCCGGGTTCAAGCGATTCTCCTGCCTCAGCCTCCCGAGCAGCTGGGACTACAGGTGCACGCCACTATGCCCGGCTAATTTTTGTATTTTTAGTAGAGATGGGGTTTCACCGTGTGGCCAGGATGGTCTCGATCTTTTGATCTTGTGATCCATCCACCTCGGCCTCCGAAAGTGCTGGGATCACAGGCGTAAGCCACCGTGTCCGGCCCTTTTTTTTTTTTCTTAAATGCAGCTGATTTAATCATTTGGATTAAAACAAAAGCAAAACCAACCACTGTACCTGGTTGCTTTATTGAGTAACGGCAGCACCAGTGCCTCGTGTGAACCTGGTTTAGCAGAAGAAAACATGCCTGAGTGAGGGGCAGGCAGGGCTGAGGAGGGGCTGAGTGGGGAATTGCTAGTTAGTTTTTGGTTATTGTTAGGGAAGAAAGTGGAAGTGGTTCTCAACAAGAGACTTGGAAGACATCCCAAGTATGCCAAACCTCTATGCTTTTTTTTTTTTTAAGTAAACTTCATTTTGGAATAATCTTATATTTACAGAAAAGTTACAAAGATGGTACAGAGAGTATCTGTGTGCCCCTTTCCTGGTTTCCCCTAATGTTGCATCTTCTTTTCCTGGTATATTTCTGAAAACTAAGACAGTGATGCTGGCACATTACGATGAACTACGCTCCAGACTTCACTTGGGTTTCACTAGTTGTTTTTGTTTTCCAGGATCCAATTCAGGATATGATAATTGCGTTTGGTTGTCACGTCTCCTGAGTTTCCTCTGGTCTGTCACAATTTCTGAGACTTTCCTTGTCTTTAGTGAGCTCAGTAGCTTTGAGGAGTGCTGGCCATGCATTTCCTAGACCCTCCTTCTATTTTTCATTGTTTTTTTTTTTGCTGGGGGGTGGAGGAAGACCATGGAGGTGAACTGTCCTCTTCATCACATCATGCCAGAGGGTCATACCCTCAACCTGACTCATCCCTGGGGATGGTGACCTTGACACTTGTTCAAGGTCACGTTTGCCAGGTTTTTCCACTGTCCAGCCACTTTCCCCCGCACGCAGACTCTGTCCTTTGGAAGCAAGTGATTGAGCTCAGCCATTGCTCAGAGTGGGGAGGGGAAGTAAGCTCCACTCCTTGGAGAGGAAAATAGCTGCATAAATTATTAAAAATTCTTCTGTAAAGAAGATCTCTCTTCTTCCCATTTATTTATTTATTCATCAATTTATCAGGCATTTATTTATATTACTAGGAACTCATGCATATTTATTTGCTACTTTTGGTTGTGATTCGATCCTGTGTTATTTATTTTGTTGCTCACTCACATTGTTCCAGCTTTGGCTGTTGGATGGTTAGGTTTTCAGATTGGGACCTGGGTCCTTTGACGTGTCCATCCTTTTGTTCTTTAGAGCTCTTCCTTTCTGGCACCAAAAGAGGCTCCACGCCCATTTCACATCTTCTCCATCCTGATCCCAGAATCAGTCATTTCTCCAAGCAGTCCCAGCTCCTTTTATTGAAGAATGGCATTTAGAAAACAACATGTTTGTAGGATATTGTTGCCTCTAGGTGCCCTCTGTCTAGAGTGAGAAAAACCTGAGTCCATGCTTATGTTCCTGCCTCTAATCCAGGGGTGCATGGCCCATCCTGGCCCTCCTTGTGCTTATCTGTCGTTGTCCTCTCTGCCAGTGAGGACCTGGCTGCCACCACCCACCCTTCTTTTACTTGTTTATTCCATGTCATATACGTGCAAAGCAGATTCAGATTTTTCAGCCCCTCTCCTGTGAGTAACAACTTTTCCAAGGAGAGTATAGTGATTATTTATGGCTGTTTTTGTCTTTAGCCTTAGAGCTTCCAGGCAAAACACCATTTTCCAAAGTGCCGTAGGTCCGCTGCCCTTCCCCTTCTGACAGCTTACGTTGTGTGCTTGCAAGAGCTTCCCTCTTAGGGCCAGGTGCAGTGGCTCATGCCTGTAATCCCAGCACTTTGGGAGGCAGAGGTGGGCGGATCACGAGGTCAGAAGTTCGATACCATCCTGGCCAACATGATGAAAACCCATCTCTATTAAAAATTTAAAAAAAATTAGCCGGGCATGGTGGTGCACTCCTGTAATCAATCCCAGCTACTCAGGAGGCTGAGGCTTGAATCCGGGAGGCAGAGGTTGCAGTGAGACGAGATCATGCCATTGCACTCCAGCCTGGCTGACAGAGCGAGACTCTGTCTCAAAAAAAAAAAGTGTTTTCCTCACTTGACCCAGCTTGCATTCCTTCCTGGCACCTTCTGTCTTCTCGGTTGGTTTTGTAAAATCTGTGTATGTGAACCTTCACTTTTGTGATGCACAGTCTTGTGGGTTTTGAGAACTGCCTGGGATCTTGCCTCCACTGCCCTACTGCTGCACAGAGAATTCCGTGCCCTTGGAATTCTGCTGTGCTTTCCCTTTGCAGTAGCCACACTGTCCTTTGCCAGTGCGGATGTGCTTCCCATCCCTTCCCAATGCCACGTGGGTGGGATCTACATGACGGGGCCTTGTTGGGCTGGCTCCTTCCACTTAGACCTGCCCCTGTTGTCGCATGAATTAACAGCATGATCCTTTTGAGCCCTGGGCAGTATTCCATGGCATGGATGCACCAGTGTTTATCCATTCCCAGACTGAAGGACATCTTGATTGCCTCCAGTTTCTGAAGGTTATGAGTAAAGCTGCTATAAACATTGGACAGGTTTCTGTGTGAAAATAAGTCTTAAGTTCTCTGGGATAAATGAGTCCAGTTTGGGGCTGTGACTTGCATGGGCTATGGGGGCTTTTATAGCTTTGGGGAACATTCTGAGGCAGAAGAGAAGTGTTGAGTTGGAGAGGAGACACCCCACCCAACCACTGCCCTGCTTGGCTTCCCTGGTCCTGAGTGAGCTTGCCCCTCCCGGGGATCCTGGAAGGCCTCTCCCATGGGCTGGCCTTTGAAGGAGTCGGAATGGACACAGGAGGTGTCCACAGCAATGTGGTGTGATGGAGCCGATCCCTCAAAGGGAGGGACACAAGAGGAGCCAGCAGTGAGACCCTCAGTGACAACAGCCAGCATTTGGCAGCATCACTGATGTTGGCACTCTCCATGTGCTACTTTAATCATCCAGCAACTCTCTGCATGGGTGGGGTCAGCCTCACTGTCCTGCTGAGGAAACTGAGGCAGGCACAGGTGTGTTACCCACAGAAGTGCTCACTGCTGGCAAAGGTGGGGCTGGTATCTGAGCTGGCAACGGGGCTCTAGTGTTCATACCCATATGCATACATCCCACTGTCTCTCCTGGTCTGGGTGTCAGGGTTGGGCATTGGGAAGTTTTCCAAAGGCAGTGGGAAGCCATGGGGACATTTTAATTGGAGGAGTGACCTATTGGCTTTGTCTTTCAGAAAGGCCATACTGGCTCTGGATGGATTGGAGGTGCAGGCTGAATGGCTGGGGCAGGGGCTGTAGCTGTCCACGTTGGGATCAGAGCTGTGACAGCAGGGGAGGAAGGAAGATGGGCTCAGTTATGGTGTGGGCAGTGTGTGGCAGGAGTGGGTGGCTAAGTACCTGTGGGGAGGGAGCTAGTGTCATCTAGAAGGACTCTAGGGTTCTGGTGAAGAGACATGTCGATTCTCTAAGGTGGTGAACGGTGGGGAGATGGGTTTGGCTTGGGGTGGGAGTTTGCTGAGCTGCCATAGCAAAGGACCACAGACTGGGTGACTTCAACCATGGAAATTTATTCCCCCAGAATTCTGGAGGATGGAAGTCTTATTGGACTAGGGACCCACCCTAGTGACCTCATTTAACTTTAACCATCTTTTTAAAGATCCTGTTTCCAAATGCAGTCCTGCTCTGAGGTACTGGGGGGTTAGGACTTTGGCATGTAAGTTCTATGGGGACAAAGTTCAGCCCATAACACTTATGAATTGGGTTAGAGCAGCCTGTGGGATGCACACGAGGAAATGGACTGGAGTGGCAATGCATATCTGGAGCTGGGGATAGAGGCTGGGGAGCAGGCAGTGTGTGATCCAAAGGGATTGGAGCTGAAAAACGTAAACTGCTCTCCCTCCTGCATGCTTTTCTTACGATGTGGATTGACCCTCCACTGGAGAGGCAGGGTCTGGGTTCTCTCTCCTTGAATCTGGATGGGACTGTGTCTTCAGGGAAGGTGACACCATGTGACTGGAGAGACTGTGTCATAAAGAGCATTATGTCTTCCATCTTAGGATGCTCAGGATGTAACTGAACCCAAGTTCAGCGGCTTGCCTCTGGAAAGCCAGACTTGAGAGACAAGGGTTGATGGGAGGAAAAGCAGGTTTATTTGGAGAGCCAGCAAAACTGAGAAGGGGGTGAGCTAGCATCCTAAAGTACCATTGTATGCCAGTACAAATTTTAGGCTCCTTTTATGTTAAGGACAGGGAGAAGAGGAGGAGGTTGAGATCCAGAGGTGACTGATGACTGCAGAAATCTGGGTGGCAGCCAGGGTCCAAGGAGGTTGGGAACTTTGTCAGGTCACAATGCTCCTATAAATTTTTAACAAAACATAGTTAGTTGTATATGTAGTTCCCCTTTAATCCCAGACTTAGTTATAAAAACCAATGGGTAAAGGCCCCTTAAACATAAATGATGTTAGCTGTGTTAGTTCTTTGCTGTTTCACTGTTATACTTGCTCTTGGAGCCCAGTTATGCTGTGAGGAGACAGAGATGATAACAGAGAGGCCATGTGTGGATGTTCTGGCTGACAGCGCCCACTTGAGGGCCCAGCTGACAGCCAGCATCAGCCTCTAGATAGGTGACTGAATGAGCTTGAAGAGACCCAGAAGAAAACCACCCAGCTGAGCCCTGTCAACCTCCAGCGTGAGAGTTAATCATAGAACCCTGTTGTTGTGTTAAGTCCTCAAATTTTGGGAGTGATTCATTGTGCAACAACAGTTAACTTGAACCATTGTTTTCTCTCCAGCTTCAGTGAGTGAAAGCTTTATTGTATGGTGTTTTTTAAGCTTAGTGAGACTAAGACACAGAAGACATGAAATATGGTTGGTTACATGTGGTTTGTGCTCTTCATATTCCCATTGATTTATGGGTAAAGTGTGTCATGGAGCCAGTGTTAGTGCAAGTTTACAAATGGCAGATTTGTAAAAAGTAATGCTTATTAATCAAACCTAATGGTCTCTGATGTTTTTATGTGAGTTTCAGAATTCAGTTTTGCTAATTGTCTTCTTATTAATTTGTGATTCTCCTATGCAAGTTAGTCAAATGATCTCACTGTGGTTGAAATGACAATCTCAGCGCATAGATTTCTAAGTGTAATTTTAAAAAAAAGCACGTGGTGGGAAGTTTGATTAAATAGACGTTTATAGCCTTGGTTTTCTAAACAATAAGAGTTAATTACAGGGGGGCATCATTTGCAATTGTATAGAACTCTTCATCCGTGGAATTCTGAGCAGTTTACTAAAACTTGAAATGTTAGTCTTGCATTTATTCAGTATGCAAATAAAGCATATAAAATATTCCATCAAGCACTTTAAATAGTCAGCCAAACATATCTTTTTATTATTAGATCAGGAAACTCAAATATAGTTACTCTTTGATTTAATTAACATATTGAAAATACAATTTGGTGTAAACTTACTCTTTTCTCATCAAAGCTTGAAACACCAGCAACTGTTCTGTGGGATTTGAAATTCTATTCTTGAAGGTAAATAGCTGTGTTTTCTATTAATGCCCTTGTTATTTATTTAGACCCAGACAGGAAAGCAGCCCTGGGAGGAAAGCATTCATTTAAAGGCTGAGGGTGATTTTCTGTTTGTTTGATGCTGAACTAATACTACCCCACTAGGAAGGTTCATTCTTTCTGTTTTGACAGAAACCTCCAAAGCCAATTACTGCTGGATGTTTCTGATCTTGAAGGCCATGATAATGCTTTCAAGGCCTTGGCTGAGGGGAACCCCATACCTGGGTTGACTTTCTGGCTATGTCAACCAGGATTAGGGGAGGGCCCAGGGGTACAGCGTGGGTAGGGGAGGTCAGTGAAGGGCATTTTGGGGTCCTGCAGGTGGGAAGAGCTCCAAGAGGGGGTTGGCATGGAGAGATGGGAAGGAGGGAAGAGTATGAGGTGACAATGAAAAAGCCAAACTCTGCCAAAATATCTAAAGAGGTTTATTCTGAGCCATATGAGTGACCATGGCCTGGGGAAACACAGACTCAAGAGGCCCTGAGAAAGTGCTCCCAAGGCCATCAGGTTACAGCTTGGTTTTATACGTTTTAGGAAGACAGGAATTGCAGGTAAAATCATAAATCAGTACATGGGAGATACACATTGGTTTGGTGTATATCTGTCTTCAAAGGTCGGACATCTTGAAGTGGGGACTTACAAGTCATAGGTGGGTTTAGAGATTCTTTCTTGGCAGTTGATTGAAAGAGTTCAGCTTTGTCTAAAGCCTTGGAGTCAGTAGAAAAGAATGCTTGAGTTAAGATAAGGGGCTCTGCTGTCTGTCATGTGAGGCCAGGCCAGAGTCAGGTTGGAAAGTAGGCCATGATATACTGGGCCAAAGAGACCCGTTTAACACAGTTTTATGGCTTGTAAGGGTGACTTTCCCCAGGCTTCTTAGACAGGGATTTGAGCAAGAAAAAAAGGTTAGAGTTCAGTCCTTGAGATATGGACAGAAGTCTCCCGCCCCCATGCCACAGAGCCCATTTCTCAGATGTGAGGACCTGACCGCCACCACTGGAGATGCAGTATTGGGATTTTGTCATCACCTTCCCCAGGGCCTTCTTTAAAATGCACATTTTCAGAAGAATAGGTGTGGGTGTAAATAACATTTTGGTCCTCAACATTCCTGGAGGGGAGAGATGAGCAGAGCAGGGCTGAGACGCGGCTGAGGGTCCTGTGTGGGGCGGCTGTGCTGAGGCAGGCAGATCTGCTCACCTGAGTCACTTCCACGGCTGTGTCCACTCACTTGTCCCCAGGCAGGATGGGGCACCTGGCAGGGGGCTGTGTGTTCCATGATGCTCTGCTCTGAGCCAAGCCCACCACTCCCCCTACTCCAATCTCCCTGAAATCCCCAGAGCAGATACTTTCAGGGTTAACTCCGAGGAGATGATGGGGATAGAAGGACTGCACCCCAGCCCCACCCTGCTCAGTGCTCTTACCTGGAAAGGACGCTGTCCGTCTGTCCAAGATCATCAGGGAAGATGAGAGGCTTCAATCTTTAAGGTGAGGGTAGGGTGGGGTTGGGGATGGGCATCTCACTTCTCAAAATGGGAGGTGAGGCTTTGCAAATTTCCCTCCCAGGGGCTTGGGAGAGGCACTGCAGAGGCTCAGCTGGCCTCCACTGAAGGGAGGGTGGGGCAGGGCAGGTGGCCCCAGGCAGGAGCTCTTCCTGCCCTTTACTCAGCCCCTGCCTCACCTGTGTTCTCCAGGGAACCTGCTCCTTAGTGACTGTGGCTGTGCCCCCACAGCCCAGAGGCCGCACCTGCCTCCACCTGCATAAGGAGCTGCTTCTCCAAGCTCTCCCTGAGAGCCTCACAGCCAACCCCTAGTGTGACTGCCCAGTGGGTTCGTTTTGCCTGCTGCCCAGACCCTGAATCCTCTCAGCCTGGGGAGTCACCTGTCTTCGTGGGGCCACGGTCTCTCTTAGTCCCAGCAAAGCTGGGAGCTTTCATCCGTGGGAAGCTCTGTCTCTGTGCCTCTGGAGGTTGGAGACTCTAACAATCCGAGATCTTCCTGGGTGAGGGGACTGACCTGGTATCCTTCCGAGAGGCAAGGGGAAGCTCAGTTCTCCTTTCCGTGCCTAATGTGGTTATAGGAGAGCACTCCAAAGATGGCACTGATGTCCATGCTAGCCTCCTGGGGCGGCTGCTGGTACAAATATCCACACACTGAGCAGCGTCAGATAGCACAGCTGTTATCTAGCAAGAGGCGGCAGTCCAGAATGGGGTGGCAAAAGGCTGTGCTCCCCGAGGCCTGGAGGGGCATCTGTTCCTTGCAGTGTCCACTTCTGCAGTGTCCGCTCCTGCAGTGTCCACTCCTGGAGGTCCCCGGCTCGGCATGGGGCTGGCCCCCGACCCTCTGCCTCTGCCATCGTCACGTCTCTGGCCCTGACTCTCCTGCCCCGCTGTGAGGAGGCCCTTGTGATACCACTGGGCTCCCAGATGATGCAGGTTCAACTTCCAGCTCAGCCACAGCTGCTAAGTCCCCACTGCCGTGGAAGGTGACGCATGCGCAGGCCGTGGATGTTGAATCCTAGGCATCTGTAATTCCACTGACCACATCGATTGGTGCAGCTCCCCCCGGGACTCAGACTTTTGCCTCCCAGCCTGGCTCCGACTCCACTCCGGGCTTTTCCTGCACCTGGGGCCACTTGGACTCTTCCTAACCCTCTTTGGCCTCCTGCTCTTAAGGACTTTTTAGTCAGGCCTTTCTGCAGGCCAGGCCTGGCTCTGCTGCCCCAGTGGCCTGACCCCGGCTCACCCTGGGGCTCAGCTTCCTGATGTATACACAGGGGACGGGAATCCTGCTTTGCTAGTTGTTTGGGGTAAAGGGAGGTTTTCTGGTTTTGGGGTAAAGGGAGGCTGGAGACAGGAGGAAACCATCACACCTAATGTTAGAGGAGGCTGCCGGGGCCACTGCTTTTAAAGTTTATGCAACTTAAAGTGGCAATAATTGAATTATGAAGTCAATGGAAGCCTACATCTCTGCCAGGTTCAGTGTGGGCAGTGTCCACGACCTGTCCTCCTGGCCTCTGAGCTGGAAATGCTGGCAGGGCTGTGACAGAGTTGTTTATTCTGCATAGGATCCAGCATATTGGGGGGCCTCTCACATATACAACTGACATAAGTTAGTTTTTCTACATAAACTACTTTTTTTCCTTTTTTCATTTCTCTGTTCTGTATTTAAAATGTCAGCAAATCTTCCCTTATTTGGGGATCATACGGTTTGCTTTCTTAATGGCTGGGAACCATGTTTTCCTCCGTCATTTGTAATACATTTCTCGTGTTGGAGCAGGAACGTCTCCCCCGAGCGGGCAGGTTGCTGTAATACAAACAGAAGAGCTTTTAAAATTAACGTGACATCAGAGGTTTGTTGTAGAATTTCTCTAGGAACACAGTCTGCACATATAAATGCTACAGCTCCGACTGGATGTGGTGCGTGTCTTTTAAACACCGCTGCCGTGCTGGGCACTTCTGGGCGCCTCCCTCCCTTCATCCCAGTGGGAGCTCAGAGCTGCTGATGCCAGTGGTCACAGGGTGGTGAGAGCCGTGCAGGGAGGGGCAGAGGCGGTTTCGGAGCCCAGCAGAGTGAGAGCCCAGCCTGGGCAGACAGGAGTTGGAGTTCCTAAAGGTGGATGCTTTAGGAAGATGCCAGCTGCCCTGGGGAAGGGGAAGAGACCGGGAGGATCATGGAGGCCATGGTGAGGCCCAGCCCAGGGCAGTCCAGGCTTGCAGCAGCGATAATGGCAGTCGTGAGACTGTTCAGAATACTATGCATAAGGCTCTATGCTAAGTGCCGTACCCCGTCATTGCCTTGATTCTCACGCCACCCTACGGCCAGACCTTCTCTTCTCCATGCCAGGCAGAGCTAGTTCTCAGGGCTGGCTGTGGGCAGGAGCAGAGGCGGTGCCGGTAGGAAAGCAGGTTCCAGGAATGGCGAAGCTAAATGTCAGTGCCAAGACTGGAAGGGAAGGAGGGTGTTGGCACAGAAGGCGCGTGCCCGATGGGGATGGCAGGAGAGTCTGTGCATGGTGGGCAACCCGCAGAACGACTTTCGGCCCTCGGCAGTCTCTCTTGGCTCTGGCTTTGCAGACTCCCATCCTCTCCTGGACCTGGAGGCCGAGAGGCATCTCTAAAACACAGAAGTCAGTGAAAATGTGTCTCGTGCTACCTGACGCTCTGTCCTTTCCCGAGTCTGCAGGCACTGTTCATGTGTCATTTAATTTTTATGGGCACTCCCACTGAGCACTGGGTCCGGGCTTCAGGTAACAAGGTCTGTGGATATTTGCAGCCACCTGAAATACCGTAAGGGTGAACAATTTCGCGACTTCACGATGCACGTTTTCATTTTATTGCAGGTCATTTTAGACAAATAGAAATCAAATGTGAAGGAAGCACCGTAAAAACGTGTGCTTTCCAAGGGCCAGTTGTTCCTGGATCATACCCAGCAGTGGTCACCTCGTAAAATGTCCCATAAAATCAGCCTGAATAGTGCAGGGATGCAGAGCGATCCCATGCAAAAAGGACAGGGGTACCTCAGCTGCCGATTATGGTGATGCCTGGATGTGATCCTACGTGGGCTGTGCTCAGGTGGGGACCTTGGGGCTCCAGCCCGTGGTGGCCACCTCCTCCTCTGGCTGGCATGCTTGTCACCGTCCCACCCATGGTGACCCCAGGCAGAGCCCACGCGCCACCAGTGTTGGTCTTGCAGGTTCTTAGAAGCTGCAGGGCTGGGATTTTCATAAGACTTTGTAAATGAGGCTTTGTGCTTGCCTGCAAGGTTAGCCTTTCTGCAGGACAGAGGGCTTACAGAGAAGAGATGCCCTGAAGTTAGCCTGTGGGGAATGAGGTCTGGCCTCTAGACAAGAACTCTGGAGCCTGTCCTTGCTGGCTGGAGCTCCAGAAGGGTCTGCATGAGAAAGAATGTGCATTTAATGCAAGGAAACAGGTGCAAGATAAGCAAATGTTAAGTAGACAAATAGAACATTAAATCATTATGATCCAAGGTGAGCAATATAAAAATATAGATAGGCATTGTGGGATGGACTTCTGGAAGACTGTACATCAGGTCAGGAATTGTGGTTATTTCTGGGTAATAGCGTGCAGGTGATTGTGGTTGCTGGGGTTTATTTACATTTTAAAGATTTCCTAAAATGAAGAGGACCCTGTGAAGAACAAGGATGGCTTGAAGGAGAGCTAGGGGAGTCCGTGGCCCAGCTGGGGAGTTAGGCAGCCAGCAAGCTGCATCTTCCCAGTCCCTCATTCTTCCCTGGCTTTCTACATTTTCCAAAATCCTGTCCAGGCAGGCCACACGGTGACCTGGTCACTTAGGGGCCACCCTCTTGTGTCCATTGGGCCCTGCCAGCTGCACTTTTATCTGACATGTAATTAGGTGCCTGTGTAAGTAGTATTTTCTGTGCTCTGGTATGTCCCCAGATGCAAATCCAGGAAGGCCATTCACGACGTTGTCACAGAAGAAGTGGAGGTCAGTACCACTGCCATCATGACTGCAAGCAGAGCAAATGGACAGAGCTCGCAGAGTGGCCCCAGAGCCTGCCTGGGCCCCCTTCTCACTGCTCCTCCACTCCCTGGTCTGCTGAGAGCTGGTGAATGATGACTCCCGCAGGCCTGCCGGCGAGGGGCAGTGCTGGGAGCCGGCTGAGACACACCCTGCAAGTGTACCCTGCTGCTCCTGCCAGGTCTAGCTCCCACCATTGGCACCACTCTGCCCAGCCCTGGCCAGTGGTACTGTTTGCAGTTAGCTTCTCACTGCCCTCTCACTGCTACTGGGGTGGGCCATGGACCTGCAGCTGCCCCGTCCTGCCAAGAGGCTTTACCCCCATGGCTGGGCTTCTGCTTGGGCTTACACTCCCATATCTGGAGGGATTAGTACCTTGTGCCAGATTCAACACCCCCAGAGGGGCCTTGCCCCTGGAACTCTGCCCAGTTGGTGCCAGCTGCCTTCTCCAGGGTCTGGACCTGTCCACTGTCCATGGCCTCCAGCCACTGCATGGAGTCCTCCATGCTGGTTGGACCCAGCAGTTAGAACTTTCTGAGAGTGAGTGCATTTGTTTCCTCTATAGCTGCTGCAATGAATTACCACAAATTTAATAGCTTAAGTAACACACATTTATCACCCCATGTTCTGTAAATCAGAATTCCAGTATGGCAAGGCTAGACTCTCTTCCCAGGGCCTCACTGGGCTGAAATCAAGGTACTGGCTGGGGCTGGAGTTCACCTGGGGCTCAAGGTCCTCTTTCCAGCTTGCCCATTATTGGCAGAATTCAATTTCTTCTCCTTCTTTCCAAGCCTGCCAGGATGGGCCAGGTTCTACTTGCACTTTGATTCTCTCTGACTTTCTCTTCTGCTCTTCTCTTCTGCTTTTCAAGGCTCATGTGATTGAGTTCACCCTGATTATCCAAGACAACCTCACTATTATAAGATTAACTGATCAGTAACCATAATTACATCTGCAAAGTCCTCTTTTCCATGTATGGTAACAGAGTCATGGGAGTAATGCCAGAGGGCGTAGGTCATAGGGCCTGAATTTCTCTCACTGGGCATTGCCACTGCTAGAGTGCTCCCACCTCAGCTGCCCTCCCACTGGCAGGTGCCTAGGCCTCTGTGGTCCTGGACACTGATTTGGACCAGAGTTCTGACCCAGCTTCCCCTTGGCTCCTCCTCTTCTCTCCTGCCCCACCTCCCTCTCCCTAGCCATGGCCAAGACTGAAAGCCTCAATTCAGAACCAAAGCTGGTAGGCTACGTGGAGGTCATTTCTATATGAAGTAAGGAAACACTTTCAATGGGTTGTGTGGACCAAAACTGTTGATGCTGCCTTGGGTGCAGTGAGCCTCCCATCACAAAAGGCAATAAAGCTGAGGTTGCACACCCACCATACGTGGTTTTCCTTCAAGCATGAGAAGATGATCAGATAGGACAATTAATAAAGCCTTCTTTATGTGAGAGAGTCTGGAATTTTATGAATTCTGCCTGTGGGGAACCCCAGGCAGCAGCCGCGTGCCTTTTGAATATGTTGCATTTCCAAAGTCTTCTTTCAGGAAACAGCAGGTACTCAGCAGTGATGGAGATGGGCTGTGCAGTGGCCTCCTGGATTTGGTTGAAGTTGGGTTATTTGCTCTGTTAATGTTCTTGTTCCTCAGAAATTCCTTTGAGTCTCTGGGAATTTCAGCTTATCCGTGATGGGTAATGGGGAAAAGTTCATTTTAAAGGGTAAATATCACCAGCCTTAAGGAAAAATCCTCCAGAATTAAGTTTGATTTATAGCATGAAACACAGAAGAGACAGCTGGGATTCTGCTCATGAAGTGACTTGATTTGTCTGCATCTGGGGTGGTGGGAGGCAGGCTGGCTGGTTACTGAGATCCCAGCTGCAGGGTTGAGAAGATATGGCTGCAGGGGAGGGGTCTTCAGCTTGTGGAAGGAGTGTGTGTGGTTGTTGACTGATTAACAAATAAGATAATTTGTGGAAAAGGTCATGGAGAACATTAACAAATAAGGTAATTTGTGGAAAAGGTCATGGAGAACTGTGAATTGCCACAGAAATGCGAGATCCTCTGCACAACTCCAGGCGGGAAATCGAGAGGACTGGAGGGTTGAGTCTCAGCTGAAGAAGGATGATGTGATGAAGACAACCTCACCTTGGCGGGGATACAGCAAAGACATGGAGTAAACTCTGGACTACAGGACTTGAGGAACCTGGTCTGGCCTTGGATATGCTGCTCAGAAGACTCCTCAGAATCTCTGTGTCTCAGTTTACAATGGGGATGATAAAAATGTCCTGGCTTTAGCAGGGCTGGGTGCTTTTGGGATGGTGTGTGTCCCCTTGGTACAGCTCCAGGAGCCAGCACTGTGGCAGTAGAACTTGATGCTATGCACACAGGACTTCCATGCCTGGAGAGAACCTCAGAGAAGGCCCCTGCCTGGGACATGCAGTGAGGGAAAGAGGACCCGGGTCCTCACTAGGAGGCTTGGCTGTCCCCACCTTCCCTGTAAAGGGCATATAGCATGGCCACTTTTATGACCCACATTAATATGGTTTTGTTAGCAAAAATGGTTTCAGTCTAAAGAGAAATCACTTTCTATATTCTGATGGAAAAGCTACAATAATTCCACCACCATAAAGTTGTTCACTGGCAGCTGGTCACCAAGTAACCACAGGTTTATGTTCAGTTCAAATAAATGTGTAAAACTGGCAGCTCAGAAATCAACCCTTCCACCACAAAAGAAAACCAGATTGGAAACTCCTAACTTTTCTTGGGGTTCAGTTTGATGAAAACCCAAAGGTCAAGTTTAGAGATTCTTGGTATCTAATTTCCAAAAAATCAATTATATTGAGGTGCAGTTACATAGAGTAAAACACATCATTGTAATGTACATTTTGATGAGTTTTGACACGTTAGTTAGACACCCATGCAACCACAGCCTCGGTAAAGATATCAAACATTTCTTTCACTGCAGTAAGTTCCCAGGCAATCTCCACCATGCCTGGCAATCTCTAATCTGCTGTTACTGTAGATTACATGAATCATTTCTGGAGTGTAACTTAAATGGAACTATACAGTATGTATTCTGTTGTGTCTGGCTTTTTCTTGGCTTCATACCTTTGAGATTCATCCATGTTGTTGCCTTTTTGTGTCTTATTTAAAAAATCTTTACCTAGCTCAACATCACAAGGTTTCTCCTATGTTTTCTTCCAGAAGTTTTATGGTTTCAGTTCTTGTGTTTAGGTCTATGACCGACTTTAAGTTTGTTTTGTATAAGGTGTAAGGTAGGGTTGAGGGCTTTTTTTTTTTCATGTTGATATCCACTTATTTCAATACCTTTTGTGAGAATTGCCCTCTCTTGTCTGCACTACCTTTGCACCTTTGCTAAAAATCAAGTCTATTTATGTGTGGATCTATTTCTGGATTCCCTATTATGCTCTATATTTATCTGCCTATCCTTTTGCCAATGTTGCACTTTCTTCATTACTAAAGCTTTATAATAACTATTACAATCAGGAAGTGCAAATTTCAACTTAAAAAGTCTTTGCAAATTGTTTTGGCTATTTGTGATCTTTTCTATTCCCACATAAATTTTAGAATCAGCTTGTCAATTTCTACCAGAAAAGCGTGCAAAGGTTTTGACTGGTATTGTATTAAATCCATATATCAATGTGGGGAGCATCAGTCTATTAGCTATATTGAGTACTCTGATCCATGAATATGGTACATCTCCCCATTTAAGTCTTTTAAAATTTCTCTCAGCAGTGTTTTATAGTTTTTAATGTACAAATTGTGAACATATCTGGCTCTCTAAAGATTTCATGAGTTTTCTTTTTGGTTGCTGTTGTAAATGGTATTTCATTTTAGCTTTTCAATTTTCAATTGTTCATTGATACTGTGCTAGTAGAAATACAATCATATATTGACCTTGTATCCTAAGGCCTTCATAAATTAAATATTGTCTCTAGTAGTTTTTTTTGTAGGCTTCAGAATGTTCTATATAGACAATTACATTGGTGAATATAGACAGTTCTACCTCTTCCTTTTATTTGTATGCCTATTATTATTATTTGCCCTTTTCACTGACTAGGACTTCCACTATAATATTGAATAGAAGTGGTGAGAGGAGACAGTCTTGCCTTGTCCCTCATCTCAGAATCAACCTTTCATCATTAAGTATGATGTTAGTTGTAGATGCCCTTTATCAGGTTGAGACAGTTTCCTTTTATTTATAATTTGCTGAGAGATTTTATTTATCACAAATGGATGTTAATTTCTTATCAAATGATTTTTCTGCCTCCACTGAGGTGTTGCTTTTTATCTTTTATGAAGTGTTGCATTGTTCAATTTTTAAATGCTAACCCAGGGTTATATTTCTGGCTTAAATCCCAATTGATCATGATTTATCATCCTTTTTACATAATACTATATTTTATTTGCTAGTATTTTGTTAAGGATTTTTAAGTCTATATGCATAAGCATATTGTAGTCTCTTTTTTTTGGTAATATCTTTGCTTTTGGTAACACAGTAATGCTGGCCTCATTAAATGTGTTTCATTCTCTTCTATTTTCTGAGTCTATGTAGAATTGGCATTGTTTCTTAAATATTTAGTAGAGTTTACCAGTGAGTGGATTTGGGCGTGGAATTTTCTTTCTAAGAACATTTGTAGCTATAAATTCAATTTTGATTAAGTACTATTTTGGTTATCTATTTGTCCTTGAGTGAGTTCGCTATTTTGTGTCTTTCAAATAATTATTTCATCAAAGTTTTCAAATTTACGGGAATAGAATTGTTATTATAGTCTCTTACTAACCTTTTAATGTCTGTAAGGTCTAGTGATATCTTCTCTTTCGTTCCTGATAATAGTAATTTGTTTTCTCTCTTTTTTTTCTTGATCAATCTGGCTAGGCATTAATAAAGTTTACTGATTTTCTTTTAGTGAACCAGCTTTTTTTTCATTGTTTTATTGTTTATTGTTTCATAAAATTTCTCTATTGTCTATTTTCTATTTCACTGCTTTCCAGTAATGTTTATTATTCCCTTCCCTCTGCATGCATTGGGTCCAATTTGTTCTTTTTTTTCTATTAGTTGAAAGTTTATTTTATTAACTTTAAATCTGTCCTTTTTTCTAACATAAACATTTATTACTATAAATTTCTCTTTAAGCATTGCTTTAGTTGTATTATACACATTTTAATAAGTTGTATTTTTATTTTAATATAAAGTATTTTCTAAATTCCTTCACAATTTTTCCTTTGACCCTTTGCATATGTAGAGTGTGCTGTTTATTTTTTACATATTTGAAATTTTTTTCTGATAGCTTTCAGTAATTGATATCTAATTTAATTCTTTTGTGGCCAGAGAATATACTGTGTAATATTTTGATTATTTAAAGTAAATGGAGTCTTATCTTATTACTCAGATTATGATCTATCTTGGTTAATGTTCTATAGCAAATTCTGATATTGTTGGGTAGAGTGTCCTATAAATGTCAATTCTAGTTGGTGTGTTAGTGTTGTTCAGTTTTCTATGTCCTTAGCAGTTTTTTTATCTCCTTGTATCAATTACCAAAACAAGAGTACTCGTAGATTTCTCTTTTCAGTTCTATCAGTTTTACTACATATATTTTGAATCTCTGTTATTAGGTGCTTAATACTTACGGTTTTTATATTTTTCGGGTGAATTGGTCCTATTTTTTATTTTCAAGAGTTTCTCTTTATTCTTGGTAGTATTTCTTTTTGAAGTCTACTTTGTTGGACAGAAATATAGCCACTAAAGATTTCTTTTTCTTACAGTTTGACGTATATAATTTTTTTCAGTCTGGGATTTATGGTAGACGGCATATGGTGGGTCTTTTTGTTTGAAGAAGTCTGAAAATTAATGCCTTCTATTGAAGTGATTAGACCATTTACATTTAACATAATTATCAATATAGTTGAGTTTAAGTTTATCATGTTTTAATTTATTTTCTATTTTTCACCTTTGTGTTCCTTGATCCTTTTCCCTCTTTTCTGTCCTTTTAGATTGAGTAATCTTAATATTTAATTTTATCTCCACTATTTGCTTATTTGTTTTTCTCTGATGATGATGATGATGATGATGATGATGACGATGATGATGATATTTGTTCGCTCTAGGATTTATGTATAATGTAAGAACATTTCCTTTTGCCTGAAGAGCTTCCTATATTTTTTGGTAGAGTTTTCTATGTTTTATAGAGTCAATTAATTATCACAGTTTTTGTTTGACAAAGTCTGTATTTTGCCTTTATTTTTCAAATATATTTTCATTGGATGTAGAATTCTAGGTTGACGTTTTTTTCTTTCAGCAATTTAATTATATAATTTCATTGTCCTTTGTCTTGTGTAATTTCTGGTGAGAACTCTGTTATCATTCCTTATTCCTTTGCACATAGTATGTGTTTTTCTCTGGCTCCTTTTAAGTTTTTCTTTTTAACCCCATTTCCAGCAATTTGATTATGATATACCTGTTTTATTTTAATTACTTCTTAGTTTATTTATTTATATTTATCAAGTATAGCATATGTTCAGCTCCTTGAATCTTTGGGTTTATAGTTTTCTCCTAATTTGGAAAATTTTTAGCTGTGATTTCTTCAAATTTATTTTTGGTCTCCTTTCTCTCTTCTTCCCTCACTGGACTCCAATTACACATATATTAGACCACTTTGTATTGTCCCACAGGTTACTGAGCCTCTGTTCATATTTTTTCTCTGTACTTCATTTTGTATAGTTTTTATTGCTATGTAATCAAGTTCACTGATGACTTCTTTTTTTTTTTGAGATGGAGTCTTGCTCTATTTTAATCATGGATATCCCAACAGCTACCCCTGGATTGATGTAATTTTCCTAAAAATGGGGCCAATTAAGCCTCCAAACCCAGGCTGGAGTGCAGTAGCGCGATCCTGGCACACTGCAGCCTCCACCTCCTGGGTTCAAGCAATTCTCCCTGCCTCAGCCTCTTGAGTAGCTGGGATTACAGGCACTTGCCACTACACCCAGATAATTTTTGTATTTTTTAGTAGAGACAGGGTTTTGCCGTGTTACAGTGTCTAATCTGCTGTTCTTATTCTGTATATTATTAAAATTTCAAATGCTGTATTTTTCATGTCTAGAAGTTTTATTTGGGTTTTAAAAAATATCTTTCACTTCCCATTGCATTCCTATTTTCTTTACCTATTTTAGCACGTAGAGCAAATTTATAACGGTTACGTTAGTGTACTTATCTGCTAATTCTATCATTTCTGTCTTTTCTGTGTTTTTTTTTCTATTGATGGATTTCTCTGCTGGTTATGGGTCACATTTTCTTGCCTTTTTGTATGTCTTTTTGATTAGATGCTGGACATTTTCTTGTTGAGTTCAGGATTTTGTTTCGTTTCTTTAAGAGTGGTGGACTTTTTCTGGCAGGTATACAAATTACCTTTGGATTAGTGTGATCTTTTTGAGGTTCGCTTTTAAGCTGTTTTAGAGAAGGTCTAAGTAGCTTTATTGGACAGCTAATTTAGCTCCACTTTTAAAGAATTACACTTCTGGGGTCTCTGTGGAATGCCTGTGAGGTCTCTCCAATCTGTCTGGAGAAAGCCAGACAATTTCCAACCCTGTGTGAGCTCTGGGAATTGTTTGTCTGATAGCATTCTGATCACTCTTCTTCTGGAGGAGCTGATCTTGCCCAGCCTGGGGGGGATCCATGTGCAGATTTATATTTAGCCAAAGACTCAAGGGAGCCCTTAGGCAGATTGCTGAAAGTCTTTCTTGACAGAGCTCCCTCCAGTCTGGAATTCTGCTCCTCAGATTCCAGCTGCTTTAACCTCCACAGCCTCTGACCTTCTCAATTTAGAGAGACCCCCAAGCTCTGTTTGGGTCCTCCCCACCTGCACCATGGCCTGGAACCAGCTAGTTTACTGTCCAGGCACTAATCTGGGATTCACCTCATTTGTTTCCTTTCAGTCAGGGTCAACAGTATTGCACTGTCTTTTTTCCACTTTTTTTTTTTTCCAGAAAACAGTTGTTTTATGTATTTGTCTGGTTTTCTAGTTGTTTATGGCGGGAGGACAACTCCTGTAGCAGTAAATCCTTTGTGGCTGGCAGCCGAAGTTCTTAGCAGTTAATTTAGAAAGAGGATTTTCTGAGTCCTTTATTATTGAAAAGCTCTCTTGTCTTCTTGGGAGATGGCAGCTGCTGAGCCAGAAGTGGCCCCTGCCCTCTGCAGGTGTGCAGAAGCCCCAGGCTCTAAGCAGGGAAGAGGCATCAGAAACCCTCCTGGGGAAGCCTGTGGTGATTTGTCTTTTTGAGGAGTTGGAAAGTGAGCCATGGAGATGCCACATTCGGATGAGTGGACTTTTCCTCCTTGAGTTCTGTAGGCTTTTACTTGATGCTCTTCAAGTGCTGAAGATTTGGGAACACTGCAATAGAGGTACAACATTTAGAGATGTGTTAGGTATAAAAACTGCCAGGTACATTACTTTCTCAAGTCATTTCCCTCTCTCTCCTTTTTACATTTAAGGGGAAGAGGAACAATACATTTTTCTTTGCAAAAGTGTTTGGCAGCGCAGTATATTTGGAAAGTTTACTAACTGCAGAAAGGGGAGAATTAAATTTTATTACACTGGCAAATGATTCTTAAATGCGGCTTATATGAAACCCTCAAAGTTAACTTTGCGTAAGGCTTGTGGTAAGACCACAAGCCCTGGGTTTCCTGGGCTGAGTTTGTGTCCTGACTTCCTTCTTTACTGGCTGTTTGATCTTGGGCAAATTGCTTATTGTCTTTTCTGGTCTCAGTTGGCATGTCATTAAAATGAGACAATAACCACAGATATCTCAAGGGCATTGTTATGAAGGTTAAATGAGATGGTACCTACCAAGTGCCTGTCATAGCATAAATGTTCAGCAAATATTTGCTGATGTCAGTAAAGATACTGCTGTCCATGGCCACAGATGTTCACTCACGTCAGGGTGAAGTTTGATATGATCCCATCAATGGGACAGTTCTCACTGGCAACCCCAACAGTTCCCAAATGCCTCCCAGGACTGGCAGCTTCCAAAGCACTTGGTGAGCTCATTACAATACAAGTGTCTCAGACCAGCTGAATTAGAAGGTCTGGCATGTGTGTTTAACATGCTCTGTGGGCAGGTCTCATCTACTGCCAGGTTTGGAACCAGTGATCTACACAAAGTAAAATTTTCTTACTGGGTCAGTATTTAATACTAGTGAAATTTGGGAAAAAGCAAATATTAAAATAATAAGTACCAGAATTGTATTTGTCCAAAAGATGTTTTATTGTGCTGTTCTGGGCTTTAATGTACAGAATTACTGTATCCAGCTGTTGGGCAGAGGTTGGACATGCTAAATGTCAGGTGTCATGCTAATGTCAGGGGTTTCCTTTCCCTTTGCAGGGTGCTGTCTCATTTTGTTTTCTGCCTTTTTGATGGTTACCTTGAACCTGAGCAATTGGTAGTTTCAGGTGAAGGAAGCAAGTGTGGATGATATTGTTACAATTTTGGAGACCCACATGTGTGAGGTAGCCTAGGCGAATGTTGAAGCTCTGTTTAGCATTTACCAGTCCCCATCTGCGGCAGATCTGTGCTAGGCACAGGGACACAGAGAGAAGCTGCCATCTGGCGTTCAGGAGCTGATGGTCTGCAGAGGTGACTGAGTGGCTAAAGCTTCAGCAGGGAAGGGGCTGTGGGTCCTGGGGGCGTTCAAAGCTGGGCTGCTCCGGTTCCTTGACTGGCTACCACCCCATCAGGAAGCACGGAGGGACTCCCCATGTGAGCTGAGCAGGCCTTGGATCCCCAGGCCTGGGGTGCTATGTCTGGCCCTGACTGCTCGCTAGAAACCTGAAAGTGCTCCATGAGCACCACTGAGGCCACACTTGTTGCAAGGATGCACCATCCTGTGGCCCTTTGCCCCCAGCCTCAGCCTGCGGCCTCTGGCCCTTTTCTTGGCCACCGTCTCCTCTGGTTACTTCCGGGGCTCCCTACCTGAGCGTATTTGCAAAAGATCCTCTCATGTCGTTCCTTCCCAAGCCCCTGTCCCTTGTGGCCTGAAGTCCACAGAGTCACTTGGGCATGACATTTCACCTGCCCCTGCTCTTGACAGGTGTCCCTGGTCCTCACTGACAGGAGAGTGCCCTTGCCCCCCGGCCTGTCATGCGGCATTACTTGTGCTCTGGGGCACAAAGCAGCCCCTGCAAAAGACAGCCTCGTTCTCTCACCCATTATTTCCTGAGCACTTGCTAGCCTCCAGGAATCTTCTAGTGCTACAGGTACAGGTGCCCTAGCAATATGGCCCATTCCATTCCCCCGGGCTCCTTGTCTCAGGGGCTCATGCAAATTGACTCAAGCATGTGGTCTCCTCTGGCCTGGTCCCATTTGCTGGGTGGGTGCTGATTGCTTTGAACTTAGTGCTGGACACGACCTAGTGCATCTGATTTCCAGGCCCTTGCTCTTCTGGGCCAGGCAACCACACATTGTCCCTAACAGAGGTCCTTCCCTCATTTTAGACAAGTCCCCAGCCTGGCCGTTGCCTTTCATCCCCCAGTAACTGAGTGTGGCTCACCTGGGCCTGGCTTCCTGTTTTATTTGTGATCCCCCCAGGTCTGATATGATGGAAATGCTAAGCCAGCATTTACATTGGGAAGGAAGAAATGTACCTCCTCCCCTTCTCCTGGTGCACCCAGCCCTTCCTTACACTGCCCCATGGGCAGGTGGTGAGGCAGCGGGAGGCTGCTGCGGGGCCACCTAGGGTCATCGTTCCACACCAGCAGGAAGAGAAGCAAAGCCAGCACCTCCCCCTGCTGTCCCCTCACCTCCTCCATGTGGAGGTCAGATCCTCTCATAGGGAGAGGGGAGCCTTTGCATTTGTGTTTCGTGGTCACAAGAGTCACATGGAAATAAGCGTCTGTGCTGTGGTGATGGGAGACCTGGATCTGGGCTCTGCGTGTGCTTGACTGGACAAGCCAAGACAATTAGAGAATTAGAGTAACCAAGGGTTAAGGCATAAGCAAGAGAATGGCAGGTGCAGACAGTTCTAGGCAAGATAGGGCAGCACACGGGCCATGTCCTCACTCCTGAGGGGGAACAAGACAGAAGTCTCCATTTCAGCCTCTGATTGGTTGTGGGCCAGTCCTTCATAGGATGTAACAAATTGGAGGCCTCTAAAGGGCCCCTCGGGGTGTTACCAATTTTTTTTTTTTTTTTTTTGAGATGGAGTGTTGCTCTGTCCCTTATGCTGGAGTGCAGTGGCACGATATCTGCTCACTGAAACCTCCACCTCCTGGGTTCAAGCGATTCTCCTGCCTCAGTCTCCCGAGTAGCTGGGATTACAGCTGCACACCACCATGCCCAGCTAATTTTTTTGTATTTTTAGTAGAGACTGGGTTTCACCATGTTAGTCAGGCTGGTCTCGAACTCGTGACCTCAGGCGATCTGCCTACCTCGGCCTCCCAAAGTGCTGGGATTACAGGTGTGAGCCACTGTGCCCAGCCACCAAATTCTTTTAGTTTTATCAAAACCCTAAAGAACATTGTAACTGGGGCTCTTGAGCTGCTTGCTCCAACCTGCCCTTACTCTGTAGAGTGTACTTTCACTTCAGTAAATTGGTGCTTTCCTTGCTTCATTCTTTTGTTGCTTTGTTTGTGCATCTTGTTCAGTTTTTTGTTCAATGCACCAAGAATCTGGACAACTTGCAGTCAAGATCTTCTATAGGGTAGCACTCCTGTGGGATGCATCAGGAGGTGAGGGTCGGCCATGTCTCCACCGAGTGGGCTTGGGTGTCCCACCTTTAGGGATGTTAGGATAGAGCAGGCTGTTCAATGCTGGCAGCCTGATTGCCCCTAGGGTTTTCTAAAGGGACAGAACTAATAGGATAGGTGAATATATGAAGGGGAGTTGATTGACTTGCACGATCACAAGGCAAAGTCCCACAATTAACCATGTGCAAGCTGAGGAGCTATGAAACCAGTCCAATCCCAAAACCTCAAGCGTAGGGAAGCTGATAGTGCAGCCTTTAGTATGTGGCTGAAGGCCTGAGAGCCCCTGGCAAATCACTGGTGGTAGAAGTCCAAGAATCCAAAAGCTGAAGAACTTGGAGTCTGATGTTCAAGGGTGGGAAGCATCTGGCATGGGAGAAAGATGGAGGCCAGAAGACTCAGCAAGTCTGCTGTTTCCATGCCTGCTTTTATGCTGGCAGCTGATGATATGGTGCTCATCCAGTTGAGGGTGAGTCCACCTCTCCCAATCCACTGACTCAAATGTTAATCTCCTCTGGCAACACCCTCACAGACACACCCAGGAACAATACTCTCCATCCTTCAATCCAGTTGACACTCAATATTCACCATCAACCTTATTAGAAAATCTTCGGTTAACTTACCTTTATCTGATAGGTGTTTGGGGATGTGAAATGGTGACTGGTGGCCACTTTTTTTCATTTTTCCTTTCCGTCTCTCCATAGAATCAAAACGCCACTATCACACCTAAAATGTCACCAATAAATCCTTTATACCATCCAATCAGAGTTCAAATTTTCCTGGTTGTCTCATGCTTCTTTTTTTAGTTTGTTTGATCCAAATGAATTTGATCCACTTCAACCAGCTGATATGCCTCTTTTCATCTGTACATTTCTTCTTTACCTCTTGTTCTTGTTCTTTGTGTTCTTTTTCTTCTTCTCCTCCATCTCCATCTCCTCCTTACCCTCTCATACCCCTTGCAATTTATTTTTGAAAAAAAAAATTCATTGGTAGAGTCTCCCACAGTGTGTATTTTGCTGACTACATGCCTTGTAGTGGGGTGTGTGTGTGTGTGCGTGTATGTGTATGTATGTTTAACATGTTTTCTCTGCATTTCCTATAAGTTAGTCATTAGATCTAGAGGCTCAATCACATTCAATGGTTTCATTTGTTTGTTTGTTTTAGCAATAGGGAGCTGTGTGCACCTCCATCAGGAGCAACAGTGTCTGATGATCTCTTTTTTATGATGTTGCAATCCATGATAGTCATTGCCCAGGTTCATTTACTAGAGATTGACAAATGGTGATATTCTAATTAACTATTGTTGCTTCTTCCTTTATTAGATGTAATACTTTTACAAAAAGAAACTTCTCATTGATTATTAGTTATACGATTCATACCAGGAATCAGATCCGATTCATAGAAGAAAGGCTGGGGAAATGCTTACTTCTTTCTTTCTTTTTAAAACCAGCTTTCAAAATAATGACTTGGTTCTCCAACATTCTCCAAAGGTGACCACTGAGTTTTAAAAAAATCACTGCTCTGAACTCATGGATTTGAGTTATTTGATGTGTTTGAGCTGCTGCAGTGTTATCTTTATTGATTCTAAGATTGTCCCATCTGTGGCCTAGGGGATATCTTCCGGTTGGATTCTGAGTACGTCTGACATGATCCCAATCTTTTTTAGCCTCTTTGCTTTCTGCTGAGACAAAATGTTCCAGGCACACCTTACTGAATCAGATCTTTTTCTGAGAAACGCTGCTTAGTATTAGTGGGAAGTAGCAGTACAGGAAATAGGGTAGTAAGAATGCTAATTGCTGCTAAGCTGCTCACCATTTTTAGACTTTTTCAGTGGCTGGGCAAAAAGACACACTGATGATTTTAGAGAGAGAGAAGTTATAGGCCAGGTGTGGTGGCTCACACCTGTAATCGCAGCACTTTGGGAAGCCAAGGTGTGTGGATCACCTGAGGTCAGGAATTCAAAGCCAGCCTGGCCAACATGGTGAAACCTTGTCTCTACTAATAATACAAAAGAAATTAGCAGGGCATGGTGGAGCATGCCTGTAGTCCCAGCTACTTGGGAGGCTGAGGCAGGAGGTAAAAAAAAGGAGAAAAAAAGAAGTTATAAATTCATACATGTAGTTTCAATTAAAATTAAAGACTATAGAGTTTTCACTTCATCTCTGCAGTGTTATATCTGTATCTCCTTTCTCCATGTGAAACTCATTTCCCTGTTACACCGACATAGTTGCTGATTTGCATCATCCACAGCACACACGTGCAAGTCTCAGGATCACACATGCTAATCTCATCACTCCCCCTCCAACCCCGCCAACCGCCACTAATGAGGGGATTCCTGAAATCAGTCTGAGTTTCTCATGGCTTTTTGTCCCTAGACTGTCTCCCACTAGGGATGTGTGATTATCTCACTGTGATTTAAAATTACTTGAAATAATTTCTCTCCAAGAGGGGATACCATTGAATCAAAACACAGTTATCTTCAAATGGTTTGACTTCTTTTTTTTTTTTTCGAGACAGAGTCTCGGTCTGTCGCCCAGGCTGGAATGCAGTGCGTGATCTCTGCTCACTGCAACGTCTGCCTCCCACGTTCAAGTGATCCTCCGACCCCAGCCTCTTGAGTGGCTGGGATTACAGGCATGTGCTACCACACCTAGCTAATTTTTTGTGTTTTTAGTAGAGATGGGGTTTCACCATTTTGGCCAGGCTGGTCTTGAACTCCTGACCTCAGAAGTCTGCCCTGAGGCTGATCAAAGTGCTGGGATTACAGGTGTGAACCACCGCGCCAGGCCCTCCACTTTGAATTGTAGAGATTGATTTATAATTTAAGTTCATTTATAGATACATAGAATATTTACCTGTATCTGAAGTCAAATCTATAAAATGAGATCTATTTACAGGAGTCAGCCTTCTCTTCTTGTCTCCTCTACTCTGCCTTATTCTCCCAAAGGCTAGCCATTAAAATGATCTTTTCATTTATTATTTATTTTTATATATTCAAATATAGATTTACATATTTTAAACAGTCTTCTTTCTTAAAAGTACATATTGTCTGTATTTTTGTTAATCTTTTTTCCATCTAATAATATACTAGAGATCACACCATATAATTAGATAGAGAAATTCCTCTTTTCCTTTTTATAGCTGTGTGGCACTTCGTCTTGTGAATGTATCATTGTTTAATTAACCAGTCCCCCATTAATGATCGTTTTAGTTAAATCCAGTCTTTTCTTGTTAAATAGCATGGTGCATAGGTCTAACGTGCACCAGGATAGGTTTCTGAAGATGCAAAAGAATAATTGCATGTGTAATTTTTCTAAAGGTTCCCATATTCCTCTACCCTCTAGAATGGTTACAGCAGCAACATGGAAGTTTTTAATTCTGTCATTCCTTTTGCATTTGCTGACTGTACGCTGTCAATAAAGAAAATCTTGCCTTCATTAACTGTTTGATTCACCTGAAAATAGAGTCCCGTAAAGAAGGCAGGAGAGGTGCCTTACTCGAAAGAGTAAAGTTAGAATATATATCAATATTCTGACTGAGTTCGTGCCCTAGCTGTCTTCGTAGGTGGTCAATGAGTCTTTTTCGGCATCGTTATGCATCCCTGAACATATCTATTTCTTATAGTTTAACTTAAGTCATTTATACTTTTAAAAACACACTTGTTATTGGGATAATTTTAAGTTTGCAGAAAGGTTGCCATGGCGGCGCAGAGTCTGTGCACACTCGGTACAGCTTCCCATCGTTGCCACCTCACGTCACCATGGGGCATTTGCCAAACCCATGAAAATAACATGGGTATGTGACTGTTAACTAAACTCCAGGCTTGTTTGAGTTCCTCCAGTTCCTCCACCATTGTCCTTTTTTGAGGAATCCAGTTCAAGATACTACATTACAATTAACATTGATCTTTCTGATGTTCAAATCTTTCCTTAGTTGGCTGGTGAGGGTTCTATCTGGTCTGCTCCTCATGCAGATGAAATCCCAGTGGCTTCTGATTGTGTATGTGTGTGTATGCATGTGCATGTGTGTATATGTGTGTGTATACACACGTGTGTGTGTGCAAATGCATGTGTGTGGTGTGTTGGGCCAATGAAACATTCTCAAACTCATCTTGAACATTTCTTGCTCCAGACCTGATTTGAGCCATTTCTCGAAGGCGCTTTTGTTCTTTTTAGAGAGAAGTGGTAGTTAGAGATCATCATCTGAGTGCTGGGGTGCTCATTGCTGTTGGATTTTCATTGCTTTAGGCCTTCAATGAATGAAGGTAGGCAATGCATACTTTTTAGAAAGAAAAAATTTATGAGCTTATACTGATAACAGTTCAAATGAAAAATTACAAGGTGTTAAATTCAATTACCTTGATTTTATGTTGGTTTCTCTTTTGCACTGAGAGCACAATGACTACCTTCCTAATTGTGTATAATAGTTATGCTGCTTATATACCCAGCCATGATCAGTAGAGACAAGCTAGATCATGCTGTGGGGACAACGGTCCTCAAATCTCCATGAGCTGCAGCAGCAAAAGTCCATCTAGTGCTCCTGCCCTGTGTCCACCTGAGTCCTGCTTCTTGGGCTAGGCCCAGAGGCCCCGGCTGGTGAAGACTGTTCCATTTTTATTAATTTTTCTATTTTTTCTTGAATTACTTGAAATAACCATGTAGCATGGTCCATGGTCTTGGCAGAGAAAAAACAGATGTAGTGGACTGGAACTTGGCTTTTAGATTTCTTGCAACATTACTTCCATCCACATTTTTTTTTTTGGCTGCATCCGGTTGCAAGGCCAATCCTGAGTGCAGCAGGGAGGGGACTTCTCATCTTCCTGCAGAAAGGGGCTGCAAATCATACAGCCAAGACTCCTGTCAACGAGGAGCCCTGTCTTGGAGGATGCATGAGTTCCTTGTGGCTGTTGTAACAAATTACTAGGTGATTTACAGCAACAGAACTTTATTCTCCCCCAGTTCTGGAGCCCAGAAGTCTGCAAGGAAGGTATTGACAGGAATGTAAGATCCTCCATCAGGGAGGGCAGGGAATAGCCCACTAGGAAACTGACATTATTAATAAAAATAAGATGACTGCATGCAGTTGAAGATTCCTTTTTGCCCACAGCCTTTCTCATACCATATGGGGCTGCACAGCTGAGATACCTTGTTTCAGGTTTATTCACAGTATTTTTTCTCTGTGTGGTTGTACCACCTACTTGATGTACCATTAAGTTTTTTTTTTTTCAGTTTATGTTTGGTTTTTGAAGATGATCATTTTTATTTTTTGTATTTTATAGAAAACATTTACATAGTTCCAAAGTCAAGACATAAAATCAGGCATATTCAGAAAGGTTGGCTTCCCTCCCTATCCCTTCCTCTCTCTCCTCACCCCCACTCTATAGTGAATGCTTTTTTGTGTTTTGTTAGTTTTTGTTTTATTCCTTTGTTCACATGTTTGGAAATACATAAACATGCACACAGGTGTGCAGTAAACTGTGATGCCTTATCTTGGAGGATGGATGAGTTCCTTGTGGCTGTTGTAACAAGCGACCATGTGCTAGGTGATTTACAACAACAGAACTTTATTCTCTCCCAGTTTGGGAGCCCAGAAGTCTGCAGTGAAGGTATTGACAGGGCTGTGCTTCCTCTGCAGGATCTAGGGAAGACCCCGTCCTTGCCTCTCCACGGTTTCTGGTGGCTGCTGGCAATCCTGGGCCTTTGCTGGCTTGTAGCTGCATCACTCCAATCTCTGCCTCCACCGTCACATGACCTCCTTCCCTGTGTGTCTGCACCTGCAGATCTCCCTCTTCTGGTAAGGACACCAGTCACTGGGTTCAGGATCCACCTGAATCTAGTATGACCTCATCTTAAGTTGATTACATCTGCAAAAACTCTGTCTCCAAATCAGGTTACAGTCACAGGTGCTGGGGGTGAGGACTTAGCACATCTTTTTTGGGGGGCACAGTTTAACCCACAATAGAGGAGAAGCTCTGCTCCCAGCCAGCTGTCCCACTTTTAGACCGTGGTATTCGACGGTCACCCTTTGAATTTCTCTGCAGGGCTGACTCACATGTTGAGATGTGTGGCCTCCTCAGCCCCTGGAATGATGTGCTCGGACTGCCTCTCAGCCTGGTTTGCGGGGTGACTTGTCACAATCTCTGGTGACCCTCCCTTTTGCACTGAGTTTACGGCCATGTTTATTTTGAGGGGAAGGAGATGATGATGGAGGTGTGGCCATTAATCAGCCATGGAGCTTCTCGAGTGTGTGGCCCTGAAGTCTGATCTGGACACAGAAAGATAGAGCGATGGCGCTGGCCGTCCTCTCACTCAGATTTTGTTAATGGCTCCTGGCCTCGCTGTGCCAGGTCCACCCTGAACACAACAAATGCATCCCTCCCCTTGGAATGAATGCAGCACATTGGCTGCTGCAGCAGAGCCTTGAGAGCGCCGCTTCTCAGAGGTCAAAGTGAGTCCATGTTAGAGGGCGTGAGAGTGGACTCGGAGCCTGGTGCACACCCAGCTCTAAGAGGGCAGCAGTTGGTAAAATGGGTTTGTAATGGCTCATGCATTGCCCTGAAGCAGTACTTGTTATTGGAGCTCATTCCAAAGGGACCCTGCTGTGCGGCTCCTTCTAGTGCTCACCCAGGTGCTGCGTGGGTGAACTGAACGTTTACTCTTCCCAAAAGAAACATCACTGTGAAAAGGAGCCCTTGACAGTGAGATGTGTTGAAAAGCAATGTCTGTGTCATCTTCTGGTCTGAGTTCATGTGTCTTAAAGCAGGTATCCTAGCAAACAAGGCTGATTTTCTTATTAAAACCCGGGGCAAATAATTACTGGATATGATCTTGTTTGTCTCATTCTCTCCCAAAACCAAGGGAGTGATTTATTTTAACTCCCACGAAAGGGCTTCCTGGAAGGGGCCTGCACTGGCGGTGGCTGGCTGTGTTAGGAGGTGGATGTGTTAGTGGTACTCCAGGATAAGAACCTTGTGGGTCTGTTGGGAGATTTAATATGAGTTTTTATCCCTTTTATTGATGCTGTCAATGCAGCTAACAAGGCTTAGGTTCTCCTAGCGAGAGGATTCGTGATTTTGAGCACCATTTTGTACTAAGATGTTGTTTATGGAAATACTCTTTCATGTTTGGAGAATCATATTACTCCACTCCACCAACAAGGACGCATTTCAATCAGAATTTGGAACGGGCTGGTTATTGATTGACAGTCTTTTTTGGGTCCTAATGGTCTGCGTACTTACCTTTCTAGAAATGATCTCAGCTGTAAGCTTGCATTACAGCACATGACTTATTTGACTGATGTTTGTCTCTCTCTCATCTATAAACCCTGCAAGGACAGGGTCGTGTGTGTGTCTGTGTGTGTGTGTGTGTGTGTGTGTGTGTGTGTGTTTTCTCTCAGAATCATGTGCCTAGTGTCCACCATGGCGCCTGACTGTGGGGAGGCTTAAGAAATTTTGTGAATACATTAAACAGTATCCCACAGCTCCGGAATCCCAAGAGAGCCACAGGGCTGAGCATTTGCCTGTTGGCTTTGCAAAAGCTCCAGGAAGGACTAATTCCAGCACCCGACCCAGTAATCTAATTGCAAAACCGATACTCATGAGTGTCAGCATAGACACTGTTTAAGACAGGTTCTGTCAAACTGTAAGAAAATCATGTGAAAAATATGATAGTTTTTATTCTCCCAAAGGCTTGTTTTTCTCTCTTAACATGAGATTTCCCCTCCTTTAAAAAATATCAACCTATTAAACCTAGCTATGTAAAAATTGCTTGTTCAGAACTTTATAAGCTACAAAATGTATTATTGCAATCTGTAGTTATGTAATAAACAGGCCTGCAACTATGTAACAATTCCCAGTATGAAATAATCATAAAATCCGATATTACTTTTCTCCGGCATAGCCTATATTTTTTAATAAACTGTCACTTCTTCCGAACTTGGCAAACACCAAGTTTCCTTTGCAGCCTGAGTTTTGTGCTTTGTCTCGTCTTGAACGTAATAAGCAAGGGATGCATCCTATCTTCCCCGGTGAATTGCCCAGGGATTTGCAGTGATAAACAAGCTGGCTTTTAAGTTGGTCCGAACATTTAAGAACTGTCCAAATACTGACTGCTTCTTGGGAGAATGTGTAGTTATGGATACCCAAGGCGTGATGAGCTCCAGCTGTAACTCCTGTCTTTGAATGTGTCACAGGCTGCCTCTGAAAGACACCCAGCTGCCGGTGGCTGTGGCTGTGTCCCGTGGCCGGGCACGCTTTTCTTGCAGCCCCCAGTGTTCCCAGCACCGTCATCTCCGTCGTCTGTGGGGATGTCTGTGGAGCTGTCTGTGTGCTGGTGCTCCCAGGCACCACAGCGCAGCCCAGGGGGATGGCACTTCCTCTTCTCATTTGCTCTTTACCAACTTAGAAACATAGTTTAGGAGTCGAAAAGGGACATTAGAGAGGGCTTCCTGAGATACCTAAAGCAAGAATAGGTTTCTTTTTTTGAGGAGAATGGACTTGTCCCGCTTCTGGCTCCCAGCCCCACCTTATTCTCCGATGGTGGAGGTGGCTGTGCACGGCCATGCAGACGAATCCCACAACCATTTCCCCACCTGGGGGCAGCAGGGCTTTAGGATGGAGACTGGCTCCACATTTCACACTTCAATTTTACATCTTTTCTTTCTAAGTCAAAATGTTTGCTCTGCCTTGTGGAGGGCTGATTTCTTATCAAGAGCCTCCCTTGGTGCCAAATGGAATGCCTGGTGAGATTTGCAGGCTATGGTCCAGTTGTTGGAGGGTGATGATAGTAAAGGTACTAGCCCAAGGCCAGCCCTAGGGGAGCCTGTGGCTGTTGAAGGGGCCTGGGTGGGAGTCACCTACCTCCCATGCGTGGGATTAGGAAGCCCCTGTGGCAGGGCACCAAGCCACGTTCTCCAACAGGGACAAGGCAGACCTTCTGTCCTTCTCTCCTTCCTCCCTAGTCTCTCTTGATTGGTTCAGGACTCCAGATGGAGATCGGCCCCCTCAATCCCCTAGTCAGGTAGCCATCTGAAGACGGTCCCTGAGTGTGCAATTCAGCAGAAGGCAGGGTCACTGATTGGGTGAGGGAGGTCAGGGAAGGGAGAGGCCTGGGGTGTTCCTGGGGGTTTGTGGGGGAGGGGAAGTTGATTGTTGCAAACCCCAGGCAGAGAGCAGACCAGATCAAGATGAATTTACCTTTTAGAGCAGAACAGTCAAGCTTTTTAAGGATGGAGGCAACAGGAATTGCAGATTTGAAATAACATAATTGAAATAAGGTCACATTCTGAGGTTCCAGGTGGACATGAATTTTGGGGTACACTATTCAAACTGCACACCTTTAGATAACTATGAGTTATAGGACCCCATGAATGGCAGGTGAAAATTTTTCCTCTAAATATATATTATTTCAGAGAAAGCCACAATGCACTTTTTCCTAGTTAATGAAGGAAGAATGGAATTGTCTGGATCTCACTTGTATTTGTTTTCTGAATTGACTCTAAATCCTGCAGCTGGCCTGTGCCTGAGCTCCCTGGGGCCCACAGGGGAAGGCAACTGTTGGTGCACAAAGCAATACCATCCTTCAAACTTTGGAAACTCGAATAATGTCACAGATGAAACACAAGCTTTTGGTTCTGAAAGGTGACACCACTGTCATACTCAGCGGGCGGGGATGCTCCAGTCCTGGTTCTCCTTAGCACGTGCATTGTTTTAAGCCCATGCATGTGGTGTGGGGAGCCTGGCACTTTGATCTTTCCTGGGAAAGAGGTGAGTCATCCCCATCATTCTCTCTATCCCAGCATGGAAATCCACCTGAAGAAGTGAATGGAGTCAGCAATCCTAAACTAGCAACTTTGCAGGTCATTTCTGCGCACAAGATCCTGTGCTCCCCTAGATAGAGTGCTGTGGGCCCCACTTTGGCTCATCTAGTTCACGACTTTGCACGCTTAGATGTGCTCAGTAATGTTTGTTAAACAAATGAATGGTTTAGTTATTTTTTTTTCACCGATTATTGGTAAACAATTCAAACATTTGCAATTTAGGAACAGAGTATAAAACCTCCCTCCCATTGCAGACTTGTAGCATCTCCTGAGAGGCAAGCACAGTCTGTGGTCCGTGGGTGTCATTCCAGATACATGGCAGCATACAAAGGCACACACGCTTACACACGTGTGTAAGCTAACGAGAACATGAACACACATTCCTCTTCTGCCGCTTGCATTATCTGCCCGACGTGTCTTGTAAATTGTTCCATATTTGCACTTGGAGATCTACACCCTTCTTCTAACAGGCTGCCTAGATTCACAGTAAATGGATGCACCATGATTTGTTTAACAAGTCCCCTAGTGGCAGTTTCTATAGCTTGCTATTTCAAACCACCAGGCAGTCAGCATAATGGTGCCCACATCTTGGTGCCTGCAGGCAATTGTTTCCATGATATTCAGTCCAAGGATTGAAATCGTTGGGTCCAAGGACAGGTGCACTTACAGTACTGGTGGATCTTGCCAAAGTGCTCTCCAAAGAGAACATCCCTGCATATGGGTGCCCATTCACAGCGCCACAAACACCACACCAAGGGGCCCTTTCTTTTTCTCGGCCATCAGGACAGCTGGTCACCACGGCCTTCTATTGAGGTCTTATTTGATGGTTTTGTTGATGCTTTGAAAAATGAGGGTTAGAAATGGTTTCTCTTTAGAATTTAAATTACTTTAAACTACCAGTGTTTTGTGTGTCTTATACTGTGTTTCAAATAAAATAACAGGTAGTTCCCGTGGCCACTGACTAGCACATAATTAATATTCAATAAGTGTTGCCCTACTTCTTTTGCCCTTGAAGGACAATGGTCCGAGGCTATTTTCCAGAGAAAGGAGACACTTGATTGATGTGTGTTGGGGAAGGTGTGGGACCCTTGCTGAGGGTGGGGGCACCACGGCCTGGGCACCACCCAAGACTGGGTGACTTCCTGATTCACAGACAAGCAACTGAGGCCCAGGGGGTTCTGGATGTCCTCTTGGGGTCATACCTTGGGAGTGACAGAGCCAGATTCTACCCTCAGGCTCTGTGTTCACCCTGCTCTAGTGATTGTCCAGCTCTGGAGCAGGGCACCGTTGCTGGAAGCGAGGGTTCTATGGAAAATGGTGTGGATGCTGCTCCCGTCTCTGTATGTGTGTGCAGATCTACATGTGTGCACGGGCCTGCACGTGTGTGTAGGTGTGGCTGCTAAGCCATCAATCACCCTGTGGGAACTGTGGAAAGGACGTGCATAGATCTCATGTAAGCTCCGAGTTCTGTGTCTGTCTTTGACCATCTGCCCTAAAGGCCTCCATGTTGTTTACAAATTATTCCAGTGAGGAAACAGAACTGGAAGGAAAGTCATGTACACACCCCATACATTATTAATACAGCACAGAAAAACTGTAAAAGCAATAAGATCTTTGGAAAAGTAATTTTAACTTTGATGTGGCCACATAGACTTTAGAGGGAAAATAGGGTCATTTTATACCAAGTACTCTGAGCTTCAAATGAGGCAGAGAAATTTATAATGAAGCCCAAAGGAAACAATTTTGACAAAAGCTCAAACCTGTATTTTCCCCATTATTAAGTGGATCTCTTCCTGAAGAATAAAATATTTGGTAAAAATATTTTTCTTGTAAGTGCTCTCACCAGCGTGGGGAATGCTTGAATGACGGCTGTGAGTCCTGCCCTCTCTCCAGTGCAGGAGGCCCTGGACTTGCTGGTCAGGCCCCATCCCCAGAGGAGGGCAGCCTCCCTGCCTTCCAATCCCAGCTGTCCCAAGCCAAGGGTTGGGGCCTGCTTGCTGTCTGTTCCTAAAAATGTTTGGCTTTGGAACTCTCATTTGTATAAAACCATTCATGGTTTACTTGCCGAATAAAGATCCAGTGGTGATTTTGTAGAAGCCCAGCACTGCTCTATCGTATACATGCTAAATAGTCACAGTTCCTGTGGCTGTTAGGGCAAGTTATCGCAAACTAGGCTTATGGCAACGTATACTCATCTCTCGTGGTTCTGGAGCCAGAATTCCGAAGTCAAAATGGTGACAGGGTCATCCTCCTTCTGAAAGCTCTAGGGGTATATCCTTCCTCGCCTCTTCCAGTTTTGTTCTTGTGGCTCCTGGGCTTGGGCTTGTGGCCACATGGCTCCAGCATCTGCCTTCGTGTTCACAGGGCAACTATCCCTGTGTGTTCTGTTCCACTGTGTGTGTCCTCTCTGTTGCGGGGAGCAACTCTCTGGAGCTGGTGTTGTGCAGGTGGTAAAGTGATTTACCAAGGCAGTTGTAGGTAAAGAAAGGCAGATTTATTAGAGAAAGTAAGAAAATACATTGCAAGAAAGCAATGGGCAAGTCAGCAAGAGAGGAGCTGACTACCAGGAGACAAAGACTTGCTAGAGATTTGATAGGATGGTGCTTGTGCTGGAGACAGCTACATCAGTACTGATAATGCCAAAGTTGCAGTGTGCTAACTTGCGTTTTTCTATCAGCCAGGGGTCTGGTGATAGCTGGGCACAGGAAGATTGTGAGTTATTTGCCCAGGAGGGATATGTGTTCTGGACCATGAAGAAAGGCAGACTTATAGCTCATCTGACTTTTCTTTTTGCTTTTCCCTGGTCCCACCAGCCTAACTCCTTTTCCTGAATTAGGACTCCACACTTTCCTCTTCTTGTGAGGACCCCAGTCATTGGATTTGGGGCCCACCCTACTCTGTTAGGACCTTACCTTAACTAATTGCATATGCAGTGACCTTAGTAAGTTTCCAAATAAGATCACATTCTGAGGTTCCAGGTGGACATGCTATGAATTTTGGGGAGACACTATTCAAGCCACTATACTAAAGCAAATATTTACCTTAGAGACTGATAAACTAGGAAAAATATTTTATATGCAAAGTTCCTTGAAATTAAGATTTTTTTTTGTCTTGAATGCAGACACTATTGCCTAATTGTGTTGTTGCAATGTTGCTCCAGCAGACATTGCAAATACGTGACCAATGGAAGAGGCCAGAGAGGCTTGGGAGTTGTGAACTGGAGTCAATCATTCTTCATTTCCCTGGTCCTTAGAGCTACAGCACTTTATGCCAGTGAACATAATGTTAGATAGGGCCTTGGCGTTGGCCCTGTGTTAATTATTTCCTCAACTTTTGTTCCTGTTTTTAATAAGTTGCAAGTACAGCCCGTTTGGGTCCATTGTGGCTGTTGACTCCATACAGGAACCCGTTTTCTTGCTATGGGGCCTGGTATGCAGGGTCCACCTCTGCCCTCCTTGGCATAAATGCACGAGGGTTGCTGACCTTCAGCATCTGGGCATGGCTCTAACTGGCCAGCCAGGCCACCTGCTCCTGCCCCCAGCAGCAGCTTGTGAGTGGCATCCCTGTGCTTTTAGGATGCACGGGTAGATGAGTGCCTTAGTGATGCCGAAGATTAGATTTTAATCCTCAAAACCCAGAGTTGAGGATTCTTTTTTGCTATTTCACTTTTGTTGTGTCTTCTCAAGATTATTTTCTTTGTTTATTTTTATAACCAACTAGGCTTTTCTTCAACCATCGTTTCATAATACTGAATTACAGTGGTACAAATAATATGACATTCCACATGCCCAAAGCCTATTAGAGGTGAAAGCGACTTTTATGAAGTCAAGGTGGGCAAGAGACGGCCTCTGAGTTGAAGCTTTGTTGTCAGAGCAGGAAGGAGACGGAAGAAATGGAATGAAGCCAGTGTGGGAGAAGGAGGCTCAATTTGCCTGTTAAGTGCTGCAGCTCTGCACCCCATGGCCTTGCATGGAATTCCAAGAGGCTCTTGGCTGCTTCTCCGGGGACACTGGTGCCTTTCTGCATCATGCTCTCCTCCCTTCCCGAGGCAGGACAATGGGGTTAGTGCCCAGCGTCACTCCAGATTCAAGCCTTAGGGAACTTCGTGAGGCTGTGCAGCCATTTTACACTGCCCAGTGCAGCTCCTGAAGAAGGTAAGAGTTTGGGATTTTTTGCTTCTGAGCAAAATCAGAACATTCCAGTATCTAGTCACTCCACCGGAATTTAAAAATATGTCAGTTGTGTAAAAATGAAGGAAAAACAGTAACATGGGGTTTTCGTAGGCACACACACACATGCATAAAAACAGAAAGAAACTTAGAGAAGGGAAAGGGAACTTTCGATGTATCTTAATGTTTAATTTTTAGAATAATTTTTTTTAAGAGACCGGGTCTTGTTCTGTTGCCCAGGCTGGAGTGCAGTGGTGCGATCATAGCTCACTGCAGCCTTGACCTCCTGGGCTTAAGGGACCTCCTCTCGCCTTGGCCTCCCAAAGCACTGGGATTACAGGCATGAGCCATGACACCTGGCCACTTTTAAAATTGTTTAAATCAAAGTAATAAACATGGTTTAAAAGTCAAATGACATCACCAGGCTGATCACCCAAAACCGCAGCTGCTCCCTGACCCTCCTCTCCCACTTTGATTTTCATTGTGAGAAGAAACCACCTTGATCTTTTTTGGCTCTTTCTCCTGAAATTTAAGTCTCTACATCTGAAAATGGGCTTATACTGCTACTTTTGATGGTTTGTTCTTGTTCTGTTTTGAGTATCGTCTACTGACTTTCTGTTGGCTCCCATTATTTTATAATTTCTTCTTTTTCTTTGTCCCCTCTTTCTGGAATTCCTATTGTTTGAATGTTGGACCCCCTAGACAAGTCACCTAATTTCTTTTGTTTTTAAATCTCCTATTTTCTATCTCTGTCTTTTTATTCGCCTTTTCGGGATATGTCCTTAATTTTACCTTTCAAGCCTTTGGTGCTTTTTCTTTAATTCTGCGATCACACTTTTAACGTCGAAGCCCTCTCCCCTATCATCTGAATGTTTTAGAGACTCCTGTTCTTTTGTGGATGCAGCAAGCTATCTTTGGCAGGATGTAGGTCACAGCTCTGCTCTGTTCTTACAGTGTTCCCACTCTGACCTCTGCACATACCTGCATGCTATGAGTTTCCTTTCCTTCTTTTTGTTTTCTCCTTGGCTTGGTCTCTGGCCTGGGACTCTTCATGGCACAGTCCTAGACGCGGGTTGCAGCTTTGTGCAGAGTGGCCCGTTCTCCAGGTGGGCTCCAGGTGGGCTCCAGGTGGCGATGGTGGGGCCTTCTCACTTCACAGAGAGGATCCAGGTGTCACTGTCTGAACTTTCTTCCTGGGCAGAGGCTTCCTAGAGAGGCCTCCTCCACCTCCTGCTCAGAGGGTGTCTTAGTTGGCTTCAGCTGCCATAACAACCTTCAACAGTAGGAATTTATGTCTCATGGCTCTGGAGGCTGGAAGTCCAAGATCAAAGTGCAGCAGGGTGGGTTTCCATCGGAGGCCTCTCTTCCTGGCTTGCAGAGGGTGCCCAGGAGGGTGGGTTTCCCCTGAGGCCTCTCTTCTTGGCTTGCAGATGGTGCCTCCTTGCAGTGTCCTCTCCTGGCCTTTCTGCTGTGCATGCATCCCTGCCATTTTCTCCTCCTCCTCTAAGGACCCCAGTCCTCCTGGATTAGGGCCCCACCCTTAGGACCTCATGTCAACTTAATTACCTTGAAGGGCCTACCTCTACTCGCCATCCCATGGGTGGCTAGGGCTTCCACCTGTGAATTCTGGGGGACACAATTCTGCCCGTGTCCTGGGATGTAAGGTGGCTATTAGCAGTCAGTGAGCCCAGGCGGGGCTGAGGGAATGCCGGCTTTCACCGAGTCCCCCGGCATTTGTTGCTTTATTCCTCTCCCATGTTCAGCTGGGTCCTGGAGTCGAAAGCCTGCCCGGTTCTGCCTCCCCAGAAAGTCAATCTCTGTTTTCTCCTGGGGTGGGGTGGGGTGTTGTCTGCGTCTGGTCTTGTCGGGGTCTGGGCTGCTCCCTGTGCTCCTGTCGCTGTTTGCAGGTATGGCCTGTGCTCATCCTCAGAGCAGCGGGTGCTTCCCATTCCCCTTCTGGGGAGTTCCTGGGCCCTGCACCCCTTTCTTCCCCAAAGCCTTAGCTTCAGCTTTCTCCGTTCTGTGAAGTCCGTTCCCACCCCAGCCTGCCTTCCAGTCTCATAGTGCCGCTGACCTCACGGGTCTGCAGCAGTTTCTTTGTTGCCTTTGTCCTCATGGGGCCATCCCCTGGGTCTTCCTTTGCAGTCGTTTTCTGGGCTTCGGGTAGGGACAGAGAAAGCAGTGAGTGTTTGATCTGCCTGTCTGCTTGGAAGTTCTGTAGCGCCTGAGACTGAGTTCTTTGGGCATCAGTGGATGGTGAGCCATGGGGGCAGGCCTGCGGATGCGGCAGACTCTACCGTTTTAATTTCTGTGACCTAAGAAAGTAGCATCCATTGGCATGACTCCATCCACAGCACAACACTCACAGACTCCAGTCCAGGGAACCCCTCCAGTTCCCACCCTTGGCACCTGGCCTGGCCTCCTACCCTTGGCTGCTCCTTCCCCACCTTGACTCACCTCTGCCTCCCTCTGCCTCCTCCTCTCACTGCCGTCTTCCCACAGTTTCTCTCTCTTGGGCTCAGTCTCAGCCCCTGATGGGCCCTGGAGCAGAATTCCAGCTCCCCAACATCTTTTCTTGCAGAAAACTCTGGACGTTTGGCCCTCAGGACAAGAGTTAAAGTTTAAATGATGGGTTTATTTAATTGAAATATGCTGAGAACATTTTGTGTAAGTAAGTGCTACTGAGAATTTAGGAATTTCAAACAATGAAATAGTAATATCTGCTTTATTTCTGAATGAATGGAATCTAGAACGATTAAACAGAAAAAAAAACAACATTCTGACCTGATTCTGTGTTACCATCTGCTGTAGATTTTGAAACAAGTCAAACTATTTTTTGCATACACGTCTAAGTGTCTGTCTTGATCAGACAGGAGCTTTCCCATAGTACTGCTTCAAGTGGATGTTCTGTTCTGCCGAAAATTCAACACTACCCTCTCCTCTTCTTGTTCTTTTCTGTTGTGTAAGCTCATATTTTGACCTTAATTCCTTGCCTCGTCAACTATTAAATAATAAAGTAACCCACATGGGAACGCTTCTAATTACTTCCTTAAACTTTTATGGGTAACGTGTGTGAGTTGAGCGAAGCCCCGTGGGTGAACGACCTTCCCACTTCGGTGTAGCCCATCCTATCATGAGCCTAATTAATGCCAGAGTCCATAAAAGAGTTGCCTGTGCCTCATAAAACTTGGAGAAGACATAATATCTCCCTCGTGCCGTTGGTTGCCATGGTTACCATTTGAGAAAAACTTGATTACAATTCCCAGCCCCTTCCTTTCCTTGCCAGGGTAATCCATAGATTTGTGGGTCTCAATGTGCCCCTGTCGGGCCTGTCATTTTCACCCTGATGAATGCCTGGCGTTGCCTGGAGGTCAGAGGCAGGGACACAGGGGCGTGGCTAAGTGCACGGTCATGATCATGGGAGCACCCCAGGGAGGGGTGGAGGGTCAGGCTAGATGGGTTAATGACAATGCTCAGGGGGATGAGCATTACATGGCAGTTCGCTGACCATCAGAGCCGGCCATAGCCTCGTAAGCCACAGGTGGGCTGTGGGGGGCTGTGGAAGGGTGAAGACACACAGTTGCTGTTGAGATACCCACACTGCTTTTCCTTGGGAGACTGAGGCCCATGGTGGACCCCTGGGTAGGAAGTACAGTCATGCCCAGAAAGCAATTTCTGTCTCAGCCTCTGAGTGAGGGGACAGCTCCCAGTGCCGGAAAGAACATGGGGCAGGGCCCAGTGACCATCTAGGGGATGCCAGGGAGGAGTCTTGACCCTGGGGAGCAAGGCCAGACTTAAAGACGTTCCACCCGCCTGAGACTTTGATTCCTCCAGTCCCCATGCTCGGCACCTGGCCTGGCCTCCCACCCTTGGCTGCTCCTTCCCCGCCTTGACTTGCCTCTGCCTCCCTCTGCCTCCTCCTCTCACTGCTGTCTTCCCACAGTTTCTCTCTCTTGAGGTCAGCCTCAGCCCCCGATGAGCCCTGGAGCAGAATTCCAGCTCCCCAACAGGCCCTCAATTCGGGCGTCCCCTGATCCTCAAACCCACAGAGTCCAAAACAGGGCTGCTGTTTTCCCGTGACCTCCCCTCTTCTTCCACCCCGGGATCTTTCTCACCTCTGACTTATCTACTTCCATGGCTGGAGCCGCCAGCTCCTGGGGGTCTCATCCAGGTCCACTTGCTTCCTGGTCTTCCCCCTCTCCCTCCCCACAACAAATATCCCTGGGCTTCCACCTGCGAAGCGTGCTGGACTTCTTACCTCTTTAAATTTCATTTCCACCATGCTGGTGAATTCGTTCTCATGCTGCTGATAAAGACATACCCGAGACTGGTAATTTATAAAGGAAAGAGATTTAATGGACTCACAGTTCCACATAGCTGGGGAGGCCCCACAATCATGGTGGAAGGCAAAGGAGTGGCAAAGGCACATCTCACATGGAGGCAGGTAACAGTGTGTGCAGGGGAACTGCCCTTTACAAAACCATCAGATCTCATGAGACTTATTCACTATCACTAGAACAGCATGAGAAAGACTCACCCTCAAGATTCAATTACCTTCCACTGGGGCCCTTCCACAACACATGGAAATTATGGGAGCTATCATTCAAGATGAGACTTGTGTAGGGACACAGCCAAACCATATCAGCTGGTCATATTGAGGTTTCGTGTGTGTGATTCACATGCAAAGATACTGGAAACCTTTGAAAAATGGGGAGGGAGGGGGAATTATTACCGAAGGCCAGAGGCAAGGAAACAGAACCTAGTTTATGAGTCGCTGGCCTCAGGGGCTGGGTCTCAGGGAGGCTGGCCAAGGTCCAGGTACTCATTGCACTCCAGCCATGCCAGCAGGTGCTGGCTCTTGTGTGGTTGGCATTTCCTGGTTGGCGTCCTTGTCTAGTCAGTGGTCCCAGCCTAAAGGTCAGCAGAAAGAAGGTAGTATAGCACGGAAGGCTTGGGCTCTGCTGGATTCACAGATCTGGGCTTTGATCCCAACTCCAGCCTTTAATAGCACTGAGACGGTAAGCCAGTCCCACTGCCTCTCTGAGCCTCAAGTCATGGTAGCACATGCCCCACATGCTTGTGTGAAAGTTACACAGAAGACCCGTGGTGGAAAGCATTTGGACAGTGCCTGACACATGGCCTCCTCCAGTACATGATGTGCTGCTGTTATTATTGTTGGTTTTAAAATTGGGGTTGCTTAGTAACTTTGACCTTGGGTTTGCCCTGCGCGTTTGGGCGACTCCAACCAACAATGATGAATCTTCAGTTTTCTGGAGCACGAGGAGAGAACAGTGAGACGTCATCGCCCTCTTCCTGCCAGAGGTGCTGTGGGAGGGTAGTGAGAAGGGCTAAGACAGAGGTCATCCAACATAAAACATTCCCACACAAGGAAATATGCCCCCTGGCTGTTTGTCCTCTGGGGAGAAGCAGCCTGGATGTGCTCTCCGTGCTGGGCAGGGCCGCGGGTCCTGGGCACCCAGGCAGGGAGGACACGGTGGTACCACTCCCAGGGCAGAGCCTTGGGGAAACTCAGTATGGAGGAGGCCTCTCGGCCAAGTTGGTTTGGGAGGGGAGGCAGATGAGAGGAGGGAGCCCTGGCCTGGGGATCCCACCGGGAGCTCCAGAGGAGGGAGGTGGAGGGAGGGCTTTCCTCACGAAGCTGCAGATGGAGACGGGGCCGGAGGAAGGGAGGTGGGCATCACTGGGAGCCCCTGCTCTGTGCCTGGTTGGGCCAGGCCATGCTCGTGCAGCCACGCTGGAGTACCAGGCACAGCTGGGTCCTGAGCACTGTGGCCACTGTGTTGTGGCAGCTGCCCTCTCTCCCCTTGTGACCCGTCTGCTGTGCGAATGGCCTTCCCCTCCCCTCCCCCAGAACAGCAACACAAAACAGAGCAGAAACAAGTTGCCCTGTGTTTCTGGAGGGAGTTTGAGGCTCTAGGTAGCTGTGGTCTTGCACAGCAGTGACAGATGCTGGTGAGGTTACCTGGAGGTTTTGCAAAGTCCGGCAGCGAATTTTGAATCATGGGAGGGGAGGGTTGGTTCTACTCATTATTGCTTCCATGTGAAGTGTGTTTGTTGTATTTGATCTTCAGCACTGCGCTTAGGGCTTTATGGAGATTATCTCTAATCCTTACCACCCTGGAGCTAGAAGAAGATCTTCCCAGGAGATAGATAGGGAAACTGAGCCCCCAGCATTGTCACAGCCACAGTCAGGAGCAAAGCTGCTGCAGGTCAGTGTCGACTTAGCCTCCATCCCCTGCTGGGATCACACGGACAGAGAGGCCTCTAGGCCAGACATGCTCCTAGACATGCTCCTAGCCTAGACATACAAACCCGAAGTTCCTCTACCGACCCAATCTGCGTGGTCCGTTGTGACAGCCACGAGGCACATGTGGCCACTATATTTAAATGTATTAAAATGGAGTAAAATTAAAGATCCAGTTCCTCAAATGCACCAGCCACGTTTCCCTTTCTTATTTTTTTATTTTTATATTATTTTATTATTATTATTATACTTTAAGTTTTAGGGTACATGTGCACAATGTGCAGGTTTGTTACGTATGTATACATGTGCGTTTCCCTTTCTTAAAAGCCCCAGGCAGCAGTGGCTGCCAATTCTGGACACCACCAATGGAGGACATTTCTGCCATTGTGGAAAGCTCTGCCTGGCCGTGCTGCACAAAATAGCTTGTGCTTATTATCTGAAAGGAGCCAGTTGTTTTTAAAAGATCTCATTCTCAGAGAAGACAGGATTTTCTAAACAGTTGGCTGAGGATGTGTGAGTGGCACAGTCTCATGCCAGCTTTTGGTGCTCTGGGCCTTTCCTGTGGCCCCTGCCCTGGCTTTGTTTTCAGTCCTGAGGCTCCCGCTGGGCACTGTCCCTCCCCCAGTGCTCATTTAGTGTCTGGGCCCAGGTTGGGGTGGAGTCGGCTTTGCTCCTTGCAGACAGGAAAGCGCTATAAGCTTCTATTTTAAGTTTGGTTGTATAAAATGCCATCCGATGTGAATTAAAGCAGAGTTCGCGTTTCTGTTTCCCTAAAATTGGTGTATGTGTGTTAGCTTCTTTTAGCTGCTGTAACAGATTACCAAGCACTTGATGGCTTGAAACAACACGTATTTATTCTCTTATGGTTCTGGAGGTCAGAAGTCTGAAATTACCTTCTTGAGGCAAAAGGTGTGGGTAGGGTGTCGCTCCCTCTTGGGGCTCTGGGAGAAGCTGTTTCTCAGCCTCTTCCATCCTCCACTTGGAAGCACTCCTTGCAGGCCTTGGATTGGGGGCCCTTCCTCCACCTTCAGGTCCTCTGAGGAGCAGCATCCGAACATCTTGTTGCAGTCGTCATGTCGCTTTTCTCTTCTATCTCAAATGTCCCTCTGTCTCCCTCTTATAAAGACACCGGCGATTGCATTTAGGGCCCACCTGGATAATTTGGGATAATCTCCCCACCTCAAGATCCTGAATTTGTCACCTCTGCAAAGTATCTTTTACCATATAAGAAACACTCACAGGTTTCAGGGATTCGGATCTGGACGTCTTTGGGGGCCATTATTCCGCTGACCAGAGGTCATGAAAAGAACTCCCTGGCTGGCAGCGTAGAGTAAGGGTTAAGAATTCCATTGCTACAGAACAAACCACCCTGAAACTGGAGAGCTGAAAACGGCGGCCACTCATTTCTCCCCGGGCTGCAGATGCACTGGGTGGTTGTCCGTGCTCTGGGCCTGGCCTGGCTGGGCTTGCTGGGGTGTCTGTGGACAGCTCGTGGGTTGGCCAGGGGTTAACTGGTCTAGAGTGGCCTCATCTGGGACCACCCACCTCTCCTCTGACTGTCTCACTTCCCTCCATCTGGGCTCTCCCAGGCACATCCCCACCTCTCCTCTGTCTCACTTCCCTCCATCTGGGCTCTCCCAGGCACATCCCCACCTCTCCTCTGACTGTCTCACTTCTCTCCATCTGGGCTATCCCAGGCACATCCTCAGGCTCCTGTGGCAGTGATGCTCATGGTGATGACAGAGAAGCCAGAGAGGAGGCGGAAACACGCAAGTACTTGTTAAGGTTCTTGACAGCAAGTTTGTTATAATCCCTTGGGTCAAGACTCAGAGTCAGGGGAGACTCCAAAGTGACAGGGCAAAGGGGAGGACACAGGGCGACCGTGAATCGGGGCCACTGATCTAATCCTGCATCCTGCATCTGGTGCTGTCTGTGGGGCAGGAGACACTACTCTTCCTGAGGCTCTCTTTCCTCATTTGTTACATAAGACACCAAACATGTATGATAGAGGGGGTGTGAGGATTCAGTGACAGGATGCCTTTAGAACACTCAGCAAATGTGGGAACATGGTGAAAACCAGTGCAGATTAGTTACTATCATTTCTCTAGGTGAGTATTATGATGATGATGATAATGAAAATGGCAATTGTTATTTTTACGTGTGACCACGATTGGAGCCACTTTGTTGTTCGAGTTCTCTGTTCTGCCGCCCCCTTCTAATGGAAGAGAGCACGTTAGAATTTGACTCGAGAAGGGTTCAACTAGAGATTTTCATGCGATTCTGACTCAAGTAGCAGTGAAAAAAGATGAGCACACAGAGCTGTTGAAATGTGTTTTGCAGCTCCAGAAAGGCGTGAGTGTGCTTTGTCTTGAAAATGAAATCAAATTTTTCAGCTTCAAAGTGGAATTAGTGTGACTTTAATAGCAAATTTGTAATTGGCTTTAACTATCATTTATTAAAAGTGATTGCTCTTCATGTTGGCTTCTCAAATGCAAATGCATGAAGTCAGACTTAGTTAAAGGTTGCTGTGCATTAGCTACCTTCCTACTCTGCCGCAAGCCATTATCAGTTTAAAAAAGAGTGTGTTATTAAGTTGGAAGCTGCTCAAAGTTTAAACGAACAGAACAAAAACCTTGCAGATAATGAAGGTTTTTGAAATTCAATTTAACATTAAATTACGGTGATGAAATACCCTCAATAAAGAGGCTTTTGTGATTTTATTGTTTCTAAACTCAGAGAAAAGTGGAATGAGTATGCATGAAATCTGATGAGAGCCACATACGGCTTTTAAAATTCCAAATCACTTTTCAAACTAATATTTTGGGAAACCATTTTCAGTTTGATGGTGTTGCGGGAACATCTCATTTCTGGGGCTTTGCCTGTGGATTCTGTTTGTTCCAGACCCAGAGCTACTGCTGAAGAGAAGCTTCTCCCTTTGCCTGGCTTCTCTCTTCTGAATTCTCAAGGGCTTTCTATTGGAAGCCTGAAAGTACTTCTTGATAACTTTGCATCACTTTTATCTCTGTGACATGTGGGCTTTGGATGGTTTCCTAGAGAAATACTTGAAAATATAAGTGCTTTCCCCAAATCTCCCAAATCCATGGTTTTCAAATGTCTTTTTCATTGAGTGACAATCCACTTATGCTCTGGGTCCCCAGACGTGGGGGTGCAGGCCTCTTGGGATTATCCCTAAAGAAATAGGACGCCTAATTTCAAGATGGTTTATTTTTAAAAATTAGAAATGTTGACTCCTTGTAATACAGTGATTTTGTTTAAATCTGGAAGCGTCAGTGGCTGCCACCTCATAGTGAGCACCAAGACCTGTTCACAGAAAACTGCTGGAACAGCTTGTCCAGGGTGCCGGTTCCCTAACTCTTAGAGCTCCAGTCTCTTCTGCCATAAAGTGGGGAGAATGGAACCAGCCCGTGAGGGTGTGGGGGATGAGGGTTGGTTGCAAAGAGGCCAGTCCCGGTGGGGACTCTGCAATGGTGAAGCACTCTCAAGGGTGAGCGTTTCTCATATCACCCTATCCTTCTCCTACAGGGGCTGGCCCAGGAAGGGCTTAGGAAATCCTGAAACAGAGGGTTCTGTTTTTAAGTCCATTGCTTGACGCTCTGTTTTGTTAACAAATTATGCAAATTCTGACAACCCAGTTGGATTTTCATCTTTAACTTTAAATCCACTTTAAAAACAGGACATATCTATTTTTCTAATGTCAAAGATATTAAATCTCATTTTTTAAAATGACAATAAAATGTTTTGAACATATTTTATGCTGTTATTTCTTTTGCTTTTATATAATTATAAAGGTAATTGCTATATTAATTTAAAGCAAGTTTAACAGAAGCCAACTGCACGATTTGGTGGCCCACCCTGCCCTGTCCCCAAAGGTAACGTAGCTTGGGACTTATTTGTCTGAGTGTCTGTACGTGCCCCAGATTCTGAACTAGTGGGGAAGGACTGTGTCTTATTCATCTTTTCATATGTGGTTTCTAGTACAGTGTCTGTCCCATAGAAATCACTTGATATGTTTTTGCTGATTGACTGGAAAAAATAGTTAATACGATAACCCTTAGCCTTCTGTACTGTGTCGGTCAGGCCGTGATGCGAGTATGGGGTCAGTTCAGGTGTCCGCTCCAGGAGGAAGCAGGGTGTGCGCTGAATTCTCCTGATGTTGATGCCAAGACAGAGCTTAAGATGCAGGAAGGGAAAGGAGGCAGAATGGGGCAGAGAAAGATGTCCAGTGGCAGCCTGTGCCAGCCTGGCCAGGAGCCCTGAGGCCAAGAGGCCCCATCAGAAGTGCCCCCTTGGGCTGACCTGGGGCTTTCACATTCCACCTGCCTCGTCACTGGGTGCTGGCAGGGGACGCTGGTCACTGTGTAACAGTTGGCTCTCTGGGTGCTGGCCTCTCCAGGCGGGGGATGCGGGTCACTGTGTAACAGTTGGCTCTCTGGGTGCTGGCCTCTCCAGGCAGGGTACGCGGGTCACTGTGTAACAGTTGGTTCTCTGGGACACAGGCCATACCTTGAAGCATTTGTCAGTTTCCAAAGCGTAAACACTCTCTTGAGGGCTAGTTTCTAGGGACTGAACACGGAATTGGGAAGAGATGCAGCAATTGGCTCTCTCAAGCTGGAGGAGCTTCCCTGGCAGGGAAGAGTGTGGCAGGCAAGGCGGCTCTACAACTGGGTGGGTGCTGGTGGAGCTGGGACCTCGCTCATGGCAGCCGGTAGCTGAGGAGGCAATGCCTGCTCGGAGGGGAATCTGGGAGGTGCATCTCCATGATGACCACACTTTACCACTGGTGCCTCCTTAGCTATTTGGGGAGCAGCTCCCTAAGGATTGCAGAGGCCTCTTCTTGAGGAAGATGATGAGTGGGATGAACTTCAGTCCCCACTGTTGCAGTGCTCTTGAGCCCCAAGTGAAACTCTTTGTCTCCCTCTCTGTGTTCACCGGCTCCCCCTCACCCAGCATCCACACTTGTTTCAGTGCTCAGGTGGCGGCGTGACCAGCCCTCGGGATGGGGTCTCTCCATTACTGTAGCAGCTGTTTGAGGGAGCTCTGTGAGGTGCCCAGGAGGCTCCCAGGCTCTGTGTCTCTTCGTGCCCCACCCCGTGTGGACAGAAGCCTTGTTCCCCCAGGATTAGGATCGGTTGCCCCTGCCAAGACCTGGAACTTCTATTTTTGCCGGCAGGTTCTTCTCCTGCACCTGCTGTCTTCCTCCTCCTGTTCCTCTTTCATGTTTTAAAGATGTAAAAGCCACTCATGGCGCTCAGGCCACACAACACAGGCGTAGGACTGGATTTGGCCCACGGACTGGACTGTTGCATGGGGCCCCTGTGTAGCTTATCAGCGTGGAGATTCCATGTCAATACCCCTCTGCCCTCCAAAGCTGTCATTAGTGCAGCTGCAACCTGCCAGAGGCAAGCCAGGTTTACCTTTGGCCGCCGACAGCATTCTTTCCATTCAGTCACCCTCCTGTCTTATCAGACCCTGCCATGAATGACTTTTGACTATTCCCAGACTTCCAATTTATTCTCAAAATTTGAAGATTTTTCTTTCCCTTTTTTTTTTTTTTTTTTTTTGGAGACAGAGTCTCACAGCGTTGCCCAGGCTGGAGTGCAATGGTGTGATCTTGGCACACTGCAACCTCTGCCTCATGGGTTCCAGTGATTCTTCTGCCTCAGCCCCCAGAGTAGCTGGGATTACAGATTGCACCACCACGCCTGGCTAATTTTTTTATTTGTTTTTTTAATTTTAGTAGAGGTGTGGTTTCATTATGTTAGCCAGGCTGGTCTCGAACTCCTGACCTCAGGTGATCCTCCTGTCTCAGCCTCACTGTGCCCGGGAAAATTGGAAGATTTTTCTACCTGTTCAAAATAATCTGTTACACCTTTCTGAAAGCAGCTGACAAAGAGGTTTTTCCAGTAATGAAATAAAAATAGACCTTTTTAAAGAAACGATGTGTATTTGGATGTGTAAATTTTACCCATCTGTTGAAACACCAGTCACATTGTCTAGAATAACGCTTTTCATGTGTGACCTTTTCCTTTCAAAGTAGGCATGTGGGGACCATATTGAGTTTTCTCTAGAAACATGATTTTTTTTTCCCCCTCAAGAGCTTGTCTTTTTTATTTGGCAAAGAAAGCCTCTATCCTGTAGACGACAAAAACAAAAACAAACCCTCCATTGTGCAAAACCTTTGGAGAAAGCATTGAACCCATGAAATCAGCCATCTAAGAAAAAGTCTCTAACATGGGATCTGTAAGGGTGTGCTGAAATTTTAAATGTGAATGTAGTGGAATCAATAGTTTTTTATTTTTATTTTTGAAGAATTTTAAGGACAAATGAAGAATCGATACTTTTTTGAAAATGTGCAATATGGTTGAGTGCGTGCCGCCAAAACAGCATAATCACCCTGGACCCGTGGGAGGAGGCTCTTTTGATGAGAACTGACTTTCCAGATGAAAGGAGGCCTGCCTATAAACAAGCTAGCGGGAACACATTAGCATTCTTACAGGGGGCCGCCAGGTTTCAATAATGCCAGTGGTCCTTTAACCAAAACTGCCAGAAATGTTCTCCCTACATAAACCACAGAAAGTATGATCATTTACCACCCACCACGAATCATATTGACATAATTTTTTTAACTTTGAATTCTTAAACTAAGGAGGATGGTTTGGGCTTGGGTATATCTCCTTGAGGTTATGTTATGAATGATTTGGACTGTCATGGGAAAGATGCATGTTTTCATGGGGAAAAACTGTGTTATTTTTATATCCCTCAAATTCAACAAATCTTTAACTTTGTATGGAGATGTGGGTGAACTTGAACCTTTGGGAACCCGTATTCCAGCTGCTTTGCCGTTCTGTTTCCCACTGCCTTGGAGAAAGAGGATAGTCTTTGTGGATGCACCAGCCAGGTGCATTTCAAGGTGTGAACTCCTGGGAACAGCTCTGCAGCGTGATGTGTGACACCGCCAGCCACCTGGGCACTGCTGTGGGCTGAGCTGACTGCAGCATCAGGACCATGGGACTGGCTGTGAGGTCGCTGTGCATCTGCCACCCTGACTCACCCCATCTCTGGGTGTGGAGTGTGTACACCATTGTGATCTCCTCTTTCCCGTAAACAAAAGTTCATCCCTCTTTACATGAAGAAGAATACTCCCGTGTTTCCTTTCCCTCCAGAAGGAGGCTTTACATTCTCAAATGACCCCTAGGCTTTTCATGGGTGGAAAGCATCTCCAAGACACATATCTGTGCCCAGGTCCCCTGGCCCAGCTCTTTCCCCAAATCAAAACTTTCTGTCCTTGGAGGCTTCAGGTTCTCTACTTATATTTTAGTTGACAGGAAAAGGATTTTGGAAAACATGCCCTTTTTCCCTAAATCCTTGGAGTTTTGACTCAATAGCTCCACGTTTGTAACACAGACAGCTGCTGAGGAAATCTCAGTCACTGAGCTGCAGAGCTTCATGTTTTAGTCAATAACAAAATCCACATGTGTTGGGTCTTCCTGATTCCCAAGGGGGTCATGACTTGAATAAGCATTTAAAGACATTCTTCTTGGAGCTTTTCCCCATAATTGAATGTAGGGGCCACACTTCCTGTATTCAGTTCCTAGGGCCACTGTGACACATTACCATAAACAAGGTGGCTTAAAACAACAGAAATTTATTCTGTTAGTGTTGGAGGCCAGAAGTCCAAAATCAAGGTGTTGGCAGGGCCATGCTCCTCCCAGGTGTTTGAAGAGAATCCCTCCTTGCCTTTCCAGCCTCTGGGGCCTTGGGGATTCCTTGGCCTTTCTTGGGTTGCAGGTGCATCTGTCCAGTCTCTGCCTCTGTCTTCACATGGTCTTCTTCTCTGCATTCTTTACTTCTGTCACTCGTACCGACACTTGCCATTGGATTTAATCTGAGATGACCTTATCGTGAGATCCTTACTTTAATTTTATCTGCAAAGACACTTTTTCCAAATAAGGCCACATTTACAAATTGTGAGGATTGGGAGATGGACTTTTTTGGGGGGCACCATTCAGACCCCATGCCTCCTTTGTGTTTTAGAATTCAAATGTACATAGCAAACTCTTCCTTTGAATGTTGTAGTTGAGTATCCTTGTGTTCCTTCATCTGTAACTGCTCTGGAGGTGGAATTTAGTGTTTTAGTAACTACCTAAACATTATTTGGGTTTCTGGTGCAACTACTCCCCCTGCCCAAACTCTCTCCTTCATTTTATAACAAGCCTTTTAATCTCCTGTCCTTATTTAATAGGCTTATTTCAAGACTTCCCCAAACTTGAAAGTAGCAAATGCATGAATGCATGATACTGGTACTCAGTATATCATACTCTCCACTGATAGGTTCCAGCTGACCTCGAAAACATCAGGATAGGGAAACAAAACCAACTAGCTAGCATTTGAATTAGAACTAGAAATATAGAGGTATATACACAGGTCAGTTTGAATACTGAGCTCCCGTTCCTTTTATAAATATTAAATTAATATTTACCTAAAATTACAAAAATAAGGCAACCATTTGAAATGTTTATTCATGCTTGAAGAGGGTCTGGGACTCACCTTTCTCCTCTGGGGACCTGCTTTCATATTAGCCCTAATTGCATGGTACACACAGGAGCTTCTTTCTTCCAAGAGTTTTCTTTCTTTACCACTTTCTTCATTGCTGCTTCAAGGGCAAACCCCAGACCCAGGTTGAGTCAACTGTTGTATGCCCTCCAGCCAGAGTCTGTGAGACCTGGGAAGCACTCCCACCCACACTGCCAGTGCGCTTACACCTTCCCATGACACCTTCTGTGCAGTATCTGTGGCGAAGGAGCACCCTGAACAGAGCTGTGGGTTGTGAGGCTGTCTGGGCTCTACGTTTACCAAACCACCAGATCGGTGTGTGGCTGATGCCACTGCCAGCTCTACCTCCCTGAAGCAAGCTGGGAACACTGATCCTCCTCCTCCAGGTGGCTCTGGGAAACTCTAATTTGTCCCTTGCAGTTAAGGGGAATTTTTAATGAGAATGAGACAGTCCCACTCCAAGGAATTTATCCTAAGGAAATATTTGGGAAATGCACACAGATATATGTACAAAGTTATTCCTTTGCAATAATCTGCATGTCCATGATAGGAGATTGGTTATGCAAATTAGTGCTCATACATGCAAAGGACAACCCCACAGCCCTTAAGAGGATGAAAATGGATCTTGCGGGGCCCTCTTTCTTGGAGAGGCAGCGTTGGACAGTGGCTAAGAGTTCTGGCCACAGAACAAGACAGCCTGGACTGACCTGAGCTCTGTCACTTGATGTCTGTGTGGCCTTGGGTAAATTATCATGGGCTCTGGGCTCTACTTTGCTCATCTTTGAAAGATTGTTGTGAGTATTAAATGAGTTAAAGTGCCCAGGACCTGAAGTACATGGGACACAGGAAAAAATCAAAACAATTTTAGCCATTACCTATGACATATCCTTAAGTGAATAAAACATGTTATGAAACACTATGTAGATGATACTATTTTGGGGTCCCTATTATATACATGTCACGTGTTTGTACCAATCCGTAAATGCATTTGTTAGAAGATCCTGGATTTTGGATGATTTCAGTGACTTCAGTCAACTTTATTCAATCAAATACTTGGATTTTGCAGGCACACTTTGGATCCCTTTAGTTGTCTTGTTCACATTCATTGGTGGGTCGAACATTTATTGAGCATGATATGCCAGCAGAGAACAGGATAGTCACTAAAGTCAGACAGATGATGCTCCCCGGGAGGGAGCAGCTCTTCAATGGGCACTAATTCATCACTTAATTGAAAATATAGTAAGAGTGAGAGAGGGGCAGGCAGCCCTGAGAGTGTAGGAAGTGCCTGACCTCACTTCTGGGGGCCCCTGGAAGAAGTCATATTGGAGCTGATTGCTAAAAGATAAGCAGACATTCTCAGAGGGAGGGAGGTATTCTAGCAAAGGGGACAGCTGGTAGTAAGACCTGCAGGCACTATGAAAGTTGATCATAGGAACTGGGTCATTCTTGTCATACCCAATTAAAACAGAGTCGAGAAGCCAAGGGGAAAAAAGCATTTGGGACACATGACATTGCTCCAGAAATGAAATTCTTTGTGAGTCTGGCTGTGGAAACAACCTGTTTTAATGGGAGACCAGTTTTAGCTAACAGTGGCCGAAACAACCTGCAGTAGCTCTAAGACTAATTTTACCCAGTGCCTTAGCTCAGCAGCTTCAGCTCCCCGTCTCCCCAAACCTTTACTGATACCAATGACTTTCAAGACCTCGGCTGACATTTCTCTTTTTTATAAAACCCCCAATCTTCTCTTTGTTCTTCAGACATACCAGAGACTACCTGGCCTGGGTTTATGCCCCAAGTTGCAGTTCTTGTATCCCAAATGAAACATCATTGCAGAGATTCATCTCTACATTTTAATTTCAACTTCAACAGCACCAAATGCCCTGGAATTAACAAGAAGGGCACGAGCCTGGAGGAGAGTGATGAGGCCAGGTGGCAGAAAGCCATATATAAAACAGACTGCCATATAGAGGGATTTAAACAGTGGGAAGATGGGATCAAATGGAGTTTAACAATAATCTCCCAGCTGCCAGTGGACAATGGACCAGCTAGGGCCAGAGTGATCCAGGGACCCTGCTAGAAGGCCCTTGGGGTCACCCAGGGGATAGATGAGGGTGGCTGAGATGAGGGTGGGGGCTCTGGACATGGAGAGAAATTGATTGCCTTGAAAGACAATCTGGTTTAAATTCAGAGAATCTCCCAATGTAACCTCACTGAAAAGGAATGCAACTCAGAACAAGACAGCGTAGCACTCTAGTACACAGCGCCCTGGGAAAAGCCCAGAAGCTTGCATGGAACCTTTAAACCATGGATGTACCTTGCAAGATGCCCCACCCAGGGCCAGAAAATGGGCCATGGGGTGTGTGCCCAGTGCCTGTCCCCACCCCCCATGGCACATTAGGTTGGCTTCCGGCACCACGCTGCTCAGGCCTTAAGGTCTAAGAGAAAGGTAGGCTGCCTTCTGGCCTGTCCCTGTATTCCCTGCGGCACTGCCAGCAGGGAGGGTGGCCACGTTTGTAGGAGATGTCAAAACAGAGGGTACTTCGGAGGCTCTTCTCAAAGTCAGGCACCCCAGGCTGTTGCTCAGCCAGCATCCTGGCAGAGGTCTGGAGCTGCCTGTGTGACAGAGCTCTGGCTGTGAGGGACAGGCTGAGCCTGCCCAGTGACTCCAATCATCTGTCAGCCTGGGGTGGACAGCAGCATGATGCAATGGCTAAGGCAGGCCCACCCACCCCAAAGAGAGTGGAGACTCTGTCTCCCCCTGTGATTGTGGGTTTGTCACTTCTTTGACTCACCTTCCATATGCTAAGGCTGGGTTGTGAGGAGCACAGACATTCAGAATCATTACATAACCCTGACTATCAGTATTGATTTTGCCCTATCTCTAAAAGTGTTTTTTGCCTTAAAGTCAACTGTGTCTGGAGTAAGTATAGTTATTTTGGCTTCATGTTGGTTAGTTTTCCCCATAAAACACATAACAGTTACTTTCCCTTTAAATCTGTATTTATCCTAGTATTTGAGGTCTGCATGTCATGACTACTATTTGGGAGACAACTGGGAGCGTGGCCAGGACCAGTGGGGCTGTCCCCTGTGGGTAGCACTGGAGGCAGCAGGGGTAACTTGCAGGCCATCACCAGGATGAGCTGCGGGACAGAAGCAGGTGTCACCAGAACCACCATCAGTGCGTTTGTAGCCTGGTCTCCTAGCTGGCAGTGGCCACGCCTTCTGGTGATGTGTGGGTACCATCATGAGACCTAAACTGAATAAAAACCCAACCGGAAGCCAGAAACGCCTTTTTTTTTTAAATGTGGAAAGGAAGTTGGAACATCTCAAATACTACTAAGACTCAATGTGAGGGGTGAAAATAAAATACTGACTCCATGATATATTATAAGGAGTATAATGCTATTATAATTTTAGGCATTCTTGTACTTAAGCACAAGTATCTGCAAATAGTTCAGTGAAATCAATAAAAGGTCAGACATAGGCCAAATAAATTCAGTTAAGTCAGGACCCAATTACAAATAGGAGCAACCTGCCTCAGTAGAGTGTATGCAAAACCAAGAAAACACACTGCTATGTCACTGGAAGAGGCACGTGGTATGGGCCTCAGAGGTGTCCAGATTACCTGGACCTGTAGGCCATCAGAAAACTCTGCCTACAGCCTCTCTCCACCCTATAAACCCAAACTCCTGACAGTGTGGGCAGCTCCAGGCCCACAAACAAATAGGTCTGTGATGATGGCAATTACAGATATCATGAGAGAGTCACTCTCTACCCTGAACAAAAGACTCACCATGCAGGCAGGACATGCAGCATTATGGCTGACACAGTGGGGTCAGGTAACCCCCTGTGGTCACACAGCTGGCCTGTGAATAGAATGTGGGGAAATAGTGTTGGACAGACAAAAGTTAACAGCCACTCCAAATCATTAGCTAGTACTTCATGGTTAATGAAGAAGATGGTATTTCAAATCCATGCATGTTATGGACTCAACATTTGTGCCTCCTTAAAACTTGCACAGGGAAACCCTAACCTTCAAGGAGACTGCATTTGTGGACAGGACCTTTAAGGAGGTACTCAAGCTCAATGATGCTATGAGGTAGGGCCCTAACCCTATAGGACTGCTGTCCTTACAAGAGGAAGAGATGCCAGTGGTTTCTCTGTCTCTCCAGGAGCACAGTGAATAGGCCATGTGAGGACATGACGAGAAGGCAGCTGTCTGCCACCCAGGAAGCAGAGGCCTTACCAGACACAAGCCCGTTGGCACTTTGGTCTTGCACTTTCAGCATCCAAAACTTTATAAATGTCTGTTATTTAAGTCATCCAGACTGTGGTATTTCGTTATTGCACCCTGAGCAGACTAACAGAATGGGTTAGGAGTAAATTGGTCAAGAATCTTAGTATAAAGAAGTGCCATTAGAAGAAACTAAAATTAGACGCTCAACTCACACCAAATTCAATCAATCAGCACGAGGGATAGCAATCAAACAATTCAATTTCTTTTTTTCTTTTCTTTTTTTTTTTGAGACAGAGTCTCGCTCTGTCACCCAGTCTGGAGTGCAGTGGTGCGATCTCGGCTCACTGCAAGCTCCTCCTCCCGGGTTCCAGTGGTTCTCCTGCCTCAGCCTCCTGAGTAGCTGGGACTACAGGTGCATGCCACCATGCCTGGCTAATTTTTTTTTTTTTTTTTTGTATTTAGTAGAGATGGGGTTTCACCGTGTTAGCCAGGATGGTCTCAATCTCCTGACCTCGTGATCCTCCCACCTCGGCCTCCCAAAGTGCTGGGATTATAGGCATGAGCCACCGCGCCCGGCCAAGCAATTCAATTTCAACAACATCTGTTTTAACAGTTTAAGCCAGGGGTTCCAACGCTGGGCTTTGGACTGGTACTGAAATGTGGCCTGTTGAGAACCAGGCCATATGGCAGGAGGTGAACAGCAGGCAAATAAGCATTACCTCCTGAGCTCTGCTTCCTGTCAGACTAGCCGCAGCGCTGGATTTTCACAGGAGCACAAACACTATTGTGAACTGCGCATACAAGGGATCTAGGCTGCACGCGCCTTATGAGAATCTAACTCATGCTTGGTGATCTGAGTGGAAGTTTCATCCTGAAACCATCCCCCACCCCACCCTGGGTCTGTGGAAAAATTGTCTTCCACAAAACTGGTCCCTGGTACCAAAAAGGTTGGGGACCGCTGGTTTAAGGGACAGAAAGACCTGATGGCATGCTATGATTCCAAGAACGTTTTTATTGCTCATCAATATACAAACATATTTCCTTCAAACAATAGAATAATAAATAACTTGATTTCCAGTGCTTGTAGTTACCCAGGACACAATCATAGGCATCCTTGAAGCAATTTTCTGATTAGTAGTTGGACACTATAACTGCAGTATGTAATACTTTTTGAAGTGAGTACTGTTATAAAATTAACCTCTGGTCATATGCTGAGTCCAAAAGGACCACAAAAGGGAAAATTAGTCTCAGCCAATCATAAAACCTCAACCAAGTTAAATCCCTGAATAACTGTGTAGAAGTGAGTAACATAACCAAATCCAGACTGCTAAAAAGCTGAAGATGGCTCTGGAGTAGGCAAATAATAGCTTATTGCCTCCCACCAATTCATGACAGAGTAATTTTGTAAACTGTCGCAGCTATAGAGAATATGTTGTTTACCAAGTGCTGATATATCCAAAGCACTTTACTTACTTTGTTCCTCACAATGACCCTTTGAGGAAGTTTCTGTTGTTAACGGCCTTGTGAATATGAAGAAACAGAAACCCTGAGAGGTTAAGGCCAGCAGTCACACAGGTAACGTGCGGATCAGAGAGCTACCTGCTGGCCCCATCATTGGCAAGGCACAGCGCAGCAGTCCATCACTAGAAATGCAAATGCCGAGATCCCTCAGCCACACGGCACTTGGTGCGCACACTCATGACATATGTGGCTGTCCCATTAAAGATACCAGGGATAGGAGCAAAGGGGAAAGTCTGTTCGGGGCTGCTTTTCGCTGAGTAGAATAAAATGAGTACTATTGTTCAGAGCTGTTTAAAAATTCAGGCCTAAGCTGTTAACAGTTGTGTGTCTGATGTGTGCATTTCTATGTGAGTAATGTTTCTGTTAGACTCACTGGCTGGCACTGTGTTAGCAGCAAACTTTAGAAAAATATATTAAGAGACAATTTGGTAACACTGGTCACAATGATTTACGTACACTAGGAGAGTAGGAAAAATGTACCTAGTTTAATACTTTAGGGTTAATCTATTTAACAAACTATAAAGTGGCTAGAGTGGCATTTAATGTAAGTCACAATATTTATTACACTAAATGTATATATTCCCTACCCACAATTATGCCTGGTCCTATCAGGGAAAATTCTGTTAACATAGAACACTCATATGCATCAGCCACCTCCTTGAGGGGGCTGCTCTGTGCACAGCAGGCTGTTTAACAGCAACCTGGGCTCTACCCACTGGGTGCCAGTAGCTCCTCCCAGCCTCTAGTAACAACCAAAAATGTCTCCACTCATAGCCAAATATCCCCTGCCAGGGTATGCCATCTCTCATATTTAACTACTGGTGTATAGTCAAATATATTAAACATTTTTAATGCTTTAACATTTCTGTTAGAAAATTTACATCTATATTAGACGTTGATAGTTTTCCTTCATTTTAAATTCTCTGACATAATAATGTTGGAAGTTTTGTTTGAAAGTGATGACACATTAAAAATCTTCATAAAGATTCGCTTTATTCTCAGCATTTAGTGAGATGTCCCTGTGACAAGATGTTCCAAATATGTTCCAAATTGTTTCTCCCCACATTTCACTGACTTTTCCATAAACTGACTTGGGATCAAAGGTGACAATATAGGTGTGAATTTTCTGATCTAGAAAAACTAGTACTTTCTCTCAGAAAGCTCACAGATTAGCTACAGTGGGCTGTTTGTATTGTAATGCAAACACACCACATAAACAATGGCTCAACAGAGCAGGAATTTCTTACTCAAGTAAAGCACAAATGGAGGGTTTTAGCGTAGAGGTGGGAAGACTTCTGCTCTCTTCAGTGAATTCTTTCTGTCCTAAATCATGGTGGACTTCTCTCACGCGTGGCTCCCGAGGCCACCTTGGGGGTCATGATCTGCACTTCAGTCCGAGGTGCCATGAGAAATCAGGGATGACCTTTTTCATTGCCAGGCCTGGAAGTAATGTTCACCACTTGTGTCCATATTCTCCTGGACAGAGCTGTTGCATGAAGCCATCCATAATGGTGGGAAGCTGCGAAATGTGTGTCGGAGAAAAGAGGATGTTTTTGTGGAAACACATAGCTGGTCTCTGACACACAGAATTTCTCCCTTCTATGAGCTATCTGATGCTTTTTGAGGTATGATTTGTGGCAAAAGGATTTTCCACACTCAACACACTGATCATGTATTTTTCCAGCGTACTCTGATGTACAGTGAGGATTGACTTCTGGTAGAATTTTCCTACACCCTTTCCACTCACATGGTGTCTCACCTGTGTGAGTTCTCTGATGTGAGTCAGGACTGACTTCTGGTAGAAGTTTTCCCCACATCCACTACATTCATAGGGGGTTCACCTCTTTGTGAGTTCTCTGATGTATAGTGAGGACTGACTTCAGGGGAAAGGTTGTTCCACATGCATTGCATTCAAAGTGTTTTTCCCCCTTGTGAGTTCGCTGATATATAGTGAGGACTGACTTCAGGCAAAATGATTTTCCACACTCATTACATTCATAGGGTTTTTGTACTGTGTGAGTTCTCTGATGTGTAGTGAGTTCTGACTTTTTGTAGAATGTTTTCCTACATTCATAGGGTTTTCCCCCGTGTGAGTTCTCTGATGTAGAGTGAGGGCTGGCTTCTGATAGAGTTTCCTACATTCTTTACATTCACAGGATATCTCACGTGCGTGGATTTTCTGATGTACAGTGGGGGCTGACTTCTAGGAGAAAGTTTTCTTACGTTCTTTACATTCGTGTGGTTTCTCTCCAGGGTGAATTTTCTGATGTACTCTGGGGACTGGCCTCTGTGAGAAAGTTTTTCTACATTCTTTACATTCATGTGCTTTCTCACCTGTGTGTTCTTTGATGAATCATTAGGTTTGACTTACAGAAAAAGTTTTTCCACACTCATTGCATTCGTAGGGTCCCCCCACTGCCCTGGTGAGTTCTCTGATGTACAGTGAGAACTGACTTGCAGTGAAATAAGTTCCCACATTCTTTACACGCATAGGGGTTTTCTCCTGTGTGAGTTCTCTGATATACAGCGCGGACTGAATTGCAGTGAAACTGTTTCCCACATTCCCTCTATCCATAGGGTTTTTCTGCTGTGTGAGTCCTCTGATATGTAGTGAGTTTTGACTTTGGGTAGAAAGTTTTCCTACATTCTTTCATATGGTTTCTCTCCTGTGGGAGTACCCTCATACATCCTGAGGTTTGACTTCTTGCTAACGGTTTTCCCACACTAATTACATTCACAGGGGTTATCCTCTGTGAGAGTTCTCTGATGTACATGGAAGGCTGACTTCTCACAGAAGGTTTTACCACACTTGTCCCATTCATAGGGTTTCTTTCTTGTGTGAATTCTGTGATGGATAATAAGGTGTGACTTCTGGCCAAAGGATTTCCCACATTCATTACATCCATAGAGCTTTTCCCCTGTGTGAATTCTCTCATGGATTTCAAGGCCTGACTATGGCTGAAGGATTTCTCACACTGGCTGCATGCACATTTTTTCCCCTCTATGTGTCCTCTGATGTACTGTAAGATCTGATTTTGGCCGGGCATGGTGGCTCATGCCTGTAATCCCAGCACTGTGGGAGGCCAAGGCGGGCAGATCACGAGGTCAGGAGATCGATACCATCCTGGCTAACATGGTTAAACCCTGTCTCTACTAAAAATACAAAAAATTAGCTGGGTGTGGTGGTGGGCGCCTGTAGTCCCAGCTACTCAGGAGGCTGAGTCAGGAGAATGATGTGAACCCGGGAGGTGGAGCTTGCAGTGAGCCGAGATTGCGCCACTGCACTCCAGCCTGGGCGACAGAGCGAGACTCCATCTCAAAAAAAAAAAAAAAAAAAAAGATCTGATTTTCTAACTAGGATTTTCTCACATTCATAGAATTTTTGTCCTGTGTTTGGCTCCTCTCAATTAGGTCATCAACTGTCTGAACATCTGAAATGAGAAAAAATAACCACAACATTAAGCACATATTAACCATTTCTTATGGGCTTCTCATGTAAGGAAAAAGAAGTTATTTCTTATCCCACTGGTTTTGGTAGTGGTTTTATAAATATATGGTTTTCCTTACTACTGACTTAATGTAATGAATCACAGGAATCTATTTTCCAATGTTACACTGTGTTTTCCTTTTCTTTTTAACTCATGAAGAAATATTTGCTAATTATACTCACCTCCTGCCTAACGGTAGTTGTCACCTAAGTGCTTATCACCTGCCATTTGTTTTCTCACTTCTTTTTATTTTATTCTGAAAACAACAGTGGGTGTCTAATGCTGGTATTTCTCATTCTTCTGCTTTGATGATGGCAACATTTCCCTGGATCAGTTACTTGCAGGTACAGGGGAAGGCCATTTGTCTGTATCCTATGATTTAGGGACAGGATTTTCCATCTATGTTTTAGTTTTCACTCTTTTCTGGGAATGGCTATAGATATTTGGGGGTTTTTCAAATATAAATCGCTCATTCCCTATGCTTGATAAAGACACATTCCTGCAACTACCTTCCTCTGCTTCTCAGAACCATAACAGGTACAGAAAGCTCCAGTCTACCACCCTGGGCACCGCTTCCTTACTACCCTACAGGTTTTCATTCTGCAGCCTAGGCTGTGCCCATATTAAAAAATGTACTTTTGGCTCCTTGTAAGATAAATTTCCCTGACATTCTTTCTCCATTTCTAGTCCACACACCACTGCTTGATAATTCACTGCTTCTGAAGGCTTTCATTTTGTGTGCTGGAGTTTGAGTTCTTAGTTTCATAGAAAATATGTCTCCCATACATTTCACATTCTTTTTGTTGTTTCAGAATGATTTCTAGTAATAGAAGAGGAAAATGCTAACTTCAAACTCTACTCCCAAACAGAAATCTGAGCTCTTCAAAATGAAAGCCTTGATTCTCTCGTCCTTGGCATCCAGAATCTCCTGATTCTCCACCCAAGTCAAGGACCACTCCTTTGTATGCCTCTATGCTGAGTCCTCCTCAGTTTCATGACTTCTGGTGGTGTAGTACACAAGGTTCACTCACAGACTTCTCATTTGCTTATCAACTCCCTCAGAGACTTTCTTTATAAGTATTATGTTAAATACCAGCCTTAAGCTACTCATTTCCAAATTTCTATCTCCAATAGGAATGTCCACTCTTGAAACTATATGTTATATTCACCTATTATATGTCAAAATTGGAAAGCATTAACTCAAACTGAATCTATGCTGAAGTAAACACTTAATAATCACTCTGAAACTGCCTTCTCTGATGATTCTTCCTAAATTATCACATCCTATACTCTTGCTCTCTTTCTTACTCTTAAGTATTTCTTGTGCTTCTTAAACTACCCAATTTATCATTGTTTCTTTCTCATCAGAACAGAAACTCCATGAAAAAGGAGCATTATTTTGATCACAGTTATAACTATAAAATTACCAATATTTAAAACGTGCTGAATTAAGATGTGTTGAAAGAATAAACTGATGTATGAATACATGTCTGAAAAAAGACCCGTCCATGCAAATAGAGGAAAGGAGGACAACTGAGAATATTGAGAAAATAAAAAGCAAAGGAAGATGTCTAAGAATAGGAAGGCAGGAATTAGGTTTTGAGCAAATAGACTATTCATCAAAATAAAAGGCTGGGTTATATGTATGAGAGGTATTCTTGGGGTCTATATAGTGCCTGTGTTTGGTGCATGCAGACTAACTGTTCTCAGGTCTAGGACCTGGGTAAAAATTGGTGAAAACAAATTGGCATCTGCTGGGCTTTACTGCTCCAGGTGTCCCTGTCTAGCACATGCTGACTGACCTGAGAGGCTCTGATTTGGGGCTTCCTCCACCCTCCGTGGCTGTGTTCCTTGCTCCAACTCAAAGATCAGTTCAGGTTTGGTAATGCAATGCCCTTTTAATTGGAAATAATGTAAGACTTTGTCAAAATGCTAAGTCAGGTCCTTTGAAGAATGACAACAGCTTGGCTTCAGGAGCTGTGCAATGAAGGAGCCAATTTCAGCCTTTCGTTGGAGAGGATGACACATTCTTCATGGACTGGAATCTGATACCTAAATAGCAGTAAATTTATACAGGTTCCTGTATTTATCAGGAAGGAATAAAGTGTTGCTCCTTGGAGTTACTGGCAGGTTTCACTCACTCGATGATACGAGGATGCTATAGGTCTCCAGCATCACATCTCTTTACAGGGTCCCCTGAGCATTGTGCAGATGCTGCCATTCCTCCTAGGTAAAGTCCATGGCCATATCTTCAAAGGACACCAACCCCTATAATGGCTTATTTCTCAAGTCATTGGGCCTGGGTCACACAGTTTTCTGGGAATTTGCCCTTCTGTGTGTGTGTATCTTACATGTAGGTATGCTCACTGACAGCCCCCACCAAGCCTCCAGCCACCCACTGCCAGCTACCACTGAGCCATCATGCATGCCAACCCAGCTGTGCTTTCAGATGACCCATCATAGCTGCTGCCTTACTGCACCGGTGGGTGAGACAAGCCAGCCTGCTGAGACTCCCTAAGCCACAGAAACAGAAGTACTAGTAAACTGTTTGAAACTGCTATGTTTCAGGGGTGGTTTTTTAAAGCAGATTAGATAACAGGAACAGAATTTGGCAGCTGGAATGGGGTGCTGTGGTAATAAGAAGCTATGACATGCAGCACTGGACCTAAGACTGAGCAGAAGCTGGGCCTCAAGGAGACCGTTCATGGAAGCTGGAAGGGTGTCAAGACTCTTGGTGAGGGCTGAAGTAGAGTAAGAAAAATCACACTGGAAACTGAAGAAAAAGACATGTGGGTTACAAACTGGAGGATTGTGGGCAATGTGACTGCCTGCCGTGACGTAAAAAATTAAAAGGGAATCTCACCATGTCAGGGTCGGCCTAAGGAGATGAACGGAAAGAATATGGAAAGAGCTACCTGGTCTCATCCCTCTGCCTCTGAGAAAATATAAGAGGATAGAGATGATCTAAAAAAGGAAATTCAGTCTTCAAACAGAACTTAGGGGAAATGAGCCAGCACTTGCTGGGTTTGAAATAAAAATGTTTCTTATCCTCAATTTTTCCCACCAAAACAGTTTAAGGTAAGACATGGCTTTATGGCAAAGATAAAACCCAGTGTTTTTGTAAAAATGTGAAAAGTCAAAAATATTTTCAGCATTTTAAGGACCTTAGGGTGTGACAAGAGTGTACCTGGTAACAACAGGACTTCTAAGGCTGTATTCCCACAGTGGTCTTAGAGAGAAGGGGAGACTAGAGACGGAAAGGCCTGTCTTGGAGTGAGTGTGTGTGTGCGTGCGTGTGAGTGTGTGGTCAGGGGAGGGTCATTTTGGTCTAATGGATTTTGGTCCACAGGAAGCTTGTGTTTTTCAAAGACATGTTTACAGAATAATTTTTTGTATCAAAAGTCCAGCGTTCTCACGCCTGTAATCCCAGCACTTTGGGAGGCTGAGGCGGGTGGATCACAAGCTCAGGTGATCGAGACCATCCTGGCTAACACGGTGAAACCCCGTCTCTACTAAAAATACAAAAAAAAAAAATTAGCTGGGCATGGGGTGGTGGGTGCCTGTAGTCCCAGCTACTTGGGAGGCTGAGGCAGGAGAATGGCGTGAACCCAGGAGGCGGAGCTTGCAGTGAGCTGAGATAGCGCCATTGCACTCCAGCCTGAGCGACAGAGCGAGACTCTGCCTCAAAAAAAAAAAAAAAAAAAAAAAGTCCAGCATTAGAAGAAAATGAAAAGGAGGTCACTGGGTTCCCAAATTACAGTAAGGAAAAAATAGGTGGAGAAAATTGGTCAGCTGCAAACCCAGGAATTAAGGAAAAAGAACATGGAGAATGGTGAGAGCCCAGAGGGCAGAGTGAACAGGCACGAAGCATGTTAGGACTAGGTCCTAATCAATGAACTGGAGCAGGTGGAAGGGAGGTGCTCACCATGTTCTCGCTCTGTGCTGGCTGTTTGTGGAGGGGCAGAAGACAGGCCGCCGGTACCTGATTTGGATAAGCTTTCAGCCAGTTCCATAGTAGGAAAAGATTTCTGGGGCTCTTCAGAGGGGCACACAAGGGGTATAGTACATTTTGCATGTGGAAGAAATGTAAATAATTTGTAGCCAGAGGGCAAAGTGGTTTATTAAAGACTGTTGCAAATCTTATTATTCCTCTTATGGTAGTTGAAATCGAATTGCCTTGCACTTGAACTGGCCTGCTTTTTGTGATGAGCCTAGGAGAATGTGTTGGCAGAGATGTTTTGGGAATTCTGAGGGGAGATCATGAAAAGCCTCTAGCCGCTTCCTGGGCCTCTCGCATACCTGCTGTGGGAGAAGCCAGATAAACCTAGTTCTCCGAGACTGCTGGACTGGGAGGAGGTCCAGTCTGGCCACAAGGAGAGGCCTGGGTGCCTCCTCAATGTCCCCAGACCTGGCTGTCCTTCAAGCTGAGATCAGAGACCACATGAAGCAGACTACACTGCCTTGATGCAGACCAGAGACTTCAGGAAGCAGCCAACACACACTGCCTTGTTCAGATTCCTGACCCACAGCATTCTCATATGTAATAAGAATAATTTCGTGTTAAGCCAGTGTTTTGTACTACTTTGTTACACAACAGATAACTGGAACACTGACTGAAAAAGTTATTAGAGACCATACGTAGCACTTTGGTTTGAAACATAGGGTGCATTGGTTTGAAAAACAGGGTGTGTGAATAGTAGCTTCAACAGAAATGAATAAAGCACATTTCACTTTTTATGTTAGAACTCTAGACTATAGTCATGAATTTAAAATGTTCAGTATTAGATTGAGTATAGTCTTTAAAAAAGAAAACGTGACAGGTATTTTCAACTACAAACCTACAATTGTATATTAAGAAAACTAGATAGAATCACCGAGATAAATTTATATAAGGAAAAGGTACAAATTATGAAAATCTGTGGTGCATTTTATTCTTTGCATATCTTTGTACTGACCCTTGTCCAAATGCATCCCAGTAACTCCTGAATGATTTTCCCAATGTAATCTGGAGGATGTCACATGTGCTGGCTAAAAGCAAGGTTCACCAGGGACTGAACCTTGTCACCTAGAAAACACACCCTTAAGGTTTTGCCAAGAATCACATTTCAGATGTGACAAACTTACTGATGTCTGTGAGCACCAAATCACAAACCAGCTCTTCCCCCTAAACTGGCACTGTAAACAGACTTTAGAATAAAATACAAAGAGCAAACAAACGTAAGTAGCAGGAGTTGACACTAGATGAGGTAAGACGTAAGAGAGAGGATTCCAGGAGAAATAGGGGTTTGGATCACTGGCTATAAGGTCATAATACCACATATAAGGGAATAATGGAGAATGTGGTTTTCATGTTGGATTTGTTGGTCTTGAGGGGTCTTTTGGATAGCTACAAAGAAGCATTTAATAGGGAGTTGACCCTGTGCTCTAAAGGCTGGGGAAGACATCAAAGCTGGAGAGAAACAGGACTGCAAAATCACAGAGGGCTGAGTCAGACAGGGATAACTGTAGAGTGGGATGGGTGGGAAATGAGATAGTACACTTGTATGAGGTACATTAAGGAGAAGAAAGTAGGAGAATTCAGGGAAAAAGAGAAGAAACGATCAGTGAGCTCATGATAGAAACGAACACAGAAGAATTTCCAGCAGATCATGAACAGTGGTTTCAAATATGGCAAAAGATTCAAGTAAGGCAAAGACTAGACAATAGTCATTGGATTTTACTATAATTTAGGTTATTGGTGAGTTTTAGAAAAAATGAATTAAGACCACATTGTGCTGAGAATACATGCCAGAAAAAAGAACTTTGAACAGTCTGCTGTACACCTTGTATATACAGAAGAACTGAGAGAAAGGTATAGATAATTATTTAAGGGTCTGTGGTTGACTCAGTCCCCTAGATGTTCCAGGTTTTACTTATGAATGAAGTTTGACCTTCCAAAACCTGTCTAGGACAACATATTTTAGTAACTCCAGAAATACCTTATTCTGGAAGTTGTGTTTTAGTGCCAGGGATCCATTTCAACTGCAGAATGTGAAAAGCATTTACCTTCCAGGTTGGTAGTGAAAAAGTTTCCACCACATCATCTATGTCACTAATGAAGTCAGTGTTTCAGACTCTGGTGCCAGCAAGTCTTCCTGACTCACGAGAATGTAGCATGGTCTCTTCTTAGGTCCCATTCCAATCATGCAACAAACGTGACTGCCCTTTTACCATGGCATCATAAAGATCAGAGACGTATTTGTACTCAATTTAGACAAAAACTCTAAGGTCTTATAATCTGTCCATATTTACAGGTTATTTTTATCTTATTTATTATGTCAATTTCCCTTAAGTTTTGCTCTACTTTTTTCTACTTTTCCACTTTAATTCATATACAATGTAAAAGAAAGTGAGGAATAAATTAAAAATAAACCTTGACTCACTGAACATTTAATTTTTTGTTGCTCTTGAAAACAAATAGTAGACATGTTGGGAACAGGCCCCCCCAAAATCTGGCCATAAACTGGCCCCAAAACTGGCCATAAACAAAATCTCTGTAGCACTGTGACACGTACATGATGGCCATGACGCCCATGCTGGAAGGTTGTGGGTTTACAGGAATGAGGGCAAGGAACACCCGGCCCACCCAGGGCAGAAAACCACTTAAAGGCATTCTTAAACCCCAAACAACAGTATGAGCGATCTGGGCCTTAAGGACATGCTCCTGCTGCAGATAACTAGCCAAACCCATCCCTTTATTTCGGCCCATCGCTTTGTTTCCTGTAAGGAATACTTTTAGTTAATCTATAATCTATAGAAACAATGCTTACCACTGGCTTGCTGTCAATAAATATGTGGGTAAATCTCTGTTCGAGGCTGTCAGCTCTGAAGGCCGTGAGACCCCTGATTTCCCACTCCACATCTCTATATTTCTGTGTATGTGTCTTTAATTCCTCTAGTGCCGCTGGGTTAGGGTCTCCCTGACCGAGCTGGTCTTGGCAAGTGGTGCCCATACGTGGGGGCTCAAACCCAGGTTGAAGGGTCGCAGAAGCAATGGAACTAAGCTGGAGGGCACCCGAGTACTCTTAAAGCAATCCCCGTGGTGAGTAAGAAGGGGAACTTGGAAGCATGAGGGTGACACTGGGAGAAGTGTGGGATCTGGTTCATTCCATCTTGGAACCTTTTCACACTAATGATGAGGAGGAAGGAGAGTATAATGAAGTAACAGAAGAGGTTACAGAGCAGGTTTGCTTGCCAGCTGAAGCGGCAAAGGAGGGAGAGGTTCATCCCTACCCTTCTGCACCCCCTCATTATTATTTTGAAGAAAAAGACCCTCCAGATCTTTCTTTTCCGGAGGACACTGGGCGAAAAGTAGTTGCCCCAGTGACTGTTCGAGCAGTGCCTCAAGCGACCACTCTCAGTTCTATTCAGGCAGGAATTCAGCAAGCTAGATGAGAGGGTGATTTAGAGGCTTGGCAATTCCCTGTTAGAATACACCCCCAAGATCAACAGGGAGATATTATAATTACATTTCAGCCTTTTCCTTTTAAATTACTCAAAGAATTTAAACAAGCTATTAATCAGTATGGACCAGGTTCTCTTTTTGTAATGGGACTGCTAAAGAATGTTGCTGTTTCCAGTCGGATGATTCCTACTGACTGGGACACTCTTACTCGAGCTTGTCTAACTCCTGCTCAGTTCTTACAATTTAAAACTTGGTGGGCAGATGAAGCTTCCATTCAGGCTGCTTGCAACGCTTAGGACCAACCTCAAATTAATATAACTTCAGACCAGCTTTTGGGGGTTGGTGGCTGGGCTGGTTTAGATGCACAAGTGGTCATGCAGGATGATGCCATAGAACAGCATAGAAGAGTGCGCAATAGAGCTTGGGGAAAAAAATCACTTCAGGTAGAGAACAATAACGTTCCTTTAGTGCTGTCAAACAGGGACCAAAAGAACCATATGTGGAGTTTATAGCTTGGTTACAAGAGTCTCTTAAAAAGGTGATTGCAGATTTGGCTGCTCAGGATATAGTGTTGCGGTCATTAGCTTTCGACAATGCTAATCCCGATTGCCAGGCTGCTCTGCGAACTATTAGAGGGAAAGCACATTTAGTTGATTATATCAAGGCCTGTGATGGTATCAGAGGTAATCTGCATAAAGCTACTTTGTTGGCACAGGCAATGGCAGGACTGAGAGTGGATAAAGGAAATACTCTGTTTCCTGGAGCTTGTTTTAACTGTGGAAAGCATGGTCATAGTAAAAAGTATGTAGAAAAAATCAGCAGGTCAGGCCGCCAGATAGAGGAAGAAAGAAAAGTGTTGAGCCTGAAATATGTCCAAAATGTAGAAAAGGAAAACATTGGGCTAATCAGTGTCACTCTAGTTTTGATAAACATGGGAACCCGATTTTGGGAAATGCCATGAGGGGCCTGTCCTGGGCCCCATTCCAAATGGGGCATTTCTGGCTCAGGCCATTCCCTCACCCCTGTACAATGTCTGTCCCCTGCCACAGCCAGTAGTGCCACAGTAGATTTATGCTGCACAAAAGCTGTGAGCCTTCTGCCTGGGGAGCCCCTGCAAAAGGTCCCAACAGGAGTCTGTGGACCCTTGCTAGCAGGGACGATAGGATTACTTCTAGGCAGGTCTAGTTTAAATTTAAAAGGGGTACAAATACATATAGGAGTCATTGATTCAGATTACATTGGGGAAATTCAAATTGTTATATCTACTTCTGTTCCCTGGAAAGGAGAGCCAGGAGAGCGCATAGCACAGCTCCTGATTGTGCCGTATGTGGGAATGGGGAAAAGTGAAATTAAACGAGCAGGATTTGGAAGCACAAATAAACAAGGCAAAGCAGCTTATTGGGTAAATCAAATTACTGATAAACATCCTACCTGTGAAATAACTATTCAGGGAAAGAAATGTAAAGGTTTGGTAGATACAGGAGCAGACATTTCAATCATTTCTCTACAGCACTGGCTGTCCGTGTGGCCAATTCAACCTGCACAATTTAACATAGTTGGAGTTGGTAAAGCCCCTGAAGTATATCAAAGTAGTTATATTTTGCATCGTGAAGGGCCTGATGGACAACCTGGGACTATTCAACCAATTATAACTTCTGTACCTATAAATTTATGGGGGAGAGATTTATTACAACAATGGGGAACACAAGTTCTAATTCCAGAACAATTATATAGCCCTCAAAATCAACATATGATGCATGAAATGGGGTATGTCCCTGGTATGGGACTAGAAAAAAATTTGCAAGGTTTGAAAGAACCGCTTCAAGCAGAAAGACAAAATTCCCGCCAAAGATTAGGATATCATTTTTGATGGTGGCCATTGTTAAGCCTCCAGAACCTCTACCTTTAAAATGGTTAACAGATAAGCCAATTTGGATAGAACAATGGCTGCTAAGTAAAGAGAAACTGGAGGCTTTAGAGGAATTAGTTACTGAACAATTAGAAAATGGGCACATAGCTCCAACATTTCCCCTTGGAATTCTCCAGTTTTCTTAATGAAGAAAAATTCAGGTAAATGGAGAATGTTAACTGACTTAAAAGCCATCAATTCAGTTATACAACATATGGGAGCATTACAGCCAGGACTGCCTTCTCCTGCTGTAATTCCAAAAAATTGGCCTTTAATAGTCATAAATTTAAAAGACTGTTTCTTTACTATCCCCTTAGCTGAGCAAGATTGTGAATGGTTTGCATTTACAATTCCTGCAGTAAACAACCTGCAGGCTGCTAAGCATTTTCATTGGAAAGTGTTGCCACAAGGCATGTTCAACAGTCCAACAATTTGCCAGACGTATGTAGGGCAAGCAATTGAACCTACTCATAAAAAATTTTCAGTGTTACATTATTCATTATATGGATGATATACTTTGTGCTGCCCCCACTTGAGAAATATTACTCCAATGTTACGATCACTTGCAAAATTCGATTTCTCACACTGGTTTAATTATAGCTCCTGACAAAATTCAGACTACTGCTCCTTACTCCTACTTGGGGACCTTAGTAAATGATACTACCATTGTGCCACAGAAAGTAACCATATGTAGGGATCAATTGAAAACATTAAATGACTTTCAAAAATTACTAGCATTAATTACTAGCATTAATTGCATACGACCTGCACTAGGCATTCCTACCTATGCCATGAGTAATCTGTTTTCTATCCTTAGAGGAAAACCTAGTCTCACTAGCCCTTGGCAATTAACAAAGGAGGCTGAGGCAGAGTTACAGTTAATTGAAAAGCAAGTCCATAAAGCTCAAATAAATATAATAGATCCAGAGAAGACTCTAGATTTGCTAATTTTTTCAACTCAGCATTCACCTACTGGTGTTATTGTCCAAGAACAGGACTTAGTAGAGTGGCTTTTTCTTCCACATACTAATTCACAGACTCTAACTCCTTATTTACATCAAATTACTACTATGATAGGAAATGGGAGAACTCGGATTGTTTAATTACATGGATATGATCCTGGAAAAATTATTGTCCCTCTCACGAAGGCACAAATACAGCAAGCTTTTATAAATAGTCTTACTTGGCAAACCCATTTAGCTGACTTTGTGGGTATTCTCAATAATCATTTTCCTAAAATGAAACTGTTTCAATTTTTGAAATTAACTAATTGGATTCTCCCTAAAATAACTAAATTTAAACCAATTGAAGGTGCTGAGAATGTTTTTACAGATGGGTCTAGTAACAGTAAAGCTTCTTATTCTGGCTCAAAAAGTAAAGTTTTCCAGATGCCCTATACTTCGGCTCAAAAAGTGGAGCTTGCAGCTGTAATTGAGGTATTCACTGCTTTTGATATGCCTATTAATGTGATTTGTGATTCTTCATATGTGGTTCATTCCACACAGTTAATTGAAAATGCTCAGTTACGATTTCATACAGATGAACAACTGATGACTTTATTTACCCAATTGTAAACAGCAGTTAGGAGTAGAATGCACCCTTTTTACATCACTCACATTAGGGCTCATACACCTCTTCCAGGACCTTTGTCTGAAGGGAATCAAATGACTGATCGCCTAGTTGCTAATGTAATATCTAATGCTGACACTTTCACAATTTAACCCATGTTAACGCCTCTGGTCTCAAACGCAGATACAGCATAACCTGGAGAGAAGCTACAGCTATTATCCAGCAATGTCCAACTTGCCAAATGGTACATTCCTCATCTTTTACAGGAGGATTGGAACCTAATTCTCTTTGGCAAATGGATGTCACACGTGTTCCCTCGTTTGGGAGACTAGCTTATGTACATGTGTGGACACCTTTTCTCACTTTGGGCTACATGCCAATCAGGAGAGTCTTCTGCCTGTGTTAAACGTCACTTTTGCAGTGTTTTGTGGTGATGGGCATCCCAGCTTCTATTAAAACAGATAATGCCCCAGGCTATACTAGCCAAGCTCTAGCTACATTTTTCTCTATGTGGAATATTAAACACATTACTGGTATCCCATACAATTCTCAAGGACAAGCCATAGTGGAAAGAATTAATCTCTCCCTGAAACAGCAGTTGCGAAAGCGGTGGGGGGAGGGGGGAAATAGAGAATATGGAACACTGCAGATATAATTGAATCTAGCATTATTAACTTTAAATTTTTTGAGCCTGCCCAAAGGCCAGATGTTATCAGCAGCTGAACAGAAGCTGCAGAAACCAGCTGCAAAGACAGAAGCAGAACAACTGGTTTGGTGGAGAGATCCGATAACAAAAAGTTGGGAAATAGGTAAAATAATAACTTGGGGTAGAGGCTATGCTTGTGTTTCTCCAGGCCAAAATCAACAGCCTATTTGGATACCATCAAGACACCTGAAACCTTATCATGAGTCAGATGCCGAGGAAGAGATTCTGGGAGAAACCCAAGGACCCCCTGGTTGCAGCCATGTTGAGGCTGATGCTGAGGAGGACCCCAACTGTCATGAGCAACACCTGTCTAACACAGCCACCCACCTGGAGACAGATCAAGAAGTTGTCACAGATGGCAGAAGAAAACCTGGGGAAAGCAGGACAACCAGTCACAATGAGTAATTTAATGGTAGCTATGATAGTGGTGATCACCATTGCCATGAGTATTCCTTCAACAAGGGCTGACACAGAGAACAATTATACTTATTGGGCATATTTGTCAATCTTGGCTGGCAATAATGCCTGGATGTAATCACTCTATGACACAGTTACATACGCTTTCTGATCTCAATATTTACCGTAATAAATCTGCTCCTATAATTGAGGCATACCACCCTCAAAAACCTATTTGTAAACAGAATTGGACCTGGCCAGAAAAAATGAACGTACTTGTTTGGAAAGACTGCATTACAGAACAGGCAGAGGTGCTACACAACAATTCCTATGGAATCATTATTGATTGGTCCCCTAAGGGGATGTTTAGCTTAAACTGCACCTCTCAGTCTGTGTGCCACGGCCACACTGTGTTCAGCTGGTCTGAACAAAACGGTCAGATGGTAGAAATGATAAGAAGTATGGCAAGAGTTCCTATTATCTGGAACCATGGCACCTCAACCTCAAATGATATGGCCCACTCTAGGAGCTTAACATAAGGATCTGTGGAAACTATCAATGGCTCTTAATAGGATCAAAACTTGGGAAAGAATAAAAAAGCATCTAGAAGGACACTCTACGAACTTGTCTTTGGATATTTCAAAATTAAAAGAACAAATATTTAAAGCATCCCAGGCACACCTTACCTTAATGCTAGGAACTGGAATGCTTGAAGGAGCTGCAGAAAGATTAGCAGCTAGTAACCCATTAAAATGGGTAAAAACACTTGGAAGCTCTGTGATTTCAATGATGATTGTGCTTTTAATCTGTGTTGTCTTTGTATAGTCTGCAGTTGCAGATCCTGATTCCTGCAACAAGTAGCTCACCATGACAAAGCTGCCTTTGCTTTTATTGCTTTGCAGATCAAAGAAGGGGGACATGTTGGGAACAGGCCCCCCCCCCCCCAAAATCTGGCCGTAAACTGGCCATAAACAAAATCTCTGCAGCACTGTGACATGTTCATGATGGCTATGATGCCCACACTGTAAGGTTGTGGGTTTACTGGAATGAGGGCAAGGAACACCCAGCCCACCCAGGGCGGAAAACCGCTTAAAGGCGTTCTTAAACCACAATAGCACGAGTGATCTGTGCCTTAAGGACATGCTCCTGCTGCAGATAACTAGCCAAACCCATGCCTTTATTTCGGCCCATCCCTTTGTTTCCTGTAAGGAATACTTTTAGTGCATCTATAATCTATAGAAACAATGCTTATCACTGGCTTGCTGTCAATAAATATGTGGGTAAATCTCTGTTCGAGGCTGTCAGCTCTGAAGGCCGTGAGACCCCTGATTTCCCACTCCACATCTCTATATTTCTGTGTGTGTGTCTTTAATTCCTCTAATGCCGCTGGGTTAGGGTCTCCCTGACCGAGCTGGTCTCGGCAAGACAGACTCTGGAAACATGGCTAAGACAGAAGGTAAATGTAGTGGATTAAGGAGAGAACTGGTGTGGCTTGGTCCTAGATTCTTGTGTCCAAAACTCTATACAAATTAGCTGGAAAATGACTTCCCTCCCCAAAAAGAAACAACTACATCAACAAAAACCACAAACAGGAATCTCCTTGGGAGAGATTAGTCCTCTACACATCAAATAAGGGGAAACCAAGATCCATTAAAAATGCATCTGCCAGTACAGTAATTGGTTGACATTAGACATATATTTCATTTTGGGTTAGTGATAACATACTTTACTAATTTGGCACCAATGAATGTTACCTAAAGATGTAATAATTTAAACCAAAGAAATCAACATTATATTTCCACTAAAATCAATGTCATGGAAATATACTTGGCTGTTTTAACTATTTTCCTATGAATATGTGGATTCCATGCAGGACTCTATATGGTATTTTCACTCTCTCTAACACATCTTTCTTTTATATATCTAGATATCATACAAAGTATGGATCTTGCAAACCAACATTTTTTTGCCCCATGACTGTATCAGAAACAAATGTACATAATGTATATTTCTTATGGTACACTGTTCCAGTAATGTTTCCCAATGACAAGTCTCCCTGTATCCAAGACCTCATGTAATGTGCTCTGACGATGAACTGGGCTTTGCCTTTTGACTTGCGTTGGCCAATGGGACACAGGCAAATGTCATGCAAATACAGATTCAAAAAGTATTTGCCTAATGGTGCTTGTCTTCTTGGACACAGTCAAATTGTGAAGAATCTTGGGGCTACCTGCTGGAAACACAGTGCCTAACAGAGAGCCAGCACAAATCACAAGACATGTGAGTAAAGCCATCTTAAGCCAACCAGCCTCAGTCAAGGCACCAGGTGACTCAACTGTCACTCGTGATCCAAGCAACACTAACATAGAATATGAACTGCCCAGATGAACCCACCACAAAATACAGATCCATAGAAGCTTGAACAAAGAAAATGGTGGTGGTTTTTTAAGCCACTAAGGTCTGATTACTTTCTTATAAAGCAAATGCTAACTGATACATCTAAGCCGCCAGAACTTGATATATATCTAAGAAAATTATGTGGGGAAGAAAGTTTTAATGTGTATGTCAAATACAATCAACACCACTTTGGAAGCACACAAAGAAATTTTGAAAATCACAATGAATATCAAATGGATGGAATTCAGTGAGGTAGGTGGCTGGTGCTAATAGAGACCGTGTGAATCATACAAAGCAACTGTTTGCACATCAGAAAGCCGTCTATGTTTTAAAGTTTTTACATCATAAAAAAGTTTGTTTACTTTAAAAAACACAAAACATAAAAAGAGTCTGTTACAAGGGAGCATTGTACTTCATTTTATTAAATTTTAAGAAATAGGTTTGGAGAAGCAGTATGACAGTCTAATTTTCCCATATTAATGTCAAATAATCTCCCATTATTTTCATGCAGAATTTATGATTTTTAAGAACATATTACTGACATTAAGTGGGAAACACTTGTGTTTCCTCAAATGAAACTCTTTGAAGTCACATAATCCATAGAAAGTGTTGGGGATAAAAAAGGATAGGGATGTTTAAGGCAAAATATTTTAAAGCAATGTTTGTTCTATGCTGTCAGTGTTGCAAAAATAATCTCAAAAGTAAACAAACACGGCCGGGTGCAGTGGCTCACGCCTGTAATCCCAGCACTATGGGAGGCCGAAGTGGGCGGATCACAAGGTCCGAAGATCGAGACCATCCTGGCTAATACGGTGAAACCTCATCTCTACTAAAAATACAGAAAATTAGCCAGGCATGGTGGCGAGCGCCTGTAGTCCCAGATAGGAGGCTGAGGCAGGAGAATGCCATGAACCCGGGAGGCAGAACTTGCAGTGAGCCGAGATCTCACCACTGCACTCCAGCCTGGGTGACAGAGCGAGACTCCGTCTCAAAAAAAAAAAAAAAGTAAACAAACACTTGTTTTGACTTGTGGCAAAATGAGTAACACCAGCCAAAAGGTCGGGATGCCTAACATCTACAGATCAAGTGATCTTGGGCAAGTAAATAACTTCTCAAATCCAATTGCTCCATCTAACGTAGAAATACCTCGGCAAACTTCCTGAACTACCAGGAAGAACTATTAGGACAGAGGGAGCATCAACATATCTGTAGATACCAAATTTCGTGCTAGACTATGTTTAAGACAGCTCAGACACGGGACAATTAGGGGAGATTGAAGGAATGGGACGACTGTTTAGGGAGCACTGTCTACGGTAGGACAGGTCATTCCTACACCCCAGATGACACCTTCAAGCTCCCTCCTATAAGCAACATTTCCTAGGCCCCTGCCTAGTCTTCTCAAACTCACCTCTCCTTTCTGAAAGTTGGCCTAAACCTTCCAAAAGCACCAGTTGTTAATAGCTATTGAATGAGCTATTATCAATCAAATACCGTGCATTCTAGGGAGTAGGATCAATAACTGCTTGGGTCATGCAAAACTAGGATCTATGCCTTTCTGTGATTCTGCTCTGAAGCTCCAGTGAGAAGGTTCAGGCCAGAAGGGTGCTCTTTCAGAGGGGAGTCCTATTTTCTGCTTCCAAGTGTGGAACGCCTAATTTATTGCAAAGACAACTGGGCCATCACCCAGCACCCCATCTTCCTCGTGGAACTCGTCCCTGGAAAACAGGCCGGGGTTGCCCTCTATGCTGCCTAGAGGGCCTGCCTGCCGGGGCTGCCCGCTGTACGTCCTTCAGGCCTGGCTGGGAGGCTCAGCTGGCCCCGGGGCCCGCATGCCGGGCCTGTCCACTGTCCTGCCTTCAGGGCTCGCCAGCCTGGGCTGCCCGCGGTCCTGTCTGCAGGGGCCGCCTGCCGGGATTGCCCGCTCTCCTGCCTGCAGGCGCTGCTGGGAGGCTCAGCTGGCCCCGGGGCCTGCCTGCTGTCCTGCCTGCATGGACCACCAGGCTGAGCTGCCCGCTGTCCTGCCTGCAGGGCCCGCCTGCCGGGGCTGCCCGCTGTGCAGCCTGCAAGGCCCACCTTCCGGGGTTGCCCTCTAAGCTGCCTACAGTGCCCGCCTGCCGGGGCTGCCTTCCGGGATTGCCCGCTCTCCTGCCTGCAGGCCCTGCTGGGAGGCTCAGCTGGCTCAGCCTGCAGGGCCGGCCTGCCGGGGCTGCCCGCTGTACGTCCTCGAGTTCCGACTGGAAGGCTCAGCTGGCCCCAGGGCCCCATGCGGGGCCTCTCCGCTGTCCCGCCTTCAGGGCTCGCCAGCCTCCGCTGCCCGCTGTCCTGTCTGCAGGGGCTGCCTTCCGGGATTGCCCGCTCTCCTGCGTGCAGGCCCTGCTGGGAGGCTCAGCTGGCCCCGGGGACCGCCTGCCGGGTCTGCCCGCTGTGCTGCCTGCATGGACCACCAGCCTGAGCTGCCCGCTCTCCTGCCTGCAGGCCCGGCTGGGAGGCTCAGCTGGCCCCGGGGACCGCCTGCCGTGTCGGCCCGCTAACCTGCCTGCAGGGCCCGCCAGCCTGAGCTGCTCGCTGTCCTGCCTGCAGGGCCCGCCTGCCGGGGCTGCCCGCTGTGCAGCCTGCAAGGCCCACCTGCCGGGGTTGCCCTCTAAGCTGCCTACAGTGCCCGCCTGCCGGTGCTGCCCACTGTACATCTTTCAGGCCCAGCTGGGAGGCTCAGCTGGCACTGGGGCTTGCATGCCGGGCCTGTCTGCTGTCCTGCCTTCAGAGCTCGCCAGCCTGGGCTGCCCGCGGTCCTGTCTGCAGGGGCCGCCTGCCGGGATTGCCCGCTCTCCTGCTGGCAGGCCCGGCTGGGAGGCTCAGCTTGTCCCGGGGACCGCCTGCCGGGTCTGCCCGCTGTCCTGCCTGCATGGACCACCAGCCTGAGCTGCCCGCTGTCCTGCCTGCAGGGCCTGCAGGCCCGGCTGGGAGGCTCAGCTGGCCCCGGGGACCGCCTGCCGGGTCTGCCCGCTCTCCTGCCTGCAGGGCCCGCCAGCCTGAGCTGCTCGCTGTCCTGCCTGCAGGGCCCGCCTGCCGGGGTTGCCCTCTAAGCTGCCTACAGGGCCGGCCTGCCGGGGCTGCCCGCTGTACGTCCTTCAGGCCCAGCTGGGAGGCTCAGCTGGCACTGGGGCCTGCATGCCGGGCCTGTCTGCTGTCTGGTCTTCGTTTTTGGTTCTCTTCATTTGGTTTATAAATTTGAGTTAATATTTGGAGCCATTTTCTCAACCCAATACAGCTTTGCTCCCATGACCTCCTTCGTACTCTTATTGGTGAACACATTACATTTATATATGGTACAGGAAGAAGAATGCATTGTATATATGCAGTTTTATACAACTGCTTTCTACATCGGTTAAGAGAAGAAAATAGAAGAATGTGCACTTATACTGCCTTTTGTAGTTTCATATTTACCTTTTATGGTGCCCTATGTTTTTTGTGTGTGATTTTGATTTACTGTCTGGGATCACTTGCTTCCAGCCTGATGAATTTCTCTTTTGATTTCTTATGAGGCAGATATTCCAGCGACATATTCTTTCAGTTTTGTTAATCTGGGTATGTTTTTATTATACCTTCATTTTAGAAACATAGCTGTGCTATGTTATAGGAATCTTGGTTGAGAATTTTTAAAATTTGGACATTGCGCATATTATCCCACTTCTTCCTGGCCTATATTGTTTTTGATGAGGAATCAGCAGTTAATCTTGCTGGGGTTCCCATTGAAGAGTTTAAGAGGATCCTTTTTAATTTCAAAGCTTTTGCTTTCTGCTGTCTCTTCCTGCTTTCAGAATTTTTTCCTTGGGATTAACTTTCAGCATTTTCACTATAATGTGTCTGTAGATCTCTTTGTATTTATTCTATCTGAACTGCACTGAGTTCCTGGATGAGAGTAAAATGTCATTCATTGTATGCCCTTGGGACCATTATCAGTGACTTTAAATGGTTGTTTTCATTTTTTAGTTTTTTTTTTGTAATTTTTACTAGTTTTGCTGGGGGCTAGATTTGTGGAGCTTTTCACACCAGCACACTCTCAGCTCACCCAGGAATCACGTAATTTTATTTTTAAAATTATTTTATGTATTTTTGAGACGGGGTCTCACTCTTTTGCCCAGGCTGGAGTGCGGTGGTGCATTGGTGCAGTCGCGGCTCACTGCAACCTCCACCTCCTGGGTTCAAGTGATTCTCCTGCCTCAGCCTCCCGAGTAGCTGGGATCACAGGTGTGCGCTGCCACACCCAGCTAATTTTTGTATTTTTAGTAGAGATGGGGTTTCACCATGTTGGCCAGGCTGGTTTCAAACTCCTGACCTCACGTGATCCTCCCACCTTCGCCTCCCAAGGTGCTGGGATTATAGCCCAGAATCATGTAATTTTAGAGACTGCATGCTAAGTGACATGTAAACTCTCCCTAAGAGGCAGAGAGATGGGGAGGGGATATCAGAATGCAACTCTATCTGGAATCTTGAATAAAGGAGATTTGGACATCACTGAAGCTAGACAGAGTCCAGCAGAGAGAGCTGAGTCCAAAAAGAAAGGAGAGGACAGAACCCATTCCAGGTGGAGCACCTCTCCTGTGTGTTTGACTAGGCCCTTGGCACATTTCCTAGCCTCATGGAGCCCTGGATCATGCACATTATTGCTCTCTTCACCCTTTGCACCTGCTCACATCTTTCTACTGCAGCAATGACTGTGGGAAGCTGTATTTGTCCATATACTTTGGGGCGTGTGTACATATTATTGGGACTTTTGTCTTTCTTTCTCCTCCCTCTCTCTCTGCATCATTACCTCATCTCCAGGACTCCGCCCTGAAAACTCCTGTGGCCTCATCTCTCTGAATGCCCCATCCTGTTATTTCAACTTTGTGTGTCTCCATGCTCCCCATGTATGGTCTGAAACCTGGAGCAGATTGTAATTCCCACCTAATTTGACTTTGTTATTCTGCATTAAATAATAACGATCTTATCTTAATGGCCAGAGAGGAGAATTTATTTTTGCCCCCACTTCTTGTGCAGGTCAACAAGAGGAGCTTAGTACTCCACACAATGACTTAGGAACCTGTGCTGGTGGTGGCACTGGCATCTTACAGCTGCTCCATCTGGAGAAGGTTCCAGGTTGGTTAATGGTAATTCTATGATTTGGAATCCTAAGCACCCATGTTAGACGTCAATACACGCTTTTCAGAAAAGAGCCTGCTCCAAGCTCGTAAAGGTGGACAGGGCAATTCCAGCCTCTGCATTATCATCATTTCCTCCTGATCAGGGTGGTAACACCTTTACTCTGCCCTCAGGTGATTCCAGCTCTTCATATAGCTGCTGCCTCACAGAATTAGGATGAGTAGTGGGAAGAACTGAGTGTGGGAATGAAGCAGATGGGACAGAGTCCAAGAACCCAAAAGCAAGGAGGAAGAGACAGTACCGGGGCATGAATAGCCTTGGAGGGTTCCTGACGCCAGCCTGCAGTTCCTGGAGCTCCAGCACCTCATCCACAACATTTGCGAATGGACAAGGCAGGAGTGAGGAAGAAAGGTTTCATCTTCAGAGAAGAGGTATCAGTAGTGTAGGGGTGAAGGTGATGGAAGAAACGGTTGTGGAACAAAAGGAATAGAAAGCTCCCGGCAAGGATGGAGGCAGCACTGTTTGTTGGACAACTGAATTGGCCCAGGTGGCCCCTGCACTCTCAGGTACCTGAGACTCCACCCGCCTTGCCTTACTGTCCACATTTACTCATGGTGACAACCCCCGCCCCCAAATTTCATTTGAATGACATGCGCAGGTGCATTTGCACTGAGATCTTTATTCTAGGCCTGGGGCCTTGGAGCAGTGGGCAATTGCAACACAGGACAGAGAAGAGAGTATTGTTTGTGTCCCTGTGATCAGACACATGCACACACTACACACACACACACACACACACACACACACACACACACAAGGACACGGGCACAGACATGGGTAGTAATGAGACCTATTAAGTATTTTCCCCTCCAGTAGGCAGATGTGCATGATACATAAATTACAAATAAGAGGAACCTTGTGAACACATTTCAAAGGCAAGATGAGTGAATATCGGTGACTTGTGGTTTTCATGTATTTTATAATTCAGTTCTTGGTATAAAATATATTTTATATTCCAACCTCGTATACACCTATACACTCTTGAAAAATCGAAAGAAGAGTTTCACTGAAGAAAACTTAATTTCACAAGGTGTGATACTCTCTGATGTTTTATTTTACATCATATACTAGTTCAATTAAAAAATAAATTCATTAAGCTCATCAGAATTGACTGTGCCTGCAATTTCAAAAATGAGTCGGAGGAACAAGATATTAATGACTGGGCACCGCCTCTCCCACCTCCACCTGATGCAGTGCTCGATGGTGAACTCACTGAGCCAGGCCATCTGTGTCCTTGCAAGGTGACCTTCCCTGTGCCCTTGCAGTGGGCATTGTGACACTTTCCTCTGAGACACTTCCACAGTTGTGTATCTCATGCTTTGTTTTCAAAACAGATTCCTTGAAGCCTGTGGTGGTTTAATCTGGCCAGCCTGGGAGGGACTATTCCACTTCACAGCGAATTTCTCTTTGATCCTTTTGCTAATTTCGTTCTGAGGTCAATCTTATTCCTGAGGTCCAAAGAGGTATCTCTCTGCTATGTCTCATTTTATTCTATTAATAGTGTATTAATATGGGCTGCTGAAGTTATTTTTTCTTAGCACTTATTAGGTGTTTGTATTTGTTTTATTTTATAATACTTACTCACTAAATATTAACCTTCACAATTGAGGCAACATGCCCAGGGGAAGAAAGCTGACCTCAGTGTCTGTCACTGTGTACAGGCTCCTGTGGAATTGTCAATGCTGAGCAGCACACGTAGCTCTTGGAGTCTCATTTTCTTCATTTCTAAATTAGAAATGAGCACTTGTACTTTACAGCATTCTGAAGATAGAATGAGATGTGTCCAGATAACTCCTGTCATGTGTTGGGGGATACATGTATGTGTATGTTCTTTCCCTTTCTTACATGATTATTCTCTTTGTGTGGGGAGGTGGTGAGTGTTTTTATTACATGCGGAAAGGAGATCTGTCTTGTTATGCTGTATTAGGCCATTCTTGCACTGCTATAAAGAAATATCTGAGCCTGGATAATTTATAAGAAAAGAGATTGAATTGGCTCACACTTCTGAAGCTGTACAGAAAGCATGGTGGCATCTGCTTCTGGGGAGGCCTCAGGAAGCTTCCAATCATGGCAGAAGGTGAAGGGGGAGCAGGTACGTCACGTGGCCAGAGCAGGAGCAAGCATAGTGGGTGTGCCACACAGTTTTAAATGATCAGATCTGGCAAGAACTCACCAGCTATTGCAAAGACAGCAGCAAGTCATGAGGGATCTGCCCCCATGATCCAAACACTTCCCACCAGGCCCCACCCCCAGCATTGGGGATTACAATTGACAATTCAACATGAGATTTGAGAGAGGATAAATATCCAAACTATATCACATGCATACAGATAAGGAGCATAGGTTGCTGTTCTACCTATTGTCTGTCCTGTTGAAACAGTTAAATATATTCCCTGGGCGTTCATTTTCTTCCCAGAACTGGGTGAAAGAACTGTCTGAACTTGCTTCTCCTTCCTCACCTGCATGTGTTCCTCAGTCTACTGCAGTCTTTCACCTCCTTTACTTCATTAAACCTGCTCTGGCAAAGATCGCTAATTTCCACCACACTGCAGAGGCTGCAGGCTCTTGTCCCTACTGATTTGACTTCTTTGCTGCATCTAATACTTTCCTTGGGATCATTCTGCCCTCAGTGATCTGAGATTGCCTTCTGCCTTTGAAAAAGTGACTTGATTGTTGTTGTTGACACTCCCTCTTCTTCTCCCTACATGAGACATTTCTAAAGAAGACTGGCATTGTTTGTATGTCAGGGACATCAGAATGGAACAGAGACATAAGAACAGGAGAAGGCAATGCATTCTTGTCTTGAGGAATATGTCTGGCTTTAACAGGAGCTATGGGCCAGAAGCACTGGGCCTTTGCATGTCAGAACATGAACAGTGCTGCACCAGGGCATGCTATAGCCAAGGCTGATGCGGACGGTGTGGATTTTATTGCTGTGCTGAAAAGGTCCCTGTGCTCGTGGATGCTGGCCACCCCTTCCACTACATACATATTAATCATAATTATCTTAAAGTCCTCGTGTGAGGTTTTCATCATTTGGGCCATCTCTGTATCTGATTCTATTGATTTACTTGTCTCTTGATTGTGGGTTATTATTACTATTTTGCTTTTTTTGTGCGCATGATCTTTTTTATTCAATACTGAACATTATTTGGAGACCAGGGATGATGGAGGTATATAGTAATTACCCCCGGAAATGGGCATGCCTCTTATGCTGTGAAGCCATTAATGTGGAGGGTTGATACAATTTGGACAAAAGATGAGCTGAATTTGAGGTTTGTTGTTGTCATGGCTCTTGCTGTCTACAGGCTTTCAGTTCCTCCTTTCACCTTGTGTGCAGGGTGGGGTATGGCTGGCGTGTTGGAAAGTCTTCCTCAGATTTAGTGCTGCATGCTCAGCTTTTGGCTGTCACTGTATCAGGTCTTCTCCATACTCTGCACCTCCCCAGTGGTAGTTGGTGCTGGGTGAAATTTGGTTCTAAGATCCAGGTCAGGGGAAACTTGCTGTTGTTCTGCTCCAGCTTTTTTCTTGTAAATGCTCTGTGTGCCTGGCCCTGTGTCATTCCTGCCCCTCTTCCATATGGTGCTCAAATTCTACCTGAGTGGGGGATTCCTGCTTCAGCCCCACACGCCCCCAGGGCAGCAGACTTCTCCTTGGTTTCAGTAGAGGATCTGGGCCCAGGATGGCTTCTTGCCCTCCCCTGAGTGTCCAGGGCTTTTGCTTCTACCCTTTCCCTCCTGCAGTGGGTCTTTCCTTGCTCCTTGCTCATGGGGTTAAGACTTTTGCATTTTGAGGGAGAAGGTTCTAGGTGGGGTGGTGGGGTTCATGTCTGATGCACATGGCCCAGTCCATCCTGCATGCCTGTATTACTGATGAGGCTCATCCTCTTCTCTTGCCCAGCTGCCAGCATTCTTGTAAGTGCCTAGTGAGTGAATGCAGATCCCTCCGCATCTGCACATCTTTGCCGTAAGTGAACCTGGTTCCTGTCCAGTTTCTCCTTAGAGGAGGCTACCCCTCCTGGAATTTCAGGCTTTTTGGTTTCCCTGTGACCTAAACATTTGGCTTGGTCCAAGGAAATTTCAACTTGTGGTGTACCTGGCTTTTTCTTGTGGTTAGGGCAACACTATTTTCAGCTTTCTATATCCCTGGTGGAAGTGAGCATCATCATTTCCTAATAGTTTCCCTTGGTGAAGTTTATTCATGCCTGAGAGTGTTTTCCGTGTTATAAAGGTATTCATGAATATGGTCCATTGCCATCTTGTCATAAGTAGAATTGAAATTGTTTACAAATGAACATCTTCTCTGTGCTAGCTCTGATTAATTGAGGAAATATAATTTAATTTTTAACCCTTTGTGCTTACTCTCAGGGTAGGATTTTTTTAAGTGATTGTTTTGCTGTCTTCTTTTCTGTTTTTATCTGCCACATTAGCTCATTTTCTGTTGGTATAAATGAATCTTGGAAACTAGGTAATCTATAAAGAAATTTATTTCTTACAGTTTTGGAGGCAGAAAGTCCAATATCTAGGGGCCACATTTGTTTGGCTTCTGGTGAGGGACTTGCGCTGTGTTATAACATGGCAGACAGCATTACAAGGTGAGAGGGGCTGAGAGTGCCAGTTCAGAACTCTCTTTCTCCTCTTATAAGCCCCTAATGCCCCTCCTTCATGACCTCATCTAATTCTAATTACCTCCCAAAGGTCAGTCCCACCTCTCCAATATCATATTCAAATTTGTCACTCTCTCAATACTGTTACAATGGGGACTAAGTTTCAAAGGAGTTTTGGAGGGGACAAATATTTGGACCATAGCATCTGGGTATAAAGTAGAGATTGAAAGGCCAAAGAATATTTAAAAATCCACTTAACACTGGGCCAGTGTTCAGTTCCCTTGGCTCAATGATAGGCTGTAAGGTGAATTCTGCAGGATTGTATTCAGGAATTAAAACATCTGCATTCAAGTGAGATGTTCTCAAAGACATGCCTATTTCTCTTCAAGATAAACCTTATTGTTTTAAAATAAAAATGATAAAGGAAAATAGAATACACTAACACACACAGTTCTGTTCTTTGGTCTCCAAGGGTAGCTGAGACCTGGAGCCTGCTGTTTTCAGGACACCCATCGAAGTGACATTTAGGTGGTTGACTATGGTCCAGCAGAACAGGATGCAAACCAGTGATCATCTCCAGGTCCCAGAGGAGACTCTGCTAAATGTTTTCAGAGAAGTTCACATTAAGCAGGTGCAAGGAAAGGGGCAATGCTCGAGGGGCTGCCTCCTCATGATCTAGAGCCGAATGTCCTGTGTGTGCAGGAACAAGGCGATCTTTGCATTGTGATTTTATTTTACTTTATTTTTAAAAATATTTATTTACTTATTTATTTATTTTGAGATGAAATTTTGCTCTTGTTGCCCAGGCTGGAGTGCAGTGGTGTGGTCTCGGCTCACTGCAGTCTCCCTCTCCTGGGTTCAAGTGATTCTCCTGCCTCAGCCTTCCAAGTAGCTGGGATTACAGGCATGCACTACCACACCCGGCTAATTTTTGTATTTTTAGTAGAGATGGGGTTTCACCATGTTGGTCAGGCTGGTCTCGAACTCCTGACCTCAGGTGATCCAACCGCCTTGGCCTCCCAAGTGCTGGGATTATAGGCATGAGCCACCGCACTCGGCCTGCATTGTGATTTTAGATTGCCATGTAGTACGAGGGATAAAGGAAAAGAATTACAATGATATTTTTAAGAAGAGATTTAAAAATATATTCAAATTCACAGAAATGCATCCCCCTATTAAGGCCAATACTAGGAGTCAAAGTCTGCATCTTCTGCATCAAAACACATTAAATTAATGAACAAGAGATTCCTTCTCTGGACAGTGTTCCTCACAGGTAGGCCAGTGACATGGTGGGCTGGAGAGAGAGGTCCACCCAGGCTCCTGAATTGGAGAGCACTGTTTTTACAGAGGAAGGGAAGAACTTGGCAAGGAGGGGAAATTTTTCAGTCAGTCTAGGACCTTCGGCAACAAACTGGAAACTCAACCTCTCAGTTTTCTAACCATGAGATGAGATTAATCATATCTGTCTTACAAATGAACTGGCAATACCCTATCAAAACAACTATTAATACATCAAGTGGAGATTAGAAAGTATATAGAACTAAATGGCAATGAAGACATCACGTTTAAAAAATGCAGTCCCGCTGGACGTGGTGGCTCATGCCTGTAATCCCAGCACTTTGGGAGGCCGAGGCGGGCAGATCACTTGAGGTCAGGAGTTAGAGACCAGTCTGGCCAACATGGCAAAACCCCATCTCTACTAAAAATACAAAAATTAGCCAGGCATGGTGGCATGTGTCTATAATCCCAGCTACTTGGGAGGCTGAGGCAGGAGAATCACTTGAACTCAGGAGGCGGAGGTTGCAGTGAGCTGAGATGGTGCCGCTGCACTCCAGCCTGTGCAACAGAGTGAGACTCTGTCTCAAAAATAAATAAACAAATAAATTTAAAAAATCCCAGCAATTCAGTCAAGCCCATGATTAGAAGGAACTTTCTAGCCTTGTTTTGTTCACCACAATAAAAACAACAAGTGATTCATCCAATTTATGAATAAAAGGGCTTTCACAAAATTCAGCCCTTATCCATCATTTGAAGAGCTCATTTAAAAAAACTAGAAACACAAGGTAACTTCCTTTATACTTATTGATGAAATGTCTAAGCAGTCCATGTTGGGGCCAATTCAGTTATGTCTGGTATATTCAAATACAATCAACCATAATACCGCAAGTTCTAGAAAGTGAAATAGGTGAGAAATGAAGGCTTAAGAATTTATGATTATGTACTTTACAAAACTAGAATAATCTAAAGGTAAATTGCAGAATAGCTAAATGAGTATAAAAGCTTACTAAATGTAGGTCAATATAAACAAATCAACTGTGTGTCTAGACACCAGGGCACACAGGACCCAAAATGACAAAGCTTAGAAATGTACAGTTTATTTTAGGAAAAGGATTTGATACAGCAAAGATGTCGAAGACGTGCATCAGGAGTGGTAAAAGCACCTCAGCCAAAGGCCGCCTCACAGTGAAGGGTCAGGAAGGAATGGGCCCCAGCTCCAACTTTCCTCTCTGCAGGGTAGTGCCAGGATGCATTTTTTCTCTCCGATCAGAAGCCAGCCTGTGTGCACAGAACCCCTCAGAAGCAGGGAGCTCCAAATGAAGTGTCAGTTGGGCTTTTTATATCCTGCTGGCCACATCAGTATGTCCTGTCTATGGACTAGCCTCTAGTACAAGAGCCCTTCCGCGTTGCCACCAAGACCAGGTGAGAACTTGAACAATCATCACTTTCACTGTTATCAATAAACTATGGTGACAAGACAGTACAAGCGACACCCAAGCTTAGCTGGGACTCACTGTGAATCAGTCCATTTCACACCTACTAAGGTGGAGTAGGTTGGAGGGGGTTGGAGCCATGCAGGTAGGTCTTACCCCAGCAAAACAGCTCAGCCCATTTCATGCCTGCTGGAATTAACACAGCCAGTAACAAATAGCAAAAATAAATTAAAAAGTAGATAGTTACAGTGTCTTAAAATATCATATACATAGAATTAATATAATGATAGACGTATACAATCTCCCCCCCAAACTATACAGTTTAGAGACATTTTAAAAAACCTAAATAAATGGAAAGAGAGTTCATGCTCATGAAATAGAAAGTCATTATTGTAAAAATGTCATTTCTGCTCACGATGAAACAAAAATCCATTATAATCTCAATGCAAATTTGCATATCTTTTTGTGTAAGTGCACAAGGCAATTTTAAAATGGATATGGAAATGCAAAGGTCTAAGCATCTCCAACATGCTGTTGAACATGAACAAGATGGGTGATGTTCCTACAGGGTTTCAGAACATTTTATGAAGGCACAGTGAACAGGATCTTGTGGTATTGCTGGCGAGTCAAGTGGCACAAAGAGAGTCTAGGAAGAGGCTGGTGCATGCTGCGAGTCGGATGGATGGCAAAGGTTGCCCTGCATGCCGTCTTCAATTTTTCAATCAGTGTTGCTGGGTCCGATGGCTAGCTATTAGGCAAAAAACTAATTCCACTGGACTCCTCTATCATATCATACTAAAAGATTCATATATTTAAGTGTAAAAAGTAGTTTTGGAGAAAACCTCAAACTTTGGATTAGGAAAGTGTTCTTACATTGGATTTTTTAAAAGCATAAATTCTAAAGAAAAAGTTTGATGGACTTACATGCAACTGCATTAGAATTGGGAATTTCTGTTCATCAAAAAATATTATGAAGCATGTGCAAAGATGAGACACAGAGTGAGAGAAGATATTTGCAGTGCTCATTTTTAACAATGGACTTACAGTGCAGAATGTAGGAAGAGCTATGTATTTCTAAGGAGAAACCAGAGATCCTAATAGAAAAAAACAGCCCAGGAATTGAGACAAGCACTTCACAAAGGAGGAGACATTCAAATAGCAAATAAGTATACGAAAATGTGTACAAATCCAATAGTAATTAGAGCCGTGGAAATTAAGACAAGCAGATACTACTGTATACTCCCCAGAATGGCCAAAACAATGACAACAAAAGCGAAAAACAGATAAAAAATCCAAGAGTTGGCAGAGATGCTGGTGGCTGTGTGCATTGGTGGAGCCACTTTGGAAATGGTTTAGTAGAAGCTACTCAGGCACACTCTATGAACCAGCAATTCCACTCCTAGGTGGAACATAAACGCACCAAAGATTTTACAAGAAAACTCTAACAGTGGTCACTGGAGTAGAAAACTAGGAGCTACCACTTGGAAGAATGGAGGGGATGGTGAGAGGAAGAGGCTGGGAAGGCCTTTTGGGGGTGTTGCTGATGTTCTGTCTCTTGACCTGGGTGGTGGTTTCGTGTGTGTTCCCTTTGTGACCATTCACTGACCTGTATAGTTTTGATGTGTGTTATGTTTTTTGTTTTGCTCAGTAAAATCAAATCTACTAAATCAAGGGTGCTAGGGAGAAGCAGAAAGGAGGGATTATAAAGGGAGACGAAGGAACTCTTTGGCATAGTGTGTATGTTCATTATGTTGATTGTGGTGATGGTTTCTTGGGTGTGTACCTATGTCAAAACATAAAATTATATACGTTAATATATGTATTTTATTGTATGTCAATTATAGCTTGATAAAGCTGTTAAAAATTGTAGGATAAATTTAAAGCTAGCGTTAAAAGGAAACATGCAGTCTTTTCAACTTTTATTTTAGATACAGGGGGTACATGTGTAGATTTGTTACATGGGAATATTGCAAGATGCTGAGGTTTGGGGTACAGATTCCATCACCCTGGTAGCAAGCATAGTACCTGACAGGTAGTTTTTCAACCCACGCTCCCCTCCTTGCCTCCCTGCTCTAGTAGTCCACAGTGTCTATTATTCCCATATTTGTGTCCATGGATGCTCAGTGTTTAGCTCCCACTTATAAATGAGAAAGTGAGGTATTTGGTTTTCTGTTCCTGTGTTAACTCACTTGGGATTATGGCCTCCAACTGCATCCATATTGCTTCAAAGGACATGATTTCATTTTTTTATGACTGTGTAGTATTCCATGGTGTATATGTACTACATTTTTTTTTTTTCTTTTGAGACAGAGTCTCGTTCTTATCACTCAGGATGGAGTGCAGTAGCGCGATCTTGGCTCATTGCCGCCTCCACCTCCCAGGCTCAAATGATTCTCCTGCCTTAGCCTCCCACGCAGATGGGATTATAGGCACCTGCCACCATGCCTGGCTAATTTTTGTATTTTTAGTAGAGAGGGGGTTTCACCATGTGGGCCAGGCTGGTCTTGAACTCCTGACCTCAAGTGATCCACCCGCCTCAGCTTCCCAAAGTGCTGGGTTACAGATTTGAGCCACCACACCCAGCCTACATTTTCTTTATCCAGTCTACTGCTGATGGGCACCTGGGTTGATTCCATGTCTTTGCTATTGTGAATAATGCAGCAGTGAACATACAAGTGCATGTGTCTTTTTGGTAGAACAATTTATTTTCCTTTGAGTATACACCCAGTAATGGGATTATTGGGTCAAATGGTAGCTCTCTTTTTATTATTATTATTATTATTATTATACTTTAAGTTTTAGGGTACATGTACACAATGTGCAGGTTAGTTACATATGTATACATGTGCCATGCTGGTGTGCTGCACCCATTAACTCGTCATTTAGCATTAGGTATATCTCCTAATGCTATCCCTCCCCCCTCCCCCCACCCCACAACAGTCCCCAGAGTGTGATGTTCCCCTTCCTGTGTTCATGTGATCTCATTGTTCAATTCCCATCTATGAGTGAGAACATGCGGTATTTGGTTTTTTGTCCTTGCGATAGTTTACTGAGAATGATGCTTTCCAATTTCATCCATGTCCCTACAAAGGACATGAACTCATCATTTTTTATGGCTACATAGTATTCCATGGTGTATATGTGCCACATTTTCTTAATCCAGTCTATCATTGTTGGACATTTGGGTTGGTTCCAAGTCTTTGCTATTGTGAATAGTGCCACAATAAACATACGTGTGCATGTGTCTTTATAGCAGCATGATTTATAGTCCTTTGGGTATATACCCAGTAATGGGATGGCTGGGTCAAATGGTATTTCTAGTTCTAGATCCCTGAGGAATCGCCACACTGACTTCCACAATGGTTGAACTAGTTTACAGTCCCACCAACAGTGTAAAAGTGTTCCTATTTCTCCACATCCTCTCCAGCACCTGTTGTTTCCTGACTTTTTAATGATTGTCATTCTAACTGGTGTGAGATGGTATCTCATTGTAGTTTTGATTTGCATTTCTCTGATGGCCAGTGATGATGAGCATTTTTTCATGTGCCTTTTGGCTGCATAAATGTCTTCTTTTGAGAAGTGTCTGTTCATATCCTTTGCCCACTTTTTGATGGGGTTGTTTGCTTTTTTCTTGTAAATTTGTTTGAGTTCATTGTAGATTCTGGATATTAGCCCTTTGTCAGATGAGTAGGTTGCAAAAATTTTCTCCCATTTTGTAGGTTGCCTGTTCCCTCTGATGGTAGTTTCTTTTGCTGTGCAGAAGCTCTTTAGCTTAATTAGATCCCATTTGTCAATTTTGGCTTTTGTTGCCATTGCTTTTGGTGTTTTAGACATGAAGTCCTTGCCCATGCCTATGTCCTGAATGGTAATGCCTAGGTTTTCTTCTAGGGTTTTTATGGTTTTAGGTCTAACGTTTAAGTCTTTAATCCATCTTGAATTGATTTTTGTATAAGATGTAAGGAAGGGATCCAGTTTCAGCTTTCTACATGTGGCTAGCCAGTTTTCCCAGCACCATTTGTTAAATAGGGTATCCTTTCCCCATTGCTTGTTTTTCTCAGGTTTGTCAAAGATCAGATAGTTGTAGATATGTGGCGTTATTTCTGAGGGCTCTGTTTTGTTCCATTGATCTATATCTCTGTTTTGGTACTAGTACCATGCTGTTTTGGTTACTGTAGCCTTGTAGTATAGTTTGAAGTCAGGTAGCGTGATGCCTCCAGCTTTGTTCTTTTGGCTGAGGATTGACTTGGCGATGCGGGCTCTTTTTTGATTCCATATGAACTTTAAAGTAGTTTTATCCAATTCTGTGAAGAAAGTCATTGGTAGCTTGATGGGGATGGCATTGAATCTATAAATTACCTCGAGCAGTATGGCCATTTTCACAATATTGATTCTTCCTATCCATGAGCATGGAATGTTCTTCCATTTGTTTGTATCCTCTTTTATTTCATTGAGCAGTGGTTTGTAGTTCTCCTTGAAGAGGTCCTTCATGTCCCTTGTAAGTTGGATTCCTAAGTATTTTATTCTCTTTGAAGCAATTGTGAATGGGAGTTCACTCATGATTTGGCTCTCTGTTTGTCTGTTATTGGTGTATAAGAATGCTTGTGGCCGGGCGCGGTGGCTCACGCCTGTAATCCCAGCACTTTGGGAGGCCGAGGTGGGTGGATCATGAGGTCAGGAGATCGAGACCATCCTGGCTAACAAGGTGAAACCCCGTCTCTACTAAAAATACAAAAAATTAGCCAGGCGCGGTGGCGGGCGCCTGTAGTCCCAGCTACTTGGGAGGCTGAGGCAGGAGAATGGCGTGAACCCGGGAAGCGGAGCTTGCAGTGAGCTGAGATTGCGCCACTGCAGTCCGCAGTCCGGCCTGGGCGACAGAGCGAGACTCTGTCTCAAAAAAAAAAAAAAAAAGAATGCTTGTGATTTTTGTACATTGATTTTATATCCTGAGACTTTGCTGAAGCTGCTTATCAGCTTAAGGAGATTTTGGGCTGAGACAGTGGGGTTTTCTAGATATACAATCATGTCGTCTGCAAACAGGGACAATTTGACTTCCTCTTTTCCTAATTGAATACCCTTTATTTCCTTCTCCTGCCTGATTGCCCTGGCCAGAACTTCCAACACTATGTTGAATAGGAGTGGTGAGAGAGGGCATCCCTGTCTTGTGCCAGTTTTCAAAGGGAATGCTTCCAGTTTTTGCCCATTCAGTATGATATTGGCTGTGGGTTTGTCATAGATAGCTCTTATTATTTTGAGATACGTCCCATCAATACCTAATTTATTGAGAGTTTTTAGCATGAAGGGTTGTTGAATTTTGTCAAAGGCCTTTTCTGCATCTATTGAGATAATCATGTGGTTTTTGTCTTTGGTTCTGTTTATATGCTGGATTACATTTATTGATTTGCATATATTGAACCAGCCTTGCATCCCAGGGATGAAGCCCACTTGATCATGGTGGATAAGCTTTTTGATGTGCTGCTGGATTCGGTTTGCCAGTATTTTATTGAGGATTTTTGCATCAATGTTCATCAAGGATATTGGTCTAAAATTTTCTTTTTTGGTTGTGTCTCTGCCCGGCTTTGTTATCAGGATGATGCTGGCCTCATAAAATGAGTTGGGGAGGATTCCCTCTTTTTCTATTGATTGGAATAGTTTCAGAAGGAATGGTACCAGTTCCTCCTTGTACCTCTGGTAGAATTCGGCTGTGAATCCATCTGGTCCTGGACTCTTTTTGGTTGGTAAGCTATTGATTATTGCCACAATTTCAGATCCTGTTATTGGTCTATTCAGAGATTCAACTTCTTCCTGGTTTAGTCTTGGGAGAGTGTATGTGTCAGGAATTTATCCATTTCTTCTAGATTTTCTAGTTTATTTGCGTAGAGGTGTTTGTAGTATTCTCTGATGGTAGTTTATATTTCTGTGGGATCGGTGGTGATATCCCCTTTATCATTTTTTATTGCGTCTATTTGATTCTTCTCGCTTTTCTTCTTTATTAGTCTTGCTAGCGGTTTATCAATTTTGTTGATCCTTTCAAAAAACCAGCTCCTGGATTCATTAATTTTTTGAAGGGTTTTTTGTGTCTCTATTTCCTTCAGTTCTGCTCTGACTTTAGTTATTTCTTGCCTTCTGCTAGCTTTTGAATGTGTTTGCTCTTGCTTTTCTAGTTCTTTTAATTGTGATGTTAGGGTATGAATTTTGGATCTTTCCTGCTTTCTCTTGTGGGCATTTAGTGCTATAAATTTCCCTCTACACACTGCTTTGAATGTGTCCCAGAGATTCTGGTATGTTATGTCTTTGTTCTCGTTGGTTTCAAAGAACATCTTTATTTCTGCCTTCATTTCGTTATGCACCCAGTAGTCATTCAGAAGCAGGTTGTTCAGTTTCCATGTAGTTGAGCGGTTTTGAGTGAGTTTCTTAATCCTGAGTTCTAGTTTGATTGCACTGTGGTCTGAGAGACAGTTTGTGATAATTTCTGTTCTTTTACATTTGCTGAGGAGAGCTTTACTTCCAACTATGTGGCCAATTTTGGAATAGGTGTGGTGTGGTGCTGAAAAAAATGTATATTCTGTTGATTTGGGGTGGAGAGTTCTGTAGATGTCTATTAGGTCCGCTTGGTGCAGAGCTGAGTTCAATTCCTGGGTATCCTTGTTAACTTTCTGTCTCGTTGATCTGTCTAATGTTGACAGTGGGGGGTTAAAGTTTCCCATTATTATTGTGTGGGAGTCTAAGTCTCTTTGTAGGTCACTCAGGACTTGCTTTATGAATCTGGGTGCTCCTGTATTGGGTGCATATATATTTAGGATAGTTAGCTCTTCTTGTTGAATTGATCCCTTTACCATTATGTAATGGCCTTCTTTGTCTCTTTTGCTCTTTGTTGGTTTAAAGTCTGTTTTATCAGAGACTAGGATTGCAACCCCTGCCTTTTTTTGTTTTCCATTTGCTTGGTAGATCTTCCTCCATCCTTTTATTTTGAGCCTATGTGTGTCTCTGCACGTGAGATGGGTTTCCTGAATACAGCGCACTGATGGGTCTTGACTCTTTATCCAATTTGCCAGTCTGTGTCTTTTAATTGGAGCATTTAGTCCATTTACATTTAAAGTTAATATTGTTATGTGTGAATTTGATCCTGTCATTATGATGTTAGCTGGTTATTTTGCTCGTTGGTTGATGCAGTTTCTTCCTAGTCTGGATGGTCTTTACATTTTGGCATGATTTTGCAGCAGCTGGTACCGGTTGTGCCTTTCCATGTTTAGCGCTTCCTTCAGGAGCTCTTTTAGGGCAGGCCTGGTGATGACAAAATCTCTCAGCATTTGCTTGTCTGTAAAGTATTTTATTTCTCCTTCACTTAAGAAGCTTAGTTTGGCTGGATACGAAATTCTGGGTTGAAAATTCTTTTCTTTAAGAATGTTGAATATTGGCCCCCACTCTCTTCTGGCTTGTAGAGTTTCTGCCGAGAGATCCGCTGTTAGTCTGATGGGCTTCCCTTTGTGGGTAACCCGATCTTTCTCTCTGGCTGCCCTTAACATTTTTTCCTTCATTTCAACTTTGGTGAATCTGACAATTATGTGTCTTGGAGTTGCTCTTCTCGAGGAGTACCTTTGTGGCGTTCTCTGTATTTCCTGAATGTGAATGTTGGCCTGCCTTGCTAGATTGGGGAAGTTCTCCTGGATAATATCCTGCAGAGTGTTTTCCAACTTGGTTCCATTCTCCCCGTCACTTTCAGGTACACCAATCAGACGTAGATTTGGTCTTTTCACATAGTCCCATATTTCTTGGAGGCTTTGTTCGTTTCTTTTTATTCTCTTTTCTCTAAACTTCCCTTCTCGCTTTATTTCATTCATTTCATCTTCCATCAGTGATACCCTTTCTTCCAGTTGATCGCATTGGCTCCTGAGGCTTCTGCATTCTTCACATAATTCTCGAGCCTTGGCTTTCAGCTCCATCAGTTCCTTTAAGCACTTCTCTGTATTGGTTATTCTAGTTATACATTTGTCTAAATTTTTTTCAAAGTTTTCAACTTCTTTGCCTTTGGTTTGAATTTCCTCCTGTAGCTCGGAGTAGTTTGATCGTCTGAAGCCTTCTTCTCTCAACTCCTCAAAGTCATTCTCCGTCCAGCTTTGTTCCATTGCTGGTGAGGAGATGCATTCCTTTGGAGGAGGAGAGGCGCTCTGCTTTTTAGAGTTTCCAGTTTTTCTGCTCTGTCTTTTCCCCATCTTTGTGGTTTTATCTACTTTTGGTCTTTGATGATGGTGATGTACAGTTGGGTTTTTGGTGTGGATGTCCTTTCTGTTTGTTAGTTTTCCTTCTAACAGACAGGACCCTCAGCTGCAGGTCTGTTGGAGTTTGCTAGAGGTCTACTCCAGACCCTGTCTGCCTGGGTATCAGCAGTGGTGTCTGCGGAACCGTGGATTTTCGTGATCCGCGAATGCTGCTGTCTGATCGTTCCTCTGGAAGTTTTGTCTCAGAGGAGTACCCGGCTTAAGTTCTTTGAAAAATCTCCAGGCTGCCTTTCAAAGTGGCTGGGCCAATTCACATTCCCACCAACAGTGTACAAACGTTCCCTTTCTCCATAGCCTCATCAGTGCCTGTTGTTTTGTGACTTTTTGATAATAGCCATTCTGACTGGTGTGAGATGGTGTCTCATCGTGGTTTTGATTTGCATTCCTCTGATGGTTAGTGATGCTGAGCATTTTCTCATATGTTTGTTGGCTGCTTGTATGTCTTCTTTTGAGAAGTATCTCTTCATGTCCTTTGCCCATTTTTTTTCATGGGGTTATTTGTTTTCTGCTTGTTGATTTGTTTAAGTTTCCTATAGATTCTGGATATTAGGCCTTTGTTGAAGGCATAGTTTGTGAATATCTTCTCCAATTCTTAAGTTGTCCATTTGCTCTGTAGATAGTTTCTTTTGCTGTGCAGAAGCTCTTTAGTTTAATTAGGTACCACTTGTCTACTTTTGTTTTTGCTGTGATTGCTTTTGGGGACTTAGCCAAAAATTCTTTGCCAAGGCCAATGTCTAGAAGAGTATTTTCTAGGTTGTTGTCTAGCATTTTTATAGCTTGAGGTCTGACATTTAACCTTGCAATCTTAAATGGATAAAATAAAAAAGAAGACTAAGAATTTATTAGGTAGTCATCAACCTCAATAGTTCAGAAAAGCCAAATTTTATTAAAAAGAGTCAAAAAAGGAAAATCATAAGGAAAATAATACAATTTAAAGATATTGAAAATAAACATACTCTAGAGAGGATCAGCAATGTCAAATGTTGGTTTCTTTAAAATATTTGTAAAATTGAAAGACCTCTGGTAAATTTGATAATGAAAAATTATATATTATAGAATTGTAACATTATAATAATATATGTATATCATATATTTACATATAAGTGTAAAAGTTGTAGTAATCAGATAGTGTAGACCTGGTATTAAGATGATCGTAGACCCATGGAGTTAAAGACAGAACCTTCAAAAAGAAGACTCTTGCCTTTTGGATGCTTATAAATGACAAGGATTGTACTGTAGAGAAGTAGAAAAAAGATGCTCTTCCCAATAAATGCTGCTGGGATAATGGTGCATCATCCAAAAAAATATGGTTTCCTTTTTCTCACACCATATAAGAAATCATTTTTGGAGGTAATAAAACCTCAGTATAAAAAGCAAAGTATAAAACATTCAGAAGTTGTTATAGGAATGGGAATTATTTCTTTTAAAAGTTACAGAAGACAATATTTTGAAAGAAAATATTTATAAATTGGGCTACATTAAAATAAACATTCTATTCATCAAATGACACCATTAAAGAGTGCAAAGGGAAACCACAGAGTGGGAGAAAATAATTGCCTCAGAGAAAACCAAATAGTTTTAATAAGAAAAGACAGAGACCCCGACAGAAATGTGGGCAAGATACTTGAATAACCATTTCACACAGGAGATTCCTAAGCATTCAATAATCACATGAAACATGCTTGATGTGGGCGGCAAGCCACCCAGGCACTGAGGCAAGAGACCGAGGACACGAGCTGTTCCAGTGTAATAAAATATAAAACAAGAATAGTTATACCAGATATAGATCTTAGAGATGATTATATATGAATATCATTAATCATTAGTTGGTAGTAATTACTCTTTATCCCAATATTATAATAATCCTCGCTCTACAATCATAACCTAGGAAGAACCTGGCCATACAGAGATAGGAGCTGAGGGGACATAGTGAGAAGTGACCAGAAGACAAGAGTGCGAGCCTTCTGTTATGCCCGGACAGGGCCACCAGAAGGGCTCCTTGGTCTAGTGGTAATGCCAGCGTCTGGGAAGACGCCCGTTGCCAGGCAGACCGTGGCCTAGTGGTAGCCTCAGTGTCAAGGAAAAACACCGGCTACTTAGCAGACCGGGAAAGGGAGTCTCCCTTTCTCCGGGGGAGTTTAGAGAAGACTATGCTCCTCCACCTCTTGTGGAGGGCCTGACATTAGTCAGGCTCACCCGCAGTTATCCGGAGGCCTAACCGTCTCCCTGTGATGCTGTGCTTCAGTGGTCATACTCCTAGTCTGCCTTCATGTTCCATCCTGTACACCTGGCTCTGCCTTCTAGATAGCAGTAGGAAATTAGTGAAAGTACTAAAAGTCTCTGATATGCAGAAATAATAGCATAAGCTGTCTTTCTCTTTGTCTCCTCTCTCTCTCTGCCTCGGCTGCCAGGCAGGGAAGGGCCCCCTGTCCAGTGGACATGTGACCCACGTGACCTTACCTATCATTAGAGATGACTCACACTCTTTAGCCTGCCCCTTTTGCTTTGTATCCAATAAATAACAGCGCAGCCAGACATTTGGGGCCACTACCGGTCTCCACGCATTGGTGATAGTGGTCCCCCAGGCCCAGCTGTCTTTTCTTTTATCTCTTTGTCTTGTGTCTTTATTTCTACACTCTCTCATCGCCGCACATGGGGAGAGACCCACCGACCCTGTGGGGCTGGTCCCTACAGCTTGACATCTTTAGAAATGAGAGAAATGCAAACTAAGGCCATATCAGATAGGCAAAATTAAGCAGTACTGTGTTAGTTCGTTTTTGGATTGCTATAAAGGAATACCTGAGGCAGCATCATTTGCAAAGAAAAGAGGTTTCATTGGCTCACAGTTTTGCAGGCTGTACTAGCATGGCTCCACCATCTGCTTCTGGTGAGGCCCTTAGGAAGCTTACAGTCACAGCTGAAGGGAAGGGGAGCCAGATGAGAGCAGAAGGAGTGAGAGGGGAGGTGCCACACTCTTTTAAGCAATCAGATCTCATGTGAACCACCACAGAAGAATTCACTCATCACCAAGGGAATGGCACTAAGCCATTCATGAGGGATCCGCCCCATGACCCAAACACCTCCCACCAGGCCACACCTCCAACATTGGGGATCATATTTCAACATGAGATTTGGAGGGGATGAACATGCAAACCATATCAAGTACCAATGAAGATATGGAACAATTGACTCTCATAAACTGAAGTTGGGGTGTAAGTTGTTATATCCATTTGGGAAACTGTTTGGCTATGGAGGATACACAAAAATCCCTTACCATGGGCATAGATTTAGAGAAATGGCCACACATGTGTCCTATGATAACATATGAAGACACTCACATTATTAGGCCAAGCTGTTGAAACCTTTGGAGAGGAGACAAGAGGAGGTTGATTCAGGAACAGATGAAGCAGAAAGTATAAGGAAGTGGTTTCTAGGGGCCAGCTGTGTTCTAAGTACTATATGTCCACTTTAATAAATAGTATAAAACACAACATAAGTTTTATATAGGTGTCATATGTGCTATGGTTTGAATGTGTCCCTGAGTGTTCATTGGAAACTTAATCTCCAGCGTAACAGTATTGAGAGGTGGGACCTTTCAGAGGTGATTAAAATGAATTAATGTTGTTCTTGTGGAAGTAGGTTTGTTCTCCCAAGAGTGGATTGTCATGAAAGCAGATTTGTCCTTTCTTTTCTCCACTTGTGCCCTCCCTCACCACTTGTTGACTTCTGCCATTGGATGATGCAGCACTAGGGCCCTCACAAGATGCTGGTGCCATGCTCTTATACTTCCCAGCCTCTAGAACCATGAGCAAAGTAAATTTCTGTCCAATATAAATTTCCCGCTGTGGAATTCTGATATTGCAACACAAAACAGAAACAGAAAATTTGTGCTGGGAAGTGGGGCTGTTGCTATAACAAATGCTTGAAAACGTAGAAGTAGCTTTGGAACTGGATAATGAGTAGAGGCTGGAACAGTTTTGAAATGAATGCTAAAAAAAGCTTGTATTGCCATAGATGAAACATTAAGGGCAATTCTGGTGAAGTCTCAGAATAAGAGAGACTAGGGAAAGTCTGGGACATCTTAGAGTTAACTTAAGTGGCCATGACTAGAATGCTGGCAGAAATATGGATGGTAACGATCATTCTGATGAAGTCTCAGGGGAAATGAGGAACAAGGTATTGGAAACTGGAGCAAAGCCATCCTTGTCATACATTTGCAAAGAACTTGTGGGAGTTGTTTCCATGCCCTACGGCTTTATGGATGGTAGAATTCAAGAGCAATGAACTCTTAAAGAACTAGAAAAAAATCACTCCCTGCAGTTTGGATCAGAAAGAGGCCAGCATCCCCTCTCAAAGATCCACCCTTCCTCTGTGGATGATCGAATGTCAGAGTGGCCCCAGACATGGACTTGCCTTTACCTCATGGTGAATCACTGGCCAAGGAGGACATCTGTTGCTTTTGCTGCCCTGAATCCAGTCCACAGCTTTTCTTTGTGAAAATGACCCCTTCCCAACCCTCATCCCATGGTCTTTTTATGTAGCAGGGCCCTGGGAACCCAGGATGGGGTGTGACAATCAGCCAAGTAGACCAAATTCTGATACTCTGAGCTACTGGGGAAGGGGGACCTCTCTTCCCATAGAACCAGATCTGTATGTATGAAGGTCTGGAGCTCTGTGGACATTGTGTTACCATAAAGAGAAGACCCTGCCTAAGAATGGACATGGCAGCAGTGCCGGGACTGTAGTGAGGCCAGTGAGGGACCTGGGATGCAAAAATTTAAGGCACTATCACTCAGGATTGTGTGAGTGCAGGATTAGTGGGGCGGGCCCTGGACTGAGATGGAGAATTAAAACAGTTCCTGATGACGTTGCCAAGCCCCTGGATCCAGCTGTGCCTGAAACCTGTTAACCCCTGAGTTATTGGGTGTGTGAGCCTGTATATTTTTACTACGTGTTACTAGCGCTGGGAGGAGGCTCTGAACCTCTCCCCAGACTCTTTGCCTGGTAATCTTAGTCTGGGTTCCCCAGTGTCAGAGCACCCATCTCCAAGATCTCTATATTGTTCTCCCAAGGGGCCTACTGCATCCTAGTGCAAACAGAAATTCTGCTTGCCTTTGAAATCCGTAAATCCCCAAGGTGGAACTGTCCTGCAAGCTGCACTTATCCTGGGACCCTCACCCACCAGCAGCAGGCAGCAGAAAGAGCCAGGAGATCCCTGAGAGGCAGCATCAGGCCAAGGAGTGCGTGTTAGTTTCAGAGGCACCTGTAGCAGAGAGTGATGACAGGTGATTGTTAGAAAGACATGCCTGATGATCTCATGTCCTGGAAGGCAGAGCTTTCATGATTATAAAATGAAATTAAGGTTTCAGAAAGCTGATGAGGCTCTTAGGCACACAACCTCATAAATACTCATGGGCTTTTAAGGCAAGAACTGAGAAGACAGAGCTGGGTACTCTCTCCACCTGCCTGCACTGCCTTTCTGTGCTGTGACCCTCTGAGCCTCAGGGCTACTATCTGTTCCCAGAGCATGCCAAGACTTGGGTGGCCTTTGAGGAGAGCATTTTCCATATTTTGTTCACTACCTCCCAACTCCTCCTCTCCTGCAGAGAGGCTTACTTTTATGCTCACAGCCAATATACTTCAAATAAAAGGTTCTGTTCTGTTAAACAAGCAAGAACTTTCATAAACCATCCTGTACCGTAGAATTACAGAGAACACCAGGATTTACTGTGGTAGACGCAATGATGACTCCCAAAGATGTCCATGTCCTGATCTCCGAACCTGTGCATCTGTCACCTGACATAGCAAAAGGAACTTTGTAGATGCATCTGGTGACAAGTAGAGGTCACAATGATGTGAGGAAAGAGCCTGTATTTGTTTGTTCTCACACTGCTATAAAGACATAGCTGAAACTGGGTAATTTATAAAGGAAAGAGATTTAATTGACTCACAGTTCAGCATGGCTGGGGAGGCCTCAGGAACTTAACAATCATGGCAGAAGGGGATGCGAACACGTCCTTCTTCACATGGTGGCAGGAAGGAGAAGTGCCAAGCCAAAGGGGAAATAGCCCCTTTTAAAACCATCAGATCTTGTGAGAACTCATTCACCATCATGAGAACAACATGAGGGTAACCATCCCCATGATTCAATTATCTCCCACTGGGTCCCTCCCAGGACACGTGGGCATTATGGGAACTACAATTCAAGATGAGATCTGGGTGGGGACACAGTCAAATTATATCAGAGCCCACAAGCCAAGGAGTGTGAGTGGCTTCTGGAAGCTGGAAGAGGCAAGGCAGTGGTTCCCACCCAGAATCCCTGGGCCCTGCCGCCAGCTTGATTTAAGGACTTCTGATCTCAAGAGCTGTAAAAGGAGGAATCTGTGTTGCCTCAAGCCACTGAGTATGTGAAAATGTGTTACAGCAGCCATGGGAAGCCGGCCCATTTGCTCACGCTGGTGAATAATGAATCAGCAGCGTGCTTGGTAAATGTACCCATGGGCACTAAGGGACCATGAGGAATGCCCCTGGCCACAGGTCTGACCTCTGGAGGCTGCTGTGGATGACCTACAGAAGGGGCTGTGGGGTTGGAGGGAGGAAGGCTCAAGACCTGGCTCCTCCTCACTCAGCATCTGGCTTCGAGGCATCCACATTGGCTGCGTCTCCATCTCTGGTCTCTGATGCTCAAGGAGGTGTTATCCGTTTGGATGTTATACTTGCAATCTAAGAGCTCTCTGGGGCAGATGAAAAAGTCAGATGCAGAATCTTGACATGCAGTTGAAGCACAGAGAGGGGATCCTAGCCTTTCTGTTATAAAATTCCATGGGGCTGCCTTTTGCTCATCCCACGTGCACTGACTTAATGGGTTTACCTCTGTGCGCTCAAACCTCCCTGAGGAGAAGGGCTCCTCTGCAGACACACTTTCCCATCTGCTGTATGTGGGAATCACAATACACAGAGTTTGTGCAATCTATTTATGCAAAACACTGAGTTTATTGCTCACCAAGATTGAAATCTTCAGTGAATGCTGGCTTTGTTGGTCTGCTGAGCACCACATTGGGAGCGTGTGTAGTTAATGATACAGTATACACTAGATAGCTTGGGTCTTATAATAATTTTTTTATGGTCAATCTAAACCTAATATCCCTTTTTTCGTAGTATTTTCTGCTATCCTAAATCTTCCATCTGAAAAGCAATAATAGGAAGGCCATCAGCAGAGCTTATGGGAACACCATCATGCTTAACGCAACCCTGATTAGTGGATGATGGCACTACCGCCTCATCCAGAATAAGGTGGCATTGGAATGGTGCTGGTCAGCAGCCCCAGTTGGCCACCATCTCTGTACGATGGGTGATTAGCCTCCCTACAAGGCCAGTGGCTCTGACAGTCCACCCAGACTTGTCCCACATGTGCTGACAGGTGCCCAGGAGGGTGTACAGATGACCTGCTGTTAGGCTTGGCCACCTTGTTTGCTCTCCTCTCCCTCTGCTGCCCAGGGTGAGCCTCAAAAGGGCAGAATGCCTCTCCCAGAAGCCTGTGCTTTGGTGGGGGGGCTTGGTTGGGGCGGGGAGGCCACAGGCACAGAGGCCAGGGTTGCTGAGCCTTGCTGCAAGCATGACCGCCCCGAGCCACTCTGCACGGCCATCTGTTCATTCCAGGAGGCTTCCAGAAGAGGCCACAGAGGCTCTGCGGCACTGGACTTGCTTAGAGTGAGGGCAAAGCAGCTCTCCCCGGCATGACTGGGCACAGGCCCATATAAGCGGTTCTCCCAGCATTTTCCACAGCTCCATCAGTGGCTCAGAGGAGGAGCTGCCCATGCGATGTCCAGGCTAGGCAGTTCCCTTGGCTTCAGGTCGTCCACTCCAACAGCAAGGCCAACCAGAGGCCTGGGGGGCATGGGTCCTGCTTGGTCTCTCCTGTCACACTCCTGGCTGCTTGGCTGCATGCAAAGGTGCTGCTCAGAGGGAGTGGAGCTGTGGGGCTGTAGCCTTGAAACCACGTCCGGCTCCGGCCCCAGAACAGAGGCTCACCCCAATTCACAGGGCATGGGATTCCTTTTCCTGAGATGGGAAACTGAGGTTTGAGCTTCTGTGCTTTGTTCCTTCCTCACAGACCATGAGTAGGACCAGGGGGATTGTCTCAGATAAGCTGAGAGCCTCCAGAAATTACAAAGCATGGAAAGTGACAAGGTAACAGTAATCCATTGCCTTCATTTGCTGGGGCTGCTATAACAAATGCTGCAGACCTGGAGGCTTCAACAACAGAAACCTGCTCTCTCCCAGTTCCGGAGGCTGGAAGCCCACATTCAAGGTGTCAGCAGGGCTGTTTTCTGTCGAGGTCTCTCTCCCTGGCTTGCACACAGCAGCCTTCTCTTTGTATCCTCACATGGTCTCTGTGTGTGTGCACATGCACTGGAGCACACGTGTGTGTGTGCAGGCATCCCTGCTGTCTCTGTGTGTGTCCAGTTTCTTTGTGTAGGAACACGAGCCAGATTGCATTAGGGCTCACCTTAACAGCTTCATTTTAGCTTCATCACCATTTTACAGGTCCTGTCTTCAAATGCAGTCATGTTCTGAGGTTCTGGGGGTTCAGGCTTCAACATAGGAATCTCAGGGGACACAGTCAAGTCCCCACTGCATGCATCTGTCAGTTATCATCAGGATAATGCTGTAAAACAAATGGCCTCCGACTAACAGCTGGCACTCACCTCTCATTCTAGTGCTTGCAGGTGCTGGTCCGCAGCTAGGCTGGTTGCTGGTAGCTTGAGGCTGGCCAGGATTCAGGCTGTAGTTTGGCTGGGTTTGGTGGCTCTAGGCTGGGGGTGGTGCTGTGCTGTAGGTTGGGCTAGGGGCTGCTGCACCCATCATCATTTTGAGTTCGCGGGCACTCAGACCTGGTGATGGCAGGAGCCCAGGGCACCAAACTCCACAAGCATATCTTCAGCCTGTTTTGGGCCACATCCACCCATTTCCGCCAGCCAAGCAAATCTCATGCCAAAATTATAGCATCTTATTTCCAAAATTATTTTGATACTTATGTCTTTTAAAAATGGTGACCTTTTGCCGGGCACAGTGGCTCACACCTGTAATCCCAGCACTTTGGGAGGCCGAGGCGGGTGGATCACGAGGTCAGGAGATCGAGACCATCCTGGCTAACATGGTGAAACCCCATCTCTACTAAAAATACAAAAAATTAGCTGGGCGTGGTGGTGGGCACCTGTAGTCCCAGCTACTCGGGAGGCTGAGGCAGGAGAATGGCATGAACCCAGGAGGCGGAGCTTGCAGTGAGCTGAGATCATGCCTCTGCACTCCCGCCTGGGTGACAGAACAAGATTCTGTCTCAAAAAAAAAAAAAGTGACCTTTTTTATTTCTACATCATAGTAGCTTTTGTTAAGTCTCTCTTCATTCAAATCTCAGCTAATCACTGGGTCTTTTATTCTATTTTCTTGTTGTCTTTTTGTCTTTTTCACTGAAATGCGCCTTTTTCATGGTGTCTGATCGAAGGAGAGTGCATTCTATTGCAAGGTGTTTCTGTGCAGAGCTAACCCTCTGCAGCTGTGCAGCCTGTTCACCCTCTGGCTTTGTCTCACGTGTCATTAGAACCAGTCTCACCTTTTCTCTTAGCTGGCTTCATTCTCAAGGTGTAATAGGGAAGCGATTATTGAAGAGATAAAATGTGTGAGCTGATGATGTCACACACAGATGTTTACTTTTCAATTGTAATTAAATTCAACAAGTGACATCATGGTGGGTCTTTGAATTCTGTCAGCATATGGAATCCATCCTCTGGGTGGGTTTAAGATTTGTGTTTACACACGTGCCAATCAACTACATTGCTATTGTTAACAAAAAGGAATGGATTGTATTTTATAGCAATGCAGCCTTTCTGCTCTATTCTCCTTTAGTTTTAAGAAATTTCGTATTGTGTATTATATATTTCAAAAGCAGATGTGTTTGTTCTTCTTGAGCAATCCTGGGTGCTGAGACACTTCCTGGTTCCCTAGGTGGTGCCCTGCTGACATTTTATGGACACTTGATTCTAGAGCTGATTTCACTTCGCTAGTCCTGGGATCCAGGATTCAGAGTAATTCATCTTTAATTTCTTTTTTATTTTATTGTGGTAAAATACACATCACAGAATTTCGCCCCTTAACCTTGTTTAAGCACACAGTTCTGCGGCATGAAGCACACTCACGCTGTTGTGCAGCACCATCCATCCCCACCGCCCTTTCGTCTTCCCAGACGGAAACCCTGTCCCCCTGAAACATGGGCTCCCCACTCCCTAAGGCATCTTTTTAGGCTAAGAGGCTAAAAATCATTTGCCTGCCAAAGGACATTTGTGTGGTTGATAGTGGGAGAACCCACACTTTTATTAGCACCAGACATGATAATGTCTGATGGTTATCCCGGGCCTGGGGCTGCAGGTGCCGCCAGGAACAGCTGTGAGGCAGGGGCCTGGGCTCAGGAGCCGGCACGGGAGCCACTCACTGGGGTTGCTCCCTGTAGTCTCTGCCCCCCACCAACTCTCACTTAGCTTCTCTGTGCCTTTGTCTTGTTCCCTGGGAAGTGCAGACATGGAGAGACTTTTTCTCTCAGACAGTGCGGGGATTAAGTTATTCTCTCCTATAGGTTTGCATACAGTAGGAGCTCAGCGCACGACTTGGGAAATGTATGCATAAGGTGGAGCTGTGCAAATGAGAAGTGCTCTAGAGGGTGTGTGTTCCTAGTGGCCCGTCTACCTCCGGAAGCAGTGGCTGTCCCTGTGACGACGCCCAGCACTTTCTTCCAAGCACAGGGGAATGCACGGTGTCAACTCTGCCCTCAGTCCAAGGGGCTTTTCTTACCTTTTCCCTGGTCAGCAGATTGCTGATCCCCGCCTGCAGGGGATGGAGACAGAGCTGTTTTTCCCACGCAAGGTCTCACACACGCCCTGCAGACCCAAGTGATGGAGGGGGTGGGCCCTTCATGGGCCAGGTGGATGAGTGGGCGGACAGAGCCGGCCAGCTGCTCTGTGCTGAAGGCAAATGGCTCTTTAACTTTGGGTTTTAAAAAACCTTATAATCAAGCGATTTGACCTTTGGTTCTAGAATTTGCTGCCGTGTACTTTTAGTACCAACCAAAGCGGCAGCTCTCTGGGCTGGCCCTGCTTAACAGATGGAGGGGTTGAGAGATTGGTTTCCGCTGAGACCGATGATTTGCAGGAGCAGCAGTTCTGACCCCAGACATCAAACACTGGCTCCTTACACAGCTGCTGGGGAGGGGCTAGTCTCCACTCAAGGCAAGGGGTTGGCTGGGGAACATTGACTGGGACTCCAATAAAATGGATGGAGAAACACTGATGCAGTGAAAGGTCCTTCCAAGGAGAATTACACTGTGGACATTGGTCCCCTAGTTGTAAAATGAGGGGTCCCTGCACTTTTCATAAGAAACGATCCTGTTTCTTATTCATCCCATGGAATCCACACCCCGAAATAGTTTTCCTAGCCACCTCCTGCTCCCTCCCCAATCCCCACCCCTCCCCCACCATGGGAGGGATCCACCAGGTTAGAGTGCCACCTAATTCCCTGTCCCAATCAGAGACCCCACTCACTTCCAGTCATAGTCTCGGTCACCAGTCACTGTCAGCCAGAACCGGCACACCAGCTAATGGGATTTAGTCAAAGAGGCTTGGGAGTTCCTGCACCCACAGAAATACCATAGGCTTTCTGCAATTCTGCAGGGAACTCGTAGGTCCTGATTCTTTGGGAGCTGAGGACCCCAGGTGGGAGCCCTGGGTTGAGTAATCTCTGGCAGAGCTGCAGACATAGCTAATAACAATTGAGGAAGGAATATTTGCATGGGACACACTTACACTAAATAATTATTTGTTGCTTATCTAAAATTCCAATTCAACAGAGTGTCTTGTATTTTATCTGTAACCCCACTCTCAGGCCCTTTCTGCCAGGTCAGTTCCTGATGTCCTGGTGTCTGTGAAAGCCCCAGGATATGTGGAAAGAGAATGAGGGGGCTGTGAGAGACACTCCTCAAGCTAAGACTAGGGTTCCAGGAGGATGGGAATTTCCACCCCTCTATCGCACATCTGGGATGGGGCTTTGTGGGCATGAACGAGACACTCAGTTCCATTCTTTGTTGAGGGCTAGGGCTCTCCCTGCTTGTGGGGTTGGCAGGCCCCATAAGAGGAACTTTTGTCTCAGGAGGCTGAAGCTAGAATGTGAATAGGACAATGTGGAAAACCAAGATCTGGGAGACAGAAGTGGTGTGCAGGTGCATCAGGCTGGAGGGCTGGTCCCTAGGCAGGCTGTGTCCTACTCTGTGGCTCCCTGCTCCACCATCTTGCAGAGAGCCCTGGCCTGGTCCAGGTAATTACTTTGCCTTCCCCCTATTTGCTCCCAACTGCTGATTCTCATTGGCTCTGAATAAAGTCTCTAGAAGAAAGTTTCTGGCCAGAGAGGCAGGGAGGCTGGGTGCTGCCCTGGCTTTGCCTCCAGCTGGCTGAGCCCATTGGCAAGTCATTTAGCCTTCATGAGTCACGGCATCCTGCTCTGTAAAATGGGAGCCACAAAACATTCTGCCTTGTAATTCGTGTGGAAAAATCAAAAGCAAACAACAGTGAGAGACTACTACACAACTGTCACAATGAGCAACATCTGGAACACCGACAACACTAAATGCTGGTGAGGCTGTGGAGCCACAGGAGTGCTCATTCACTACTGGAAAGAACACAAAATGGAACAGCCACATTGGAAGACAGTTTGGCAGCTTCCTACAAAACGAAAATGCTCTTTCCATATGCTACAAGTGTGCTCCTTGGTATTTGCCCAAAGGAGTAAAAAGCCTGTGTTTACACAGAAACCTGCACATGCACGCTTACAGCAGGTTTATTTGTAATTGCCCAAACTTGGAAGTAACCAAGACGTTTTTCAGTAGATGAAGGGATAAATAAACTATGGTACATACAGACAGTGGAATATTTTTCAGCAGTATAAAGAAATGAGCTGTCAAATCATGGAAAGACACGAAAGAACCTTAAGTGCATATTACTAACTAAGGGAAGCCAACCTGAAAAGGCTACATAGTGTGTGACTCCAACTGTGATTCCAATCCTGGAAAAGGCAAAACAATGGAGACGGTAAAAAGATCAGAAAAAGAGCGATTGTAACAAAAGTGCCCCCCGGTGGGGGATGTTGATAGGCGAGGAGGCTGTGCATGTGTGGGGCTAGGATATGTGGGAACTTTCTGTACCTCCTGTTCAATTTTGTTGTGAACCTAGAACTGCTCTAAAAGTCTATGAAAAGGATCAAAAGCAGTTGTACTAGTCAGGGTACTCCAGAGAAACAGGACCAATGGGATGTCTCTGTCTTTCTGTCTATCTATCTATTATCTATCTATCTATCTATCTATCTGTCATCTATCTATCATCTATCTTTAGCTATGTACCTACCTACCTACCTATCATCTATCTACCTACCCACCTATTATCTATCTATATCTATCATCTATCATCTGTCTATTATCTATCATCTATTTATATCTATCTATTATCTATCATCTCCCTGTCTATTAACTATATCATCTATCTATATCTCTCTATTATCTCTCTATTATCTATCTATCTATCTATCTATCTATCTATCTATCTATCTATCATCTAGCTATCTATCATCTATCTATTATCTATCTATCTATCTATCTATCTATCTATCTATCTATCTATCTATCCATCTTAAGGAATTGGCTCATCAGTCTGTGGAGGCCGCAAGTCTGAGATCTGCAGGGCAGGCCAACAGGCTGGAGACCCAGGGAACGGTTGATGGTGCAGTCTTGGGCCTCTGAGGACATCTAGAGGCAAATTCTCTCTTCCTCAGGGGACTTCAATTTTTTTCTCTCAAGGCTTTCAAGTGAGTGCATGAGATCCACCCACATTACAAGCAGTAACCTGCTTTACTCAAAGTCTGCTGATTTATATTAGTCTCATCTAAATATACCTTCACAGTGATCTGGACTGATGTTTGACCAAATTTCTGGGTACCATATCCTAGTCCAGCTGACATATGAAATTAACCATAAAATTCCGGCAGTCTACAAATATAGCGTCACCTCAAGTTATGTCGAGAGTTCAGAAAAGTAGGGAAGTTACCTTTGCGTATTTTTTGAAATGAAAAACGGTTTTCTTCTGCTTATACAGATAATGCACATTTATATATTTAACCACGAAACATACTAAATAATAGAGAATTAAAAATTTATTCTCATATCCCTCTTACTTCTTTCCAGAGAAGCCATTATTCAAATCTTTTCTAAGCAAATAGGCACACACACACACACACACACACACACACACACACACAACTTTATAGAAACGAGGATGTTGTAAAAGTTGTAGTCTTCTGCTTTCACTTGGCACACCATTAACCTTTGTGAATGAATGTTGGTACATATCATTCTTATTAATGTCTGCATTAGGTTCCATTGATTCAACACATCATCATTTATGTAACCAACCACATAATCATGGGCATTTAGGTTGTTCCACTGTGATTTGAATAGTTATTTTTTGCACAGCTGTCTAATGATCTGCTTGGGACAAGTTCCCAGGGAGGGAATGGCTGAGCTCAAGGGTATATGCATTTTAGATTTTGATTCCTTTGCTCCATGGCCTGTGGCATGGTGGTCTCAATTTATAGTCTCACTAATATACTTTGAAACCTTTGCTAGTCTGACATGTGGGCATGTGGGACGTGATATCCATTGTAATTCTATCCCGGAATCCTTAAAATATGTCTGCCACCCCTCAACCCACTCCTCTGTCCTGCTCACTGTATCAGAATAAAGGAAGGGCCATCTTATTATGGATCTATTGTTTTATACCCTCAGAAGCATGGACCTCCCTGAGTGGTGCCTTGGGCCCCTGGAAGGAAGATGTGGAGAGGACCACAAGGATGGGGTTTTTAGTCATTGACACCAAGATGTTGGGAATCATTGGAGAAATAAAAAGCAGATGATGAGCAATCCGCTTTCAATCAAGAAGTGGCAGCAACATGGCACTGGGGTGTGTGGAGAGTGGCTGGCAGCGGGCAGCGGAGACAAACAGGGAGGTCACCCTAATGCCTCCTTCACCCTCGCAGAACCCTGAGGTCTTCTCAGCCCTGCCCTCTCTGCTTTGTGTCTCTCAGCCCCACCCTCTCCTCCTGGCAAGCTGCACCCCCCCGGAGCCCATGGTCAGCGAAGTTGCGGCTGCAGGAGACCCCCGTCAAGAGCTCCCTGAACCCCATTTCCCTCTGAGAGGGACTGGGGGGTCCGCTCTCATGGCTGGAGATGAGGCCAAGCAAATGTCCATTCAGCCTGCACGTGAGTCCCTGGCCCTCACTGCCCTAGAGCCAGGTGGGCCTCAGGTGCCCTGCAAAGGCGGAGGATGTCAGTCCAAAGTTTTCAGAGATGGGAAGGGCTTGCTACTGACCAGGCTCCAGAGAAAAGAGCACCTGTACAATGCCTGGCCCTGGAGGCTTCTCCTCTGTTGGGCAGGACCCCCAGGGGAGAAGGTCAACAGAATGGTCAGCATCTTTTTACATCTAAGCTTAGAATCCCCAGAAACTCCAAAGGATAAACTCCGAGAGGGCATCCCTGGAACACAGGCCTGCCGTCCCCCGCTCCAGGGGCACACTCGGGGAACTGTCTTCTCCTGGTCCCTCAGTCCTTGGCTGAGCTGGGAAGGGAGCAACAATCGGATTAGATTAGGGGGAATCTCCAAGGAGATTCATCAGCAGGGTGTGCACTGGGTAGGGTGGGCATGAATCCTGGTCGGTCACGACAGAGTGGTGGGCGCCCACTGTCCTCTGTCATTATCAACGGCACTTTCTTTTACTCTCACGACTGGTTCAGTTTGGGTGATGAATTACATATCCCCCTGCCATTGGGGCATTTGTTGGTTGAATAACTAACAGTGGGCTGCCCTGCTGGTGAGGGTCCCGGCAGAGCCACCTGGAGCCTGTGCCCAGTGCTGGACGTCGGCTCTCCAGGAGGCGGGCCCTGCTGACCCTGTAACCCTGCCTTGTGGGGAGAAGTGCCCTCTGGTCTCCAGCTGTCAGAGCATGGTATCATCTCTCTGTTTTGCAGACTGTAGGCACGGAGGGAGGAGAATTTGTATTTCCTCCATAGCTCAGTATCCAGTACAATTATGGAGTAATCATTAAGACCCAAATAGCTAAGAAGATCGCCATGGAAGGGATTGTCTCCTTTTAACATTGGAAGTGAAGGCCAGCAGGTTTCTGTGATGGGCTGAGGGTTGGAGGAGGGGCAGCCACCGTGGTGGGTAGGGAGGGAGACAGGAAAGGCACCCCCTCCTCCAAGGGTCAGTCAGAGCTAGTAAGCGGTTTATTCGGGGGTACGTTGGCATCGGGTGCCAGGCTTGGAGAGCTCCCGACTATTGCATTTTCCCCACTTCCAAAGGTCCAGCTTCGGGTTCTTGTACCAACACTCTGCATCTTCTGTTGCCTTCATGCAGCACTTGTCACATTTGCTGCCTTTACCCACTGGGAATGTCAAAGGCTTTGGAGTTCAGACTGGGATTCAAATTCTGGCTCTGCCAGGTTAGGATGGAAGGATATGATTCGGGGCAAATTACCCATTTTCTCCAAGCCCCAGTTTTTTGGATCTGTGAAATGAGGACAGTGTTGCGTAGATTTGCAATCAGTGTTATTGTGGGTTGATGTGTGTCCTCCCCAAACTTGTATGTTGAAGCCCCAACCCCTAGTACTTCAGTCTCTGACTTTACTTGGAGATAGGATCCTTAAAAAGGTAATCAAGTTAAAGCGAGGCCATCAGGGTGGGGGAAATTTGGAGACATGCACCCACAGAGGGAAAATGCCATGGGAACACCACGACCCTACAAGCCCGGGAGCGAGCCCTGGAATAGATCCATCCCTTGCAGCCCTCAGGAGGAACCAACCCTGCTGACACCTTCTGGCCTCCAGGGCCCTGAGACAATCAATTGCCGTGTTTCAGTCACCTGGTTTGTGGTACTTTGTGACAGCAGCCCTGGGAAATGAATATCAGTTTTAATTGGAATAATTGCTTAAAGTGCCCTGGAGTATAGTAGGAGCTCAGCAAATGCTTGTCGAATGAACTTGGTGGCCCAGGAAATGTAGCTATTGCCCCTAACCCATCTCTCTCTCTGTTTCTCTCTCTCAACTCTGAGGTTGGCTTGGGCAGTCCAGTGTAGGATTTCCACAAGGGAAGGTGCCATGCTGCCTGTATTTTCCCCAGGAGGAGGCGCTGGGATGCTGGATTTATCTACATGGGTGATGTGAAAGCTGAACTGAACTGCAGCTGTTGCTTTTCAGCCAATTGATTGATGGATTTCAGGAGGTGAGTTTGGTAGCCTAATGCAGTCCCACTGCAATACTGAGGATGCATCTTTGCCTGATGATGGTTGTGAGACCATTGATGTGCCAGGCCTTGTTCTTAAAGGAGCGCTCTCTGTCCTTGTACAAAACCAAGTGCTGCTCCCCACGGCCTGCAAAGAGTCTCCTCTCTCAGCCTCACTGAGTGGTTGCTGTTGCCTTGGGTGCCCCGTTGTTCCCTCCATACACAGTTCCATCCCTCACCTCCTCACGCCCCTTCCTTCCTTCAGGATTGGCTCAAAGAACACCTCCTCCATGCTGCCCTCCTGGGTTGCCATGCACCAGGCTAGCGGAGGCTCGGAAGGATGTTCATCTGCTCCATAGCCTTGGGGTGGGCCAGCTTCAAGTTCATCTTGTCCCACCTTCCTGGCTCCAGCCGGCAGGGTTTCTTGCGTGTGTTTGATGCTCATTTCCTGTTTTCTCTGGATGGGTTTGTGTGTTAAGTGCATGCAGCTCCTAACTGTAATTCACGCCTGAAACGGGCCCGAGTAACGTGCACCATTTCCTTGGTCACGGGCGTCAGCGCAGGCATCTGTTGCTGTGAGGTCAGCTCCAAGGCTCGTCCTGGCGCTGGTCCCCAGCCTGCAATTGTCGCTTGCTGTCCAGTGCTCCAACAGCCGTGCCTCCTGCTTAGGCAGGGACTGTGACTTCTCACCATGCTGGCAGGCCAACAGGTTTGTGGTGTAATCTTTTCTTTTCATATTCTCTCATAGGCATTTTTTCACAAATTTACAAATTCCTCCTTGATGTCATTTTCAATGGTGGCATAACACCTTGCCTATGGATGTATGTGGTTGATTCCAACATTTCCTTTTGATTTTGGATATTTGATCTGTTTCTGGGGCTTTGGCCTTTACAATGATACACTGCAGCCCGTCCTCAGCGGCTCCTCAGGAGAAAGTCACAGGAGTGGAATTACTGGGTCACAGGTGCCGGCCACTCCAAGGCTCTAGGCCTCCTTGCACAATCGCCATCTGGAAACATGAGCTGCTGCTGCCCCAGCACCTGATCCAGAATCTGCTGCAGTGCCGAGGTTCTGATCTCACAAATTGAGAAGGGAACGGGCTGGGGCAGCTGACATTTTGCCCATCGCATCTGCTTTTAGCAATCGATCGGCACAGCAGAGTCATGGGAGCTAGCAAAGGTCATGAAGCAGGTCCAGCTGCTGGCCTTGACCTCGCCACACAAGTCCCAAAGCTCACCCCTTCTTCAAAGCGTCCTGGCATGGTGTTCTACAAGCGCTGCTCCCAGGCTGCCGGGGACTGGCTGCGGTCTATTTTCTAGATGAACAAAGTAAGCACAGAGGCTCCCTGTCTCCCAGGCAGGTGCCCTGACACCAGAGAAGCCTTGAGCCAGGCCTGGCACCCCGGGATGCACCCTTTGGCCTGCCCAGGTGCCAGGGCTTGGCATCTGGCCCAGCCAGGAGGGGCTCTGGCAGATCCCAGCGGAGCTCCTCCCTGTAGCCCCTCCATGGTACAGGCTGCTTGGGAAGGGGTCTGGTCTGTGAGTTGCTCTCTGGGCTGGACAGCGCTCCAGCACCTGCCCTTGGTGTGTGTGTGTGTGAATGTGATTTTACAAATGTGTGTGAGCGTGAGTGTGAATGAGTGTGTGTGAGTGTGTGTGAGTACATGTATGTGCGTGTGTGTGTGGGGGGGGGGTTGTTGTAGGTTTTGTGTTCTACAACTGACAACCTCAGCTCTTTTCTTGACCTGGTTAGTGATGGGGACACCCTGCCCCTTGCACCTGATGGAGCCAGACGGGGCTGGGGTTGGAAACTTCTTGGTTCCTGGTGGCCCAGGCATGTCCAGGTTCTGACCCCACCCAAGAAACCTGTCTGCAGCTCTGGAAGAAGAAACACCCAAGACCCAAAGAAGATGCGGTGCCCCAGCTGGGGTGGGTGGACATGAGTCTCCCAGAGCAGCCCAGAATCAGAGGAGGACTGACGGTTGAGGGCCTGGCTAGAGGAGGGCGTCCCAGACATGGGGGTGGGACCAGGATCCAGGGTCTGGCCCTTTTACCTGGCTGGAGGACTGTGCCTTGCCGGGCCTGGCTGGCCACTACTCTGAGAGCCCCCAGCCCCATGAAGACACCCACGGTAGGGCCAGGCTTCCCAGCACAGGATCCCAGGAAGAAGGTGGATCGAGAGTCATGGAATGGTGCTGGCGGGGGGAGTGGGGGGATCTGTAGTGTTGGGACCATTGTGGGAATTCCCTCTGTGGATGTCAGATGCACTAATGAGGGACTGGGTGGAATGAAGGCACATCTCCTGCCCTGAGGATTTCCGAGGGGTTGGGCTCCTGGCTGCCACTCTATGGAGAAGCACCAGAGGCCGTGGGACAGGGGCCCATTCTTTCCACTGGTTCTGATGATGGAAGTCCCCAGGTGACTGCCGTCTGTTGGGGGTTCTGCCCCCACATAGAGCCTTTGGGTGCCTTCAGGAGTGTGCGTCGTCTCTCTGTGCTGACTTGGTCAGCAGTCGCCTTGCGTTTGAACGTTGGCGTATTCCTTTAGGAGTGGGGCCTTGTTGTTGAATTGAGCAGCACTGTTATTTTTCTAAAAAATATATTTTTCAAAATGTGATGTTATATTTAGTTTTCAACAGATTGCCTGAATTCTTTTTCAAAGTTGTATTTTATTATGGATAAATTGAAAATGCTGATATCTTGAGTTACCTCTTTCTTTTCTGTAGATCGTACTATCTTAATTAACCCTAGTAAATCCAGAGGAAATTCATCTAAATGCAGATTATGTTAACTTTTTTGTCACCATGAGCTATTTCCATGTTTCGGGATGGCAGGGGCCGGGAGAGACAGGCAAGCTGCTGCTGGGGCCTTTCAGACTGAACCATATATTGAGAAGGAGCACTGACCAGCATACCTATGTCTCTTGAACCATGAGGCGTCGCCCCAGCAGAGGCTGGGAGCAGAGACAGGGCCTACCCAGCCCATCTAGACTTCTCTTGAGCTGCCCTTATTAATACTACTTAATTCAAATTTAAAAATTCTGGGACAAAAGCTAAACTGGATGAGATAGCTGGTCAGCAGGTGCCAGCTGGACTGTCTCAGGCTGAGTGGGATACAGGTGGGGTCCCTGTGCTCCCCGAAAGACCAGGCTTATACGTGCAGTGGGCCTGGGAGTCACTGCCTGCAGCAGCTGGAACTGGCTGGAGCTTACAGACTTCGAGGAGAGGGTCCTGGAAGGACCAGGGGGTCTCAGGCTTCTGCTTGAGCAGGTGGGGAGGAGGCCGTGGCCCTCCCACTGTTTTGCATCCGTACACAAGTGGTGCAGCGACACCCTTGTTCTTAGGGCATTGCAAACATGCCCAATCGCTTCCTTTGACCTTCTAGAAATGAAATGGCCAGTCAAAGGTCACGTTCCCTGCTGAGAAATGGGCTGCTGTATCCTCCAGTCATGGCAGTGCCGGCACAGACCTTTCCAGAGGGCAGGTTCCTGATCGGACTTCACATCTCAAATGGTTTTCAACTCCACAGTGGCTTCCTAGGGCTACGGTAACAGATACCACAGACTGGTGGCTTCCACAGCCCAAGTTTATTGTCTGTATCACAGCTCCGGAAGCTGGAAGTCCAAGATCAAGGTGTTGGCAGGGTTGGTTCCTTCTGGGGATTCTGTGGGAGAAGCTAATCCATGGCTCTCCCCTGCTCCTGGAGGTCAGCCCAGGCCTTGGCGTTCCCTGGCTCATAGCTGCCTCCCTCCAGCCTCTGCCTCCATCCTCCCAGGGCCTTCTCCCCTGCTGTCTGTCACCACTCCCTCTCCTTTCTCTTCTAACCCAGTCATTGGATTTAGGGCCCGCCCTAGATGCAGAAGGATCTCATTTTGATTCCTTAACATGATTATATCTGCCAAGTCCTTATCTCTAAATCAGGCCATGTTCACAGGTATGGGGGTTAGGATGTGGACACGTCTTTTGGGGTCCACCATTTAGCCCACCGCCCTCTGCTTCTACATCTTCCCTTGAATTGTTCTAATTCCAAACTGAGAGGTTGAATTGTAGCCTGGCTGAGAGGTATCCCCAAGCATGACATGTCCTGGGGAGGGGGCATCACGGTTGGGCTGGCTCTGAGCTTCGTTTGCCTTCAGTACCCCCTGTGGGGGTTGGGGGATGGCTGCATGCCCTGGCTGTCTCCCTGAGTCTGGTTCCAGGTCAAAGAAGCCCCTGGCCACCCTTCCATTGAGCCCTGCCGATAGGCTGTGGCCCAGGCTGCTCTTTGGAGTTCTCCCTGACTAGGTTCACCCTCAGGGATCCTTTTCTAAGGCCAGGGACAGACGCAAACAGGCAACAACTGTTATGGGGACTTTTTCTCTCTTTCTGAATGTGACATTAGAAAAAATGTCACATTTAGAAGAAAGTTAAACTATACCCTGAGTTGGAAGGAGAGGGGTGACATTCCCGTCTGTGTCTCCAGGGTTGGAAATGATGGATTAGCACTGCATTGAAGCGGAGAGAGGCTCTCTCAGCTCTGTAGACAGAAGGACCAGGTCCTCTGTGTGCAAAGCACTTCTGCCAGCAGAAAATGCTGCTCCCTGCCGCTAGGAGGCCCTCTGGCTGTGTTAACAGTCCACAGTCCCGGTCCTTGGGAATCAGCCCTGAATACAATTTGAACCCACAGTTGTCTCCCAGGATTTTCTGCTGTATTTTCTTGGGCATACAATGGAAGGCTGGAGGTGGAGGGATTCCAATTCAAAGTTTGCCCTTGTCAGGAGTTCGTGATGAAACCAAACGCAGCCATTTGCTGGGAATTTCCTTTTCTCTAAAACTGTCTCCAGGTTGATGGGGGCCGTGGGAATGGATGGAGCATCAGTGTCTTGGCCATCTTGGGGTCAAACACTAATCACAGCCTCCTATAAGAAGGGGCTGAGCCAAGGCATTCCCAGGAAAATGTGGGCTTCTTTGCTGAAAGGCTGTTGTTCCCTAAGGGATTTTCTGTTCTCCAAAGTCCACACCCCTCTGGCTACAAGAATGGAGTTCTGTTGGAATAGGAAGATGGACAAAACCAGGAGGTACACGCACCCTTTCAAGGAGGCAAACCTCTGCCTATTCCCACTTACCCTCAGTGTCCCCCAACTTGCAGTGGGGTGTAGAGGGGATGAAATGGAGGTAGAGGCTGGCTGCCAGCTGCTGATGTAGCAAGAAGAAGGAGCATACAGGTGTGAAGCTGCAAGGAGACAGGAGTTGGGGCTGAGAAGTTCTGGTGGAGAAGCCCAGATGGGTCCAGGCTAGGAGGTAGTACCAGACGTGACTGTGGGGGATGTGTGTTAGTGTGTGCACGTATGCTTGCATGCATATATGTGTATGCACATGCGTGTGCCTGTGTGTGTTTGTCTCCTGAAGACAGTGAGACACAGACAGAACTAGCAAAGAACTTCACAAGTCCCAGAGCTCTGTCGAAGAAAGTGCCCTCCATGCTCACCTGGCTCCTTCCTGGCTTGGCGGGCTCACGTGTAAGTGGAAATTATATTTGTTTCCCTACCTGCCTCCCATGGCTGTTGTAAACATTAGACAAGAAAGTGAATACATAAAATTATGAAGGTGAAATGCTTGGGAAAGTGGAAACTGAGATTGCAAGGTGACTCTGAGTAGAGATTTTCTGATGCTCCCCCTTCCTAGCTGGACCATTTGGGGACACCTCAGAGTGTCGTTGTGGTCTCAGCACATATCCTGAATATTTCCAGACAGCATCAAGTTCAAATTAATGCAATGAAGCAGATGAGGTGGACAGGCTGTAGAGCTGAGCAGCAGAGGTCCCTCCTGCCAGGGCGTGGCCACGCTGTCGTCCCTCTTTCCATCCTGCTGCCTCCCTAGTTTCCCCAGCCTTCAAGACTGGACTCTGCAGAGTGGGATGTGGGAAGCACATGGTAGGTGATTATTTTAGATTGTTATATAGAATATCCTTCTAATTATTTTTCATTTAAAATAAATTAATTTTAACCAACAAGAATGCAGATGGATATCCTCCCTTAGTCTTTATTTTAGAAAACCACATTTCATCTGGAGTTTCCAGGCAGGAGTTCCCCACGTAGAGAATGTAAAAGACGAACAACAGGTGTGGCTTGCTCCCAGTGGACTGCAGAGCATTGCTTCTCACACGTGCCAGGAGGATGGGTTTATGGATCACCTCATCTAGGTCTAAGGAAATCATTCCCTTCAAAAAGTGGGTTGCAAAGAGTCCTGAGAAGAAGATTGGAGATTGAAGATGTTACACGTAATGCAAACAGGTGCTAGCAACAAGAAAACCAACAGAACTTCCCGTGCCCAGGACAAGTTCTTCACCAGCTACATTAAATAGTAAAAACAGCCAGACACATCAAAAAGATTCTAACTGGGTTTGACAAGAAGTGGGCAAAAAGTGTCAGCCTTATTAAGAAGCCTACATGAGATATGGATTTACACTCTCTATTCTGTTTGAAAATCAGTGGTATTGAGGGGTAGTTTACATAGAACAGCATGCACTCATTTTAATAATCTGTAGATGTGTTTGACAAGTCACCTGGGTAATCGCCCCCATAATCAGGATATGTTATGATTTCTTCATCCCAAAGGGTTCTTCCCTGTTTCTTTGTCTTCCCCACTTTTAGCCCTAGGTGAATATTGATCTGCTTTCTCTTCTGTCCGTGTGATGAATTTCATACAAATGGAATCACACAGTTTGTCCTCTTTTGTGTCTGGCTTTTTTCGCTCAGCATAAGGACTTGGAGATTCGTTCCTGTTGTGTGTATAGATAGATAAAGTCTTTCTTACTGTGAAGTAGTGTTCCAGTGTTAGGCTATGCCACAATTGTTCTTTCACCCATCTGTTGATGGAACTTTTGTACCCAGATTTAGCTCCTATGAATAAAGTGTTACAAACAATCATGGACACATTTGTGTGTGTGTGAACCTAATTTTTCAATCTCTTGGATAATACCTGGGAATGGAAATTCTTGGTAAGTGCAGGCAGGGAACAGCCAAACTATTTTTCAAAGTGGTTGTACCATTTCACGCTCTGCCAATAATAGATGAGAGTTAGTTGGTTTCCCCATATCCTTGTTAAAATTTGGAATTGTCAGTCTTTTTAATGTTAGCCACACTAATATGTCCGTGGCAGCGTCTCGTTATGGTTTTGGTATGTCTTTCCCCATGACCAATGATGCTGAGCTTTCTTCAAGTGCTTCTTGATCATTCATTTATCTTATTTTGTAAAGAATTTGTGGCTGGGCGCGGTGGCTCACGCCTGTAATCCCAGCACTTTGGGAGGCTGAGGCGGGTGGATCACAAGGTCAGGAGATCGAGACCATCCTGGCTAACACGGTGAAACCCCATCTCTACTAAAAATGCAAAAAAAAAAAAAATTAGCCAGGCGTGGTGGCGGGTGCTTGTAGTCCCAGCTACTCAGGAGCCTGAGGCAGGAGAATGTCGTGAACCCGGGAGGCGGAGTTTGCAATGAACTGAGGTCGTGCAACTGGACTCCAGCCTGGGTGACAGAGCGAGACTCCATCTCAAAAAAAAAAAAAAAAAAAAAAAAAAGGATTTGTTCAGATCTTGCGTTTATTTTTAAAAATATTGTCTTACTAGATTGAAATAATTCTTGATATGGTCTGGATCAAGTCCTTTTGCCAAATATATGCATGGCGAGTCTTTTTTCCAATCTGTGGCTTGCCTTTCATTTTCTTAGGGGTATATTTCTAAAAATTAGTTTATTTCTAATAAAGTTCAACTTTCTTTTCTTTTTTTTTTTTTTGATTCATGCTTTTTGGGTCCTATCTAAGAAAACTATGCCTTTCCCAAAGTCTCAAAGATTTTCTTCTAGAATTTTTCTTAGCAGTTTTATAACTCTGGCGTTTATATTTAGAACTATATTCCTTTTCTCCTTCTTTTATTTTTTGAGGCTCATGGATGATTAAAACATGAAGATCTCCAAAGGAGAATCATGAATTTGTGGAATATTTTATATGTTGACATTAAATAATATTTTAACATAAAGAAAAGTAATAAGATTCTTCTGTTTTCAAGATAATTACAGAATTTATTTAAAAAATGTTAAATCATACTTTGCTTCAGGCAGTGTAGATTGGGAAAGAGACACAAATTTGAAATTATTTAAAGATCACCTTCTACCAACACTCTTATTGTGTTTCTGTGACAATGTGTATAACCTCAGGAATTGTCAAAACTCTACTGTGTGGCATAGTAGGGTGCACAGTGCCCTCCCTCCTGCATATTTTTTCTTTTAGGCAAGGGCTTTCACTTGCTTTCCAGGTCATGTTATTACTGTAGGTACAGTATTTTTTTGTTTTTTTTTATTAAACTTTTTTATTTTAAGGTAATTGTAGATTCACATGAAATTATAACAAATAATGCACAGAGATCCCACATATGCTTTACCCAATGGTCACATTTTGCAAAACTACAGTGTGATATCACAACTGGGACACTGACATCCATACCACCAAGATTCAGAACATTTCCAGCTCTGTTAGGATCCCTCTTGTTGCGCTTTAATTGCCATACCCACAGCTTTCTGTCCGCATCCCTCCTTAACCCCTGGCAATAGCTTATCTGCTCTGCAAGTCTAGAATATGTCATTTAAAGAATGTTATATAAATGGAGTCACATGACATGCAATCTTTTGGGACTGAGGTTTTCACTGAGCATAACTCTCTGGCTTTGTCCATGTGCTTTACTCATCCGTACCTTGTTCTTTTATCACTGAGTAGTGTCCCACGGTGTAGATGCACCAGCTTGTTTAACCACCCTGGGAAGGACATCTGAGTGGTTTCCAGTTTTTGTCTTTTACAAATAAAGATGCTGTAAACGTTTATGTCATTGAATGTTTGGCTAAGAAAATGTTAACAGCTTTAAGGAGGTATGTTGACATACAACAAATTGCACATGGTTAAAGTGCATATTTGCTAAATCTTTGCATATGTACATACCCCTGAGAACATCACCACAATCACAAAAATAAACACTTAGATCACCCCAGGGTGTCCTCATGCTTCTCTGCAATCCCTCCTCCCCTTCATCTACTTGATTTATACTACTTCCTTCTCCAGGCAACCACAGATCTGCTTTCTGTTATGATAGTTTGTATTTTCTAGAATTGTGTATTAATGAAAACATACAGGAGATTTTTTGTGTGTGGCTTATTTCACTAGGTGAAATTATTTTCAGAGTCATCCTGGTTGTGATATATATCAATGTTGCATTTCTTTTTATTACTGAGAAGCATTCAATTGCATGCCTATACCTCTGTTTGTTTATCCATCTGCCCGTGGATAGACATTTGGGTTGTTTCTGGTTTGGGGCTATTATAAAGAAAGCTTCTAGGGATATTCGTGTGGAACTCTTTTCATGGACAAGTGCTTTCATTTCTCTTTGGTAAATATCTGGGAGTAGAAAGACTGGATCATATATTAGGTTGTACTTAACATGCTCAATCCTTCCTCTAGCTTCTTTAAGGTATGTAAATGTAATACTGTCACAATCATTCTTTTAATGTCTTTACGTACTAATTATACCCTCGGTGTCAATTCTGGGTCAGGTTTGATTGATTTTTCTTCCCTCATTGTGGGCAGTGCTCTCTTGCTTCTTTACATGCCTGGTCATTTTTGCTTGGTTGCCAGACACTGTGAGTTGCATCTTGTAGGGTGGTGAATATTTTTTATCCTATAAATAATTTTGAGTTTTGTTCTTGGATGTGGTTAATTTACTTGTAAACAGTTTGATTTTTTGGATCTTTCTCTTAAGCTTTGTTATCTGGGACTCTACATTTAGTCTAGGGTTAGTTTTTTCCCACTGTTGAGTCAAGATGCCTCTTGGTAGTACAACCAATGCCTTCTCAATGATAGAGTTTTCAACTTAGGCTGCTGGAAACAGGTACTATTCCAGTCCCTTGGTGTGCACTGAAACCTATTCCTCTAACCTACAGATGGCTATTTCCCCAGCTTCAGTATGTCCTCACGCAGATGCACTGGTCAGTGTTCAACTGAATACTTGAGGGAGACTCTGCTGATCTCCTGAGTTCTCTCTTTGTGAAGCTCTTTCCTCTATGATACTCTGCCCTGTGAATTCTAGCTGCCTTGGTTTCCCCAGGCTCTCAGCTACATCTCCTCAATTCAGGAAAACCACCTTGCCCTGAGACCTGAAAACTTTCTCCAAGCAGTAAGCGGGACAATCATAGGGCTTGTTTCATTTTCTTATTGTCTGTGGGTTATTGTTTTTTGTTGTCTGATACCCAATGTCTTGTATACCATTGTTTCATACGTTTTGTCTGTTTTTTTTTTTTTTTAGTTGATTCAAGCAGGTGAGTAAAGCTAGGCCCTTTTATTCATTTTGAGTAGAAGTAGAATCTTCTGTTAAAGAATTTTGCATCATGTATCACAGGTGATAGTTATCTGAATATTTTGTCTTTCTTCTAATATCTTTGGTTTTGATATCAGAGTTCTGCTAGCTTCACAAAATGGTTTGATAAATGATATTCTTTTTTCTCAAATATTTTTGGCAATATTTGTCTTATTTGCCTTTAAGTGATAGAATTCATCAGTGAAGTCATCTCGTACTGAGGTTTTTTTTAATGGGGTAATTCTCATTATAAGTTGAATTTCTTTAACAAATATAAGAATGGGACTATGCAGATTTTCCATTTCTTCTCAAGTCAGTTTGGTAATTTGTGTCTTTTAATAACTTTTTCTATTCTGTCTACATTTTTGACAGTTTGAACACAAAGTGTATTATATTATTCTTTTATTATCTATAATATAGGCTTTTTGGTGATGTACCCTCTTTCATTCATAATATGGTTCTTTTTGTAGATATTTAAAAATATTTTTTTCTTTATCTTTAGTTTTTAACAATTTACATCATTGTGTCTTGGTTTGGTTTTCTTTGTGTTTATTTTTCATTTTCATTGAGATACTAGGATATTGTAGTATTCATTAAATTTGGAAAATATTCAGTTGCTGTTTTTTTTTTCTGCTTTCCTTATCTTTTTGCTACTCCATTTACACATATTTTAGACCTGTTGGTATTGTCTCAAAACTTCCTGAAGCTCAATTCTGTTTGTTTAATTTTTAAATTCAGTTTGCATAATTTCTACTTGCATGTCCTGAAGTTCATAGATATTTTCTTCTGTAATACTCTAACCTGCTGTGAAATCTATAAGGGATTTTTTTTTCATTCTAGATACTGTATTTTTTAGTCTAGAAGTTTTATTTTATTCATATTTATATCTTCTATTTTTTCCTTATGAAGTTCATATTTTTATTTATTTATTTTGAGACAGAGTCTTGCTGTGTCACCCAGGCTGGAATGCAGTGGCACAATCTCAGCTCACTGCAACCTTCGCCTCCCAGGTGCAAGTGATTCTCCTGTTTCAGCCTCCCGAGTAGCTGAGATTACAGGCACTCGCCACCATGCCCAGCTAATTTTTGTATCTTTAGTAGAGACGGGGTTTTGCCGTGTTAGCCAGGCTGGTCTCGAACCCCTGACCTCAGGTGATCCACCCGCCTCGGCCTTCCAAAGTGTTGGGATTACAGGCGTGAGCTACTGCACCCGGCTTTGATCCTATTTACAATAGGTTTTATAGGTCTAACTGCTAATTCTATCACCTCTGTGATTTCTTGGTCTGTTTCTATTGGCTGCCTTTTCCCTGTAATGGGTCACATTATTCTGCTTCTTCACATGTCTAGTTACTTTTTGATTGAATACTTGGAAATTTAAATACCACATTACTGAGGGCTCAATTTTGTCATTTTCCCTTAGAGAGTGTTGAACTATATTCCGGCATGCAACTAAGTTACTTGTCAATCAATGTTATTCTCTCAAGGCTTGTTTTTAAGCTTGTTAGAGGGGGTAACCTGCACTCTAAAGCTAGTTCAGCCCTATGACTGAGGCTTGGCATATCTGAGGTCTCTTCTGAACTCACTAGGTGTTTAATGATGTCTCTCCACTTCAGCTCTTTGGAACTCGAGTGGCTCCTACCTCTATGCACACTCTGAGCATTGTTCATCTTACAGCGCACCTGCTTTTCTTCTCCCAGCCTTGTGAAATTTTACCCTGTATATATGTAGCTTAGTCTTCCGCAGCAGACTCGAGGATGCCCTGCCTGTTTTCTAACAAGTGAAAACTATTGTTTTATATATCTGTCCCGTTTTCTCATTGTATGATGGGAGGGCAATTTTTGTATTAGTTTCCCCATCATGCTAGAAGTGGAAGTTTACATCCACTACTCTTAGTGATACGGTCCTCAACCTAACTGAATTTTATGCCTTTATATATCAATAAAAGCACAGGACACACAAGCCATTTAAAAATTAATATTTAAGAATATGGATAAAGCCCTACAAAATTAGAGATTTTTGAAATCCTGCAATACTCAGTTTGTGATTTTACATAATTTTACTTAAGTTATTGATATACACTTGGAAGCCTGTTTTGTGGTTTCATCGTGAAAGACAGTAATTCATGATACTATTGGTAAAGGTTTGTTCTTCCTGCTGAGGTAAAATGGCTGAAACAAGTCTCATGAAACAATATGGCAACAAACCCAAATGTATTCTTTGTTGGCAAATACTGTTGGAGGGTACATAAGAGATACTGATGAAGATGTGAGCAAACAAGAATTGGAAGAAATTATACATTTGTGGGAACCATGCTATGCAGGTGCATAAAATATGACTGAATCTCATACATCTTGGCTTATGGCGTTTGTGATAATCTGTCTTAATGTAGAAATACATGAAGAATCCATTCTCTTGAGTCAATAAGGAACCTCACTGTGTCACCCAGGCTGGAGTGCAGTGGCGTAACCTTAACTCACTGCAACCTCCACCTCCCGGGTTCGAGCGGTTCTCCTGCCTCAGCCGCCAGGGTAGCTGGAACTATAGGCATTCACCACCACACTGAGCTAATTTTTGTATTTTTAGTAGAGACGGGGTTTCACCATGTTGGCCAGGCTGGTCTCGAACTCCTGACCTCAGGTGATCCACCCACCTCGGCCTCCCAAAGTGCTAGGATTACAGGCAGGAGCTACCACGCCTGGCCCCACTGTGCCTGGCCCCGAGCAGATTTTAAATAAAAACAATGCTTGAGGAAAGCCAGTCTAAGTATAGTCCCAGATGAAGTGGTAAGTTGAGCCAGAAATGCGAAGCGAAGGATTCCAGGACAAAGTTCCAGAGGTCAGCAGTGTGTGTGAGGTTCATCCTTAGCATCAAGTTAAAGTAGCGTGGCTAAAAGGTTGAGACTAGCAGTGTGCAAAAGAAACAGAAAATCAATTACGTGACTACTTCTATCAAAGCAAGGACTTTGGAATAGACACTTTGTAATACTTCGCAATGAAATGGAATATTATGAAATATTTTGTGGTTAAACTAGTTTTCCAACTTAAACATAATTTTCCTTTTACAAAAGGATGTATTTTAAATTTGCTGACCTTTCCTATGATGACAAGTGGGTCTTAGAATATGCTAAGATACATTTCTGAAAAAAATAAATAATTTAATCTGAACCTTCAGAGTAAAGATATGGTTTAACCAAGTAAGGAACTACCTTTTGGGAAGAACTTGTGCTCTGGGGAGAGCAGGGAAAAGCTGAAAGCTGATGTTTCCAAATGGTTGTTTGATTTTTTTTGCTGACAATGACATGTGTCACTGTCTTATATCTATAGCTGTACTTTTCAAACATTTGGGAGCAGAATTTTCTAACATAATCCACTTTCTAAATGTAGACTTTGAACACATTTGTGGAAAATATGACATGGCGCCTAGCATTTAGCCTGTGAGCATAAGCGGTGGATACTGGGGCAGCTGAACTTGGTCTGTTCCTTCTGTTGGAAGTTGTTCTGTTAGGAGTCCCTACACAAGTGCTGAGGAAGGGGCCCATTTGGTGCAGAGCCTGGCTTTGGGGTCTCCCTGAATTTGGGGCCTCCCTGGCACGGGGTGTGCTTGCCCTCTGTTTAATAGCTGCCAACCCCCCCCCCCTTCAATTCCAGTGAATGATTCTCCAGTGTTTACTTGGTGTGAACATCTGGACTGGGTGCTGGGAAGACGCATTGAAGGAGGAGTGATTCTTACCTGTGAGAAGCTCACAGCAAGTAAAGTATCCAAACAGTCTGGTGGATGAAGGCTCTGCAGAGAGGACGCCTGGGCTGTGGCTGA